>NC_000007.14:97052233-97355263 GCF_000001405.40 Homo sapiens
GAAGCATATACAAGTATCAATAGCTGAATCGATCAAGCAGATGAAAGGATATCAGAGATTGAAGAGCAACTTAATGAAATAAAGCATGAAGACAAGATTAGAGAAAAAAAATGAAAAGGAATGAAAAAAGCCTCCAAGAAATATGAGAGTATGTGAAAAGACTAAACCTATGTTGATTGGTGTACCTGAAAGTGACGGGGAGAATGGAACCAAGTTGGAAAACACACTTCAGGATATTATCCAGGAGAACTTCCCCAACCTAGAAAAACAGGACAACATTCAAATTCAGGAAATACAGAGAACACCACAAAGATACTCCTCAAGAAGAGCATCCCAAGACACATAATTGTCAGATTCACTTAGATTGAAATGAAGGAAAAAATGTTAAGGGCAGCCAGAGAGAAAGGTCAGGTTACCCGCAAAGGGAAGCCCATCAGACTAACAGCAGATCTCTCTGAAGAAGCCCTACAAGCCAGAAGAGAGTGGGGGTCAACATTCAACATTCTTAAAGAAAAGAATTTTCAACCCAGAATTTCATATTCAGCCAAACTAAGCTTCCTAAGTGAAGGAGAAATAACACCCTTTACAGACAAGCAGATGCTGAGGGATTTTTGTCACCACCAGGCCTGTGTTACAAGAGCTCCTGAAGGAAGCACTACATATGGAAAGGAAAAACCGGTAGCAGCCACTACAAAAACATACCAAAATGTAAAGACCTTTGACCCAATGAAGAAACTGCATCAACTAATAGACAAAATAACCAGCTAGCATCATAATGACAGGATCAAATTCACACATAACAATATTAACCTTAAATGTAAATGGGCTAAATGCTTCAATTAAAAGACAGACTGGCAAATTGGATAAAGAGTCAAGACCCATCAGTGTGCGGTATTCAGGAGACCCATCCACGTGCAGACACACATAGGCTCAAAATAAAGAGATAGAGGAATATTTATCAAGCAAATGGAAGGCAAAAAAAAAAAAAAGCAGGGATTGAAATCCTAGTCTCTGATAAAACAGACTTTAAAGCAACAAAGGTCATAAAAGACAAAGAAGGGCATTACATAATGCTAAAGTGATCAATGCAACAAGAAGAGCTAACTATCCTAAATATACATTCACCCAATATACGAGCACTCAGATTCATAAAACGAGTTCTTAGAGACCTACAAAGAGACTTATACTCCCAAACAATAATAGTGGGAGACTTTAACACCCCACTGTCAATATTAGACAGATCAACAAGACAGAAAATTAACAAGGACATTCAGGACTTGAACTCAGCTCTTGACCAAGCAGACCTAATAGACAGAACTCTCCACCCCAAATCAACAGAATATACATTCTTCTCAACCTCACATAGTACTTATTCTAAAATTGGCCGCAAAATTAGAAGTAAAACACTCCTGAGCAAATGCAAAAGAATGGAAATAACGAACAGTCTCTCAGACAACAGTGCAATCAAATTAGAACTCAGGATTAAGAAACTCACTCAAAACCACATAGCTACATGGAAACTGAACAACTTACTGCTGAATGACTACGAGGTAAAGCGTAAGAGGGAAGTTTAGTAGGCTGGGTGCAGTGGCTCATGCCTGTAATCCCAGCACTTTGGGAGGCCAAGGCAGCCAGATCACAAGGTCAGGAGATCGAGACCATCTTGGCCAACATGGTGAAACACCATCTCTACTAAAAATACAATATTTAGCTGGGTATGGTGGCATGCACTTGTAGTCCCAGCTACCCAGGAGGCTGAGGCCGGAGAATTGCTTGAACCCGAGAGGTGGAGGGTGCAGTGAGCCACGATCATGCCACTGCACTCTAGCCTGGGCAACAGAATGAGACTCTGAAAAAGAAAAAAAAAAAAGAGGGAAATTTATAGTACTAAATGTCCACATCAGAAAGCTAGAAAGATCTCAAATCGACACCCTCACATCACAATTAAAGGAACTAGAGAAGCAAGAGCAAACAAATTCAAAAGCTAGCAGAATACAAGAAATAACTAAAATGAGAGCAGAACTGAAAAATATAAAGACACAAAAAACCCATTAACAAAATCAATGAATCCAGGGGCTGGTGTTTTGAAAAGATTAACAAAATGGATAGACCACTAGCAAGACTAATAAAAGAGAAAAGAGAGAAGAATCAAATAGACACAATAAAAAATGATAAAGGGGATATCACCACTGGTCACACAGAAATACAAATTACCATCAGAGAATACTATAAACACTTCTACGTGAATAAACTAGAAAATCTAGAAGAAATTGATAAATTCTGAGACACATACACCCTCCCAAGACTAAACCAGGAAGAAGTCAAATCCCTGAATAGACCAATAACAAATTCTGAAATTGAGGCAGTAATAGCTTACCAACCAAAAAAGCCCCAGGAGCAGATGGATTCACAGCCAAATTCTGCCAGAGGTACAAACAGGAGTTGGTACCATTCCTTCTGAAACTATTCCAAACAATAGAAAAAGAGGGAATCCTCCCTAACTCATTTTATGAGGCTAGCATCATTCTGATACCAAAACCTGGCAGAGACCCAACAAAAAAGAAAATTTCAGACCAATATCCCTGATGAACATTGATGCAAAAATCCTCAATCAAATATTGGCAAACCAAATCCAGCAGCACATTAAAAAGCTAATCCACCACGATCAAGTTGGCTTCATCCCTGGGATGCAAGGCTGGCTCAACATATGTGATAATCAATAAACGTAATCCATCACATAAACAGAACCAATGACAAAAACCACATGATTATCTCAATAGATGCAGAAAAGACCTTTGATAATGTTCAACACCCCTACATGCTAAAAACACTCAATAAACTAGGTGTTGATGGAACATATCTCAAAATAATAAGAGCTATTTATGACAAACTCACAGCCAATATCATACTGAAAGGGCAAAAGCTGAAAGTATTCCCTTTGAAAACCAGCACAAGACAAGGGTGACCTCTCTTACCTCTCCTATTCAACATAGTGTTAACAAATGATACTGATCAGGGCAATCAGGCAAGAGAAAGAAATAAAGCATATTCAATTAGGAAGCGAGAAAGTCAAATTGTCTCTGTTTGCAGATGACATGATTGCATATTTAGAAAACCCCATCCTCTCAGCCCCAAAACTCCTTAAGCTGATAAGCAACTTCAGCAAAGTCTCAGGATACAAAATCAATGTGCAAAAATCACAGGCATTCCCATACACCAATAACAGACAAACAGAGAGCCAAATCATGAGTGAATTCCCATTCAGAATTGCTATAAAGAGAATAAAATACCTAGGAATCCAACATACAAGGGATGTGAAGGACCTCTTCAAGGAGAACTACAAACTACTGCTCAAGGAAATAAGAGAGGACACAAACAAATGGAAAAACATTCTATGCTCATAGATAGGAAGAATCAATATTGTGAAAATGGCTATACTGCCCAAAGTAATTTATAGATTCAGTGCTATTCCCATCAAGCTACCACTGACTTTCTTCACAGAATTGGAAAAAACTACTCTAAGCTTCACATGGAACCAAAAAAGAGCCCACATAGCCAAGACCATCCTAAGCAAAAAGAACAAAGCTGGAAGCATCATGCTACCTGATTTCAAACTATACTACAAGGCTACAGTAACCAAAACAGCATGGTACTGGTACCAAAACAGACATATAGACTAATGGAACAGAACAGAGGCCTCAGAAAAAACACCACAAATCTACCACCATCTGATCTTTGACATATCTAACAAAAACACACAATGGGGAAAGGATTCCCTATTTAATAAATGGCATTGAGAAAACTGGCTAGCCATATGCAGAAAACTGAAACTGGACCCCTTCCTTACACCTTATACAAAAATTAACTCAAGATGAATTAAAGACTTAAATGTCAACTTAAAACCATAAAAATCCTAGAAGAAAACCTAGGCAATATCATTCAGGACATAGGTATGGGCAAAGACTTCATGACTAAAACACCAAAAGCAATGGCAACAAAAGACAAAATTGACAAATGGTACCTAATTAAACTAAAGAGCTTCTGCACAGGAAAAAAAAAAACATCATCAGAGTGAAAAGGCAACCTACAGAATGGAAGAAAATTCTCACAATTTGTCCATCTGACAAAGGGCTAATATCCAGAATCTACCAGGAACTTAAACAAATTTACAAGAAAAAAAAAAAACCGCATCAAAAAGTGGGTGAAGGATATGAACAGACACTTCTCAAAAGAAGACATTTATGTGGCCAACAAACATATTTAAAAAAACCTCATCATTACTGGTCTTTAGAGAAATGCAAATCAAAACCACAATGAGATATCATCTCATGCCAGTTAGAATGGCAATCATTAAAAAAGTTAGGAATCAACAGATGCTGGACAGGATGTGGAGAAATAGGAATGCTTTTACACTGTTGGTGGGAGTGTAAATTACTTCAACCATTGTGGAAGACAATATGGCAATTCCTCAGGGATCTAGAACTAGAAATACCATTTGACCCAGCAATCCAATTACTGGGTATATACCCAAAGGATTATAAATCATTCTACTATAAAGACACATGCACATATATGTTTATTGAAGCACTATTCATAATAGCAAAGACTTGGAACCAACCCAAATGTCCATCAATGATAGACTGGATAAAGAAAATGTGGAACATATACACCATGGAATACTATGCAGCCATAAGAAAGAATGAGTTCATATCCTCTGCAGGCACATGGATGAAGCTGGAAGCCATCATTCTCAGCAAACTAACACAGGAACAAAAAACCAAACACCAAATGTTCCCACTCATAAGTAGGAGTTGAACAATGAGAACATTATGGGCACCGGGAAGGGAACATCACACACTGGGGCCGGACAGGGCATTGGGGGCAACAGGAGGGATAGCATTAGGAGAAATACCTAATGTAAATGACGGGTTGACGGGTGCAGCAAACCACCACGGCACATGTATACCTAAGTAACAAACATGCATGTTCTGCACATGTATCCCAGAACTTAAAAAAAAAGTTATCCATATTGTTTCAATATGTCTCATTTTATTTTGCCAATGTAAATTTTTTTTTTATCTCCACTCTCACTTGCAAAAAGAAATGTATATTTATTCTGGGAAATGAAACCAATGTATACAAATTCAAATACACACAATTAGCACAAGAATTCATCACAGTACATGATATTTTAAAGAAGTAAGTTTTTTTTAAGGTCATTAAAGTAATAGTTGATGAGAATAACCAATTTAGAGAGTGACATAAATGACCTGATTGAGCTGAAAAACACAGCATGAGAACTCCATGAAGCATATACAAATATCAATAGCTGAATTGACTAGGTGGAAGAAAGAATATCAAAGTTTGAAGACCACCTTGATGAAACAAGGCATGCTGACAAGATTAGAGAAAAAAAATAAAAAGGAATGAACAAAGCCTCGTGAAATATGGGACTATGTAAAAAAACTGAACCTACGATTGATTAGAGTACCTGAAGGAGACAGGGAGAATGGAAACAAGCTGGAAAACACACTGCAGGATATTACCCAGGAGAACTTAACCAACCTAGCAAAACAGGCCAACATTCAAATTCAGGAAATACAGAGAACACCACTGAGATACTCCATGAGAAGATCAATCCCAAGACACATAATCATCAGATTCTCCAAGGTCGAAATGAAGGAAAAACTGTTAAGGGCAGCCAGAGAAAAAGGCCAGGTCACCTACAAAGAGAAGCCCATCAGACTAACAGCGGACCTCTCAGCAGAAACCCTACAAGCCAGAAGAGAGTGGGGGCCGATATTCAACATTTCTAAAGAAATGAATTTTCAACCCTGAATTTCATATCCAGCCAAACTAAGCTTCATAAGTGAAGGAGAAATAAAATATTTTCCAGACAAGCAAATGCTGAGGGATTTCATCACCACCAGGCCTGCCTTGCAAGAGTTCCTGAAGTAAGCACTAAATATGGGGAAAAAAAAGGTATCAGCCACTGCAAAAACACACCAAAATATGAAGACCAATGACACTATGAAGACACTGCATCAACTAGTGTGCAAAACAACCAGATAGCATCATAATGACAAGATCAAATTCACACATAACGATATTAACCTTAAATGTAAACGGACTAAATGCCCTAGTTAAAAGATGCAGACTGAATTAAAAAGTCAAGACCCGTTGGTGTGCTGTATTCAGGAGACCCATTTCACATGGAAAGACACACATAGGCTCAAAATAAAGGGATGGAGGAAAACTTACCAAGCAGATGGAAAGCAAAAAAAAAAAAAAAAAAAGCACGGTTTGCAATCCTAGTCTCTGACAAAACAGAGTTTAAATCAACAAAGATAAAAAAAAGACAAAAAAGGCCAGGCCTGGTGGCTCACACCTGTAATCCCAGCACTTTGGGAGGCCGAGGCGGGTGGATCACGAGGTCAGGAGATCGAGACCATCCTGGCTAACATGGCGAAACCCCGTTTGTACTAAAAATGCAAAAAATTAGCCAGGCGTGGTGGCGGGCACCTGTAGTCCCAGCTACTCAGGAGGCTGAGGCAAGAGAATGACATGAACCTGGGAGTCAGAGCTTGCAGTGAGCCGAGATTGCACCACTGCACTCCAGCCTGGGCAACAGAGCAAGACTCTGTCTAAAAAAAAAAGACAAAGAAGGGCATTACGTAATGGTAAAACAGTCCACAAGAAGAGCTAACTATCCTAAATATACATTCACCCAAAACAGGAGCACTCAGATTCATAAAACGAGTTGTTAGAGACCTACAAAGAGATGTAGACTCCCACACAATAATAGAGGGAGACTTTAACACCCCACTGTCAATATTAGACAGATCAACAAGACAGAAAATTAATAAGGATATTCAGGACTCGAACTCAATTCTAAATCAAGTGGACCTAATAGACATCTACAGAACTCTCCACCCCAAATCAACAGAATATACATTCTTCTCAGTGACACATGGCACTTATTCTAAAATCAACCACATAGTTGAAGGTAAAACACTCCTCAGCAAATGGAATAGAACTGAAATCATAACAGTCTATCAGACCACAGTGTAATCAAATTAGAACTCAGGATTAAGAAACACCCTAAAAACCACACAACTACATGGAAATCGAACAACCTTCTCCTGAATGACTCCCAGGTAAATAATAAAATTAAGGCAGACATCAAGAAGTTCTTTCAAACGGATGAGAACAAAGAGACAATGTACCAGAATCTCTGGGACACAGCCAAAGCAGTGTTAAGAGGAAAATTTATAGCACTAAATGCCCACATCAGAAAGCTAGAAAGATCTCCAGCTGACACCCTAACATCACAATTAAAACAGCTAGAGAAGCAAGAGCAAACAAATCCAAAAGCTAGCAGAGGACAAGAAATAACTAAGTTCAGAGCAGAACTGAAGGAGATAGAGACACGAAACACCCTTCCAAAGAAATCAATGAATTCAGGAGCTGTTTTTATTTTTTTTAATTAACAAGACACATAGGCTGTTAGCTAGACTAATAAAAAAGAAAAGAGAGAAGAATCAAATAGACACAATAAAAAAAGATAAAGCGGATATCGCTACTGACCCCACAGGAATACAAACTACCATCAGAGAATACTGTAAACACCTCTATGCCAATAAACTAGAAAATCTGAAGATATGGATAAATTCCTGGACAAATACACACTCCCAAGACTAAATCAGGAAAAAGTTGATTCCTGAATGGACCAATAACAGGCTCTGAAATTGAGGCAATAATTAATAGCCTACCAACCAAAAAAAGCCCAGGACCAGGTGGAGTCACAAGCAAATTCTACCAGAGGTACAAAGAGAAGCTGGTACCATTCCTTCTGAAACTATTCCAAACAATTGAACAGGAGGGATTTCTCCCTAACTCATTTTATGAGGCCCACATTATCTTGATACCAAAACCAAGCAGAGACATGACAAAAAAAGAAAATTTCAGGCCAATATCCCTAATGAACATCAATGTGAAAATCCCCAGTAAAATACTGGCAAACAGAATCCAGCAGCATATCAAAAAACTTATCCACCATGATCGAGTTGGCTTCATCCCTGGTATGCAAGGCTGGTTCAACATATGCAAATCAACAAACATAATCCATCACATAAACAGAACCAATGACAAAAACCACATGATTATCTCAATAGATACAGAAAAGTCCTTCAATAAATTCAACATCCCTTCATATTATAAACACTCAATAAACTAGGTATTGATGGAACATATCTCAAAATAATAAGAACTATTTATGACAAACCCACAGCTAATATCATATTGAAGGGGCAAAAGCTGGAAGCATTCCCTTTGAAAATCGGCACAAGACAAGTATGCCTTCTCTCACCACTCCTATTCAACATAGTATTGGAAGTTCTGGCCAGGGCAATCTGGCAAGAGGAAGAAAGAAAAGGTATTCAAATAGCAAGAGAAGGAGTCAAATTATCTCTGTTTGCCAATCACATGACCCTATATTTAGAAAACTCCATAGTCTCAGCCCCAAAACTCCCTAAGCTGATAAGCAACTTCAGCAAAGTCTCAGGATACAATATCAATGTGCAAAAATCACAAGCTTTCCTATACACCAACAATAGACAAGTGGAGAGCCAAATCATGAGTGAACTCCCATTCAGAATTCCTATAAAGAGAATAAAATACCTAGGAATCCAACTTACAAGGGATGTGAATGACCTCTTCAAGGAGAACTACAAACCACTTCTCAATGAAATAAAAGAGGACACAAACAAATGGAAGAATATTCCATGCTCATGGATATGAAGAATCAATATCGTGAAAATGGCCATACTGCCCAAAGTAATTTACAGATTCAATGCCATCCCCATCAAGCTACCAATGACTTTCTTCACAGAATTGGAAAAAACTACTTTAAAGTTCATATGGAACCAAAAAAGAGCCCGCATTGCCAAGACAAGCCTAAGCAAAAAGAACAAAGCTGGAGGCATCACGCTACCTGACTTCAAACTATAATACAAGGCTACAGTAACCAAAACAGCATGATACTGGTACCAAAACAGAGATATAGACCAATGGAACAGAACAGAGGCCTCAGAAATAACACCACACATCTACAACCATCTGATCTTTGACAAACCTGACAAAAACAAGAAATGGGGAAAGGATTCCCTATTTAATAAATGGTGCTGGGAAAACTGGCTAGCCATATGTAGAAAGCTGAAACTGGATCCCTTCCTTACACCTTACACAAAAATGAATTCAAGATGGATCAAATACTTAAATGTTAGGCCTAAAACCATAAAAACCCTAGGAGAAAACCTAGGCAATATCATTCAGGATAGGCATGGGCAAGGACTTCATGACTAAAACACCAAAAGCAATGGCAACAAAAGCCAAAATAGACAAATGGGATCTAATTAAACTAAAGAGCTTCTGCACGGCAAAATAAACTATCATCAGAGTGAACAGGCAACCTACAGAATGGGAGAAAATGTTTGCAATCTACCCAATCTGACAAAGGGCTAATATCCAGAATCTACAAAGAACTCAAACAAATTTACAAGAAAAAAACAACCCCATCAAAAAGTGGGCAAAGGATATGAAGAGTCACTTCTCAAAAGAAAACTTTTATGCAGCCAACAGACACATGAAAAAATCCTCATCATCACTGGTCATTTGAGAAATGCAAATCAAATCCACAATGAGATACCATCTCACACCAGTTAAAATGGCAATCATTAAAAAGTCAGGAAACAACAGATGCTGGAGAGGATGTGGAGAAATAGGAACACTTTTATACTGTTGGTGGGAGTGTAAATTAGTTCAACCATTGTGGAAGACAGTGTGGCAATTCCTCAAGGATCTAGAACTAGAAATACCATTTGACCCAGCAATCCCATTACTGGATATATACCCAAAGGATTATAAATCATGCTACTATAAAGACACATGCACACATATGTTTATTGCAGCACTATTCACAATAGCAAAGACTTGGAACCAACCCAAATGTCCATCAATGATAGACTGGATTAAGAAAATGTGGTACTTATACAACATGGAATACTATGCAGCCATACTAAAGGATGAGTTCATGTCCTTTGCAGAGGACCTTCATTCTCAGCAAACTATCAGAAGGACAGAAAACCAAACACCGCATGTTCTCACTTATAGGTGGGAATTGAACAATGAGATCACTTGGACACAGGGTGGGGAACATTACACACTGGGGCCTGTCTGGGGGTGGGCGGCTGGCGGGGGGATAGCATTAGGGGAAATACCTAATGTAAATGAGGAGTTGATGGGTGCGGCAAACCAATATGGCACATGTATACCTATATATCAAACCTGCACATTGTGCACATGTACCCTAGAACTTAAAGTATAATAAATTATAATAATAAAGTCAAGAAACAATAGATGCTGGCAAGGCTGTGGAGAAATAAGAATGCTTTTACACTGTTGATGGGAAAGTAAATTGGTTCAACCACTGTGGAAGACAGTGTGGCAATTCCTCAAGGATCCAGAACCAGAAATACGATTTGACCCAATAATTCCATTACTGGGTATATACCCAAAGGAGTATACATCATTCTACTATAAAGACACATGCACATGTATGTTTATTGCAGCGCTATTTACAATAGCAAAGACATGGAACCAACCCAAATGTCATCAATGATAGACTGGAGAAAGAAAATGTGGTACATATACACCATGGAATACTATGCAGCCATAAAAAGGAATGAGATCATGTCCAGGGACATGAATGAAGTTGGAAACCATCATCCTCAGCAAACTAACACAGGAACAGAGAACCAGACACCACATGTTCTCGCTCATAAGTGGGAGTTGAACAATGAGAACACATGGACATAGGGAGGGAAACAGCACACACCTTTGGGGAATGGGGAGTGACAGGAGGGAAATTACATGAGGGTCAATAGATGCAGCAAACCACCATGGCATACGTATACCTATGAAACAAACCTGCACGTTATGCATATGTATCCCGGAACTTAAAGTAAAATAAAAATTCATTAATTAATGATGTACTTTTTCATATCTTCTTGGTATGTATAGAGAGGTAAAGTTTTGTGGTCATTTAATTTCAAGTTGCATGGATGCTGCTCAGAGAATCTGTCAGCCAAGATCTCTCCCTTGTGATGAGTTAGGTAGACAGAACAGAAAGCTTTCTTTAGAGGCTATGAGAGGAGAAAGAAGAGTATTCTCCTTTTGTAGATCCACAGTGTCCTCACAAAGCTGGCTGTTTGCACACTGCTGGACCAGCACATCCTGTCTGGGACTTTGAAGGTCTTTGCCCATTACCCTGAATCTATAATGCCTGATATTCTGAAATCATGGTGTGAGATGAGTCTCACTGATTTTGTGCTCTTAAGATTCTGGTTGAGGAAGTCACTATGCAGTTCTCTAAGGGATGTAGAAGTCTGGGAGAAAAGTATCGCATGGAAACCTGCTCATGTATGTCTCCCAAAGTTCAGGGGCAAAAAATCAGGCTTGGAACCATCACAAAAATTATTTCTAATAAAATAACTGTACTCACTTACACAAGTTTGAAGGACAATAATGCATCTTTTTCTTTAATCACCTTAAATCAATAAAATAGTAGTTTGTGATATCCTTATCTTTAACTCTTTTATGATGTTACCATCAGTGATAGAAATAAGAACTAGAATGCTTCTGTTACCCCAAGAAAGCAGGAGATGGAAAAAAAATCCAGATGCTTAAGATTGCAGGCTTAAAAAATTCTTGCTTACATTTTAGTGTGCAGTTAGCTTCTGACCACCTTAATTTAAATAGTATCTTTGTGGGGTAGAAAGAAACCCCAGGAATTTTGGTTAAATACAGCTCAGTTACTATAGAAGACGGTCATTAAATATTTTATAAGGTATTTTATGTAGCATGTATTTACAAAGGGTACATACAGTGCTACTTAAGAGCCCCTATTATGTACACAAAACATGTTGTTATAGGATGCTATGTTCAGATCATAAGCTACAGCCTAAACATCTAAAATAATTAAAATATCCAAAATCTATTTAATGGCGTGGCATTTAGGACTGTGTAAACACGTAAGAAAGTGTGCTTTGGGCTTCCAAATAATCCACTGTATTAAAAGCTACATTCTAAAACAGTGAACAGAGAACTCTGGAGTTCTGCTGTCACAGTAAACCTGTGCAACTAAATCAAACACTCCTGGTCAGATATTAAATGATTAAAACATTTCCAAAATCACTTGAAAAAGAACAAATCCATCACATCATTATAGCTAAGTTTACTGCTTAAGAAGCAATACGGCCGGGCGCTGTGGCTCACTCCTGTAATCTCAGCACTTTGGAGGCCGAGGCGGGCGGATCACGAGGTCAGGAGATGGAGACCATCCTGGCTAACACAGTGAAACCCCGTCTCTACTAAAAATACAAAAAATTAGCCGGGCGTGGTGATGGGCGCCTGTAGTCCCAGCTACTGGGGAGGCTGAGGCAGAAGAATGGCGTGAACCTGGGAGGCGGAGCTTGCAGTGAGCCGAGATCGCGCCACTGCACTCCAGCCTGGGCGACAGAGCAAGACTCTGTCTCAAAAAGGAAAAAAAAAAAAGAAGCAATAGCACAGCCCTGCCTACAGTACCTCAGAAAACCCAGTGCTAACGAATTGTTACGAACCCAGTGTAACGAATTGTATTAAGAAGCAAAAATGCAAAAACAGCAGCCTGATTATTTTTAAAATTATAACATACCCTCAGGTAAGTAGCTTGAATTTGCCTCCCGGGCAGAGATTGGATGTGGAGGAGAGCTGAGTTGGGAAGCATTTTGGCTGCAAGTATTAGAGATTTTAAATTTTTCTCCTGAACTGAAAAAGTTCCATTGTAAGCCCACTGAATACTGTGCATCTAACCTTGAGGCAACCTAGCAACAGTGACATCTAGTGGTCACACTAATTGCATCTCCTCACCTCTCTTCCTCCCCAAACCCTTCCCAAAAGAGTGATATCAGAGTTAAGCATTTAAAGTTGAATCTCTCTGCTAATATCTACCCTTAAATGGTCTTTCTGGGTCTCTAAGTTGTTTCAAATACAAGTATTGATAGATCAGGGCTAAAATGTTTAACTGAGTCTTTCTTTGATTTGTATGAAAGTCACCTTGCAATATAGCAAAAGGAGAACAATCGGGCCCAAATATTAAAAAAAAAAAAAAAAAAAAAAAAAGACAAAACAAGTCTGACAGCCCGAAGATCTTCGTCATGATTAGAACGCTCAGAGTTGCTTTGTCCTGCTCCTATACTCCATCACACAGAAGGCTGCCACCAGACTAATCTCCCCAAATAGTAACTGTCATCAATGCTTCAGTTGTCCCCAGCTGCCCACCACATTGAATTCATACGTACCTGCCTGGCTTTCAAAGCACTCATAAGAATCACCCACTGTACTTATTTCTAACAATTCCTCATTTCTCTACTCCAGCCAAGTTAGTTTCTTTTCTGTTCTCTGGATCCATCATAGTCCTTTCTCTTTTCTTGCCTTTTTTCCTCCTTTTCTCGCTCCTTTCTTCTCTGATATCTATTTTTCAAAGCTCATTTTAAGTTCATCCCTTCTACAAAGCCATATCTTCATTATTGCTCAAGCCTATGCCGACCTCTCATTTCTCTGAATTTCCATTTCATTTACACTTAGTACCACTCAGTGAAGCATTAAATGGCTTCACTGGTGTTTCAGGCTTCTTGGTCTTGTCTCATCTGCAAGTTTTAAAACTCTGCCAAAGCAAGAGTTGATATCTTATATGTCTTTTTGTATTTTCCATAGTCGTTTATTTTGTTTGTTTGTTTTGTTGCTGTTGTTGTTTAAGACGGAGTTTCGCTATTTTACCCAGGCTGGAGTGCAATGGCACCATTTCTCCTTGCTGCAACCTCCACTCCCCAGACTCAAACGATTCTCCTGCCTCAGCCTCCCGAGTAGCTGGGATTATAGGCATCTCCACTACCACACCTGGCTAATTTTTACATTTTTAGTAGAGATGGGGTTTCGCCATGTTGGCCAGCTGGTCTTGAACTCCTGACCTCAGGTAATCCATCCACCTCGGCCTCCCGAAGTGCTAGGATTACAGGCATGAGCCACCATGCCTGGCCCATAGTTTTTAAATGATGTAACATATCTAAAACAAATCCTCATCTAAACCATTCCTTAATTTCTCCTCAAGTTTCAGTGGAACAACTCTATCTCTTCTTGTCCAACTAGTTGGTGGACTCTAGTTTTTAGTAACTGTTAGTATAATGTTAAGCTGAGATACGAAACAATAAATAAGCCTTATACCAACTTGAGTTGTTGTAAAAATGTATTCCCAGAACATTTTCAAGGGAACACCAACATAGAATGAATTATTTTACAAACATTAGATACTATACAACAGAGCAAAATGACAAAATAGTGTGGAAATCTCTCTTTGTATTTGAAAAGCTCTATTTCCCTTCCTTTAGGAAGATCATCTACTATCTACTCCAAAAATGTTATCCTATATCTGTAACTCAAGTTCTGTTCACTATTGTTTGATGGCTCCCTGCTTTTCAAATCGATGGTACACTATCATGGATTATCTAAGGAACACCGAGTGCCAAAATAAATTCCTAGTTTCTATTATGTTTTAAATAAAGGGAACTTACATATCAGAATTTGGATAAATAATATTTAAGATTCTATTCCATATCCACTAAGCATTGGCCGGGTTAATACCACATTGGTTAAGATTCAACTGAAGGATTGAATTTTCTCCTGGTCACCACGTTTTTAAAGAGACAGACAAATTGGAGAGAGTTCAGAGGGGAAGAACAAAAATGATCAAAGGTTTGGAAAATCAGCTCTGTGAGGAAAGGTTAAGAGAATAAGGCCTGTTCTGCCTAGAGAAGAGAGAACTGAAGGGCCATAATAACTCTCCAAAATACATAAAAGAATGTTTCCAGGAGGAAAGGGACCAATTATCCTCATTAGTCAACAAGGATAGGACTAGGGATAATGGGACTTAAGTTGCAGCAAAAGGAAGAAAAAAAAAGATTAAATATTATGAAAACCTTCATTTCAAGGCTAGGCCTAATGCTTTTTCTGAGTTAGGGATAAAGAAATCGTCCCTCTGTGATGATAGGGAAAATATCAGAAAATTATCAGAGAAAACCTTGGCAACTCAAGAATTATAAAGGAAAAAAAGATGAAATTTTGATGTTATGCTTAAAATGTGCATAACATTCTCCACTCAAACCCAATGAGGTAGTTATTTTCACCAAAAACCATAAAAATACATACAGAACACATAAAAACAAAGATGCACAGACAAACAAATACAAATGAAGAAAGACAATTACCTATTCCCATACTCTCTTGGCTCATCTTTCACAGGATTAATGCATAAAATAGGTTTTATCTTAAAATAATAAAACATTAGTGCCCTTTGTTCCTTGATTTAATATAGTCATCATATTAAAAAGTGGTGGAACTGATAGAGTTTTAAATACAGATAAATCAAGCATGCATAAAATAATGATGGAGTGGAAGAAAATATAATACATCTGAAAAAAATCAGCATTCATTTGCATATGATTTGTTTTTGTTGCATGTCATTTACCTTGGTATATTCTTAAGGCCCTACTTCTCTGAGAAGGTGGGAATTATCCAGTTGAATGCATTATCTTCATTCCTTTATATCTCAGCACAACTCTGATTGTCAGTCTCCATTTCTCCATTGCTTTCTTCTCTCAATGCATATTTATTGATAACCTGCTGTTTGACCAGGAACTAGGCCAGTGTTTTCACTCACCTTTATTCAATCAATCATTCAATCATTTAGCCAATGAATATTTATTGAATGTCTTCCATATCCTGGGCACCTTGATAAACACTCTGGCTAAGGCTGAGGACAAGACATACTTTGTCCCTGCCCTCATGGAGTATACATTTTGACATAAACAAATACATATGATGTATGAGGAGTGTTGAGGAGGGGAAGTAAAGGGTGCTATGAGAGCACATAGCGGGAGAACCTAAGTTAGTCTAGGGAACACTGCCTTACAAATGAAAGTTAGCAGGTAAATAATGGGGTGTGGGTAGAGGAAGGGGCAAGTATTCCAGGTAAACTGGTAGAGGAATAGCATGTGAAAAATTTCAGAAAGAAGAGAGACAGCAATGGTGTTTATGAATTTATATATTTTATGAAATTACCTTAACCAGCCTTTTCTATAAAGTGAGATTGGGCAGTACAGTAACTATGTCTGTACTTGGAAACATTGAAATTATCTATAATATTTTTCATTTTTAAGATGTCAGTGATTATATGATGAACTGCCATTTTAATCATAGTTTTTTGGGTTTGAAAAACACCTCTACGTTAAAATGGGAAAATAATGTGTCTTGAATATATTTGCACTTGGTTTTACAAAATGGGATCTTACCATATACATTGTTCTGAAACTTTATTTTTTGGAAAATGATCATATTTTCATTATTTGGGGATAAATTTGATTTTCAGACACAAAAATAGTCATTTGGCACTTGGTCTTTTGATGGTCAAAAACAAAAAAACAATACTAGCTAATTCTAACAGAGGTTTTACACAATATTTTTTGCACTATTCACATAAATGTATAGCATCTTGAGATGTGTAGTTTAAATGCTATTCTTTTGGATTTATTCATTTTGCTACTGCTTTTCAAGGTCTATATAGTTAAATTTTGATATTACAAATAATCTGGAAAATAAAACATTTACTTGAAAGTCTCTAGTGGGGCTAGAGGAATTTTGTTTCTCAGAAGATCATCATGAAAGGAGGGTTGATTGGGTAACAGCTGAAATGGACATAGCCACTGCTTTATCAACTCCAAGTCTTCCTTGCTCCTCTCCATCAGAGAGTCCTATGGTGAACTGGCCTGAGGGATTCAGCTCTCAGTTACAGGAATAAGAAGAAACCTCAGAACACTGAGACCATGAGGGAATGGCTCCTCAGTAGTAGACATTCTTTTTTATTTAATCAGGTTAATATTTTTATTTTTAGTTTTTACTTTTTTTATGTTTCCATAAGTTATTGGGGTACAGGTGGTATTTGGTTACGTAAGTAAGTTCTTTAGTGGTTATTTGTGAGATTTTGGTGCACCCACCACCCGAGCAGTATACACTGCACCATATTTGTAGTCTTTTATCCCTTGCCCCCCTCTGACTCTTCTCCTCAAGTCCCTAAAGTCCATTGTATCATTCTTATGCCTTTGTGTCCTCATAGCTTAGCTCCCACATATCAGTGAGAAGATACAATGTTTGGTTTTCCATTCTCGAGTTACTTCACTTAGAGTAATAGTCTCCAATCTCCTCCATGTCACTGCAAATGCTGTTAATTCATTCCTTTTTATGGTTGAGTAGTATTCCATCATATATACCACAGTTTTTTTATCCATTTGTTGATTGATGGGCATTTGGGTTGGTTCCATAATTTTGCAATTGTCAATTGTGCACTATAAACATGCATGTGCAAGTTTCTTTTTTGTATAATGACTTCTTTTCCTCTGGGTAGATACCCAGTAGTGGGATTGCTGGATCAAACAGTAGTTCTACTTTTAGTTCCTTAAGGAATCTCCACACTGTTTTCCATAATGGTTGTACTAGTTTACATTCCCACCAGCAGTGTAGAAGTGTCCGCTGTTCACCTCATCCATGCCAACATCTATTATTTTTTTATTTTTTTTATTATGACCACTCTTGCAGGAGTAAGGTGATATCGCATTGTGGTTTTGATTTCCATTTCCCTGATCATAAGTGATGTTGAGCAGTTTTCATACATTTGTTGGCCTTTTCTGTATATTCTTTTGAGAATTGTCTATTCATGTACTTAGCCCACTTTTTGATGGGATTTTTTTTTCTTACTGATTTGTTTGAGTTATTTGTAGATTCTGGATATTAGTCCTTTGTCAGATGTATAGATTGTGAAGATTTTCTCCCACTCTGTGGGTTGTCTCTTTACTATGCTGACTGTTCTTTTCCAGTGCAAAAGCTCTTTAGTTTAATTAGCTCCCAGCTATTTATCTTTGTTTTTATTGCATTTGCTTTTGGGTTCTTGGTTATTAAATCCTTGCCTAAGCCAATGTCTAGAAGGGTTTTTTCCAATGTTATCTTCTAGAAATTTTATAGTTTCAGGTCTTAGGTTTAAGTCCTTAATCCATCTTGAGTTTATTTTTGTATAAGGTGAGAGATGAGGATCCAGTTTCATTTTCCTACATGTGGCTAGCCAATTATCCCAGCATCATTTGTTGAAAAGGATGTCCTTTCCCCACTTTATGTTTTTGTATGTTTTGTCAAAGATCAATTGGCTATAAGTATTTGGGATTATTTCTGGGCTCTCTATTCTGTTCCATTCGTCTATGTGCCTATTTTTATACAAATATCATGCTGATTTGGTGACTATGGCTTTATAGTATAGTTTGAAATCAGGTAGTGTGATGCCTCCAGATTTGTTCTTTTTGCTTTGTCTTGCTTTGGCTATGTGGGCTCTTTTTTGGTACCATATGCATTTTAGAATTGTTTTTTGTAATTCTGTGAAGAATGATGATAGTATTTTGAGGGGGATTACACTGAATTTGTAGATTGCTTTTGGCAGTATGGTCATTTTCACAATATTGATTCTACCTATTCATGAGCATGAGATGTGTTTCCATTTGTTTGTATCATCTATGATTTCTTTCAGCAGTGTTTTGTAGTTTTCCTTGTAGAGCTCTTCCAACTCCTTGGTTAGGTATATTCCTGAGTTTTGTTTTGTTTTTTTCAGCTATTGTAAAAGGGGTTGAGTTCTTGATTTGATTCTCTGCTTGGTCACTGTTGGTGTATAGAAGAGCTACTGATTTGTGTACATTAATCTCGTATCTGGAAACTTGGCTGAATTATTTTATCAGTTCTAGGAGCTTTCTGGAGGAGCCTTTAGGGTTTTCGGGGTAAACAATCATAGCATCAGCAGATAGTGACAATTTGACTTTCTCTTTATCGATTTGGATGCCCTTTATTTCTTTCTGTTGTCTGATTGCTCTGGCTAGGACTTCCAGTACTATGTTGAAGAGAAGTGGTGACAGTGGGCATCTTTGTCTTGTTCCAGTTCTCAGAGGGAATGCTTTCAACTTTTCCCCATTCAGTATAATGTATGCTTTTTCTGCATCTATTGAGATGATCATGTGATTTTTGTTTTTAATTCTGTACCATATTTATTGACTTGTGTATGTTAAACCATCCCTGCATCCCTGGTATGAAACCCACTTGATCACTGTGCATTGTCTTTTTGATATGTTGTTGGATTCAGTTAGCTAGTATTTTGTTAAGGATTTTAGCATCTATGTTCATCAAGGATATTGGTCTGTAGTTTTCTTTTTTGGTTATGCCCTTTTCTGGTTTTGGTATTAGGGTGATGCTGGCTTCATAGAATTAATTCTGGAGGATTCCTTCCTTCTCTATCTTGTGGAATAGTGTCAAAAGGATTGGTACCAATTCTTCTTTGAATATCTGGTGGAATTCTGCTGTGAATCTGTCTGGTCCTGGACTTTTTTTGTTGTTGTTGGTAATTTTTTAATTACCATTTCAATGTTGCTGCTTGTTATTGGTCTGTTCAGGGTATCTAATTCCTGATTTAAGCTAGGAGGTTTGTATTTTTCCAGGAATTTATCCATCTCTTCTAGGTTTTCTATTTATGTGCCTAAAGGTGCTCATAGTAGCCTTGAATGATCTTCTGTATTTCGATGGCATCAGTTGCAATATCTCCTGTTTCTTTTCTTAGTGAGGTTATTTGCATTTTCTCTCTTCTTGGTTAATCTTGCTAATGGTCTACGAATTTTATTTATCTTTTCAAAGAACCAGGTTTTTGTTTCATTTATCTTTTGTATTGCTTTTTGTTTCAATTTCATTTAGTTCTGCTCTGATCTTGGTTATTTCCTTTCTTCTGCTGGGTTTGTGTTTGGTTTGTTCTTGCTTCACTAGTTTCTTGAAGTGTGACCTTATAGTGTCAGTTTGTGCTCTTTCAGTCTTTTTGCTGTAGGCGTTTAGGGCTATGAACTTTCCTCTTAGCACTGCTTTTGCTATATCCCAGAGGTTTTGGTAGGTTTTGTCATTATTGTTGTTCAGTTCAAATAATTTTTTAATTTCCATCTTGAGGCTGGGCATGGTGGCTCATGCCTGTAATCCCAGCACCTTGGGAGGCTGAGGCAGGCAGATCATGAGGTCAGGAGATCAAGACCATCCTGGCTAACATGGTGAAACCCCGTCTCTACTAAAAAATACAAAAAATTAGCTGGGCGTGGTGGCGGGTGCCTGTAGTCCCAGCTACTGGGGAGGCTGAGGCAGGAGAATGGCATGAACCCAGGAGGCAGAGCTTGCAGTGAGCTGAGATAGCGCCACTGCACTCCAGCCTGGACGACAGAGCGAGACTCCATCTCAAAAAGAAAAAAAAAATTCCATCTTGATTTCATTTTTGACACAATGCTCCTTCAGGAGTAGTTTATTTAATTTCCATGTATTTGCATTGTTTTGAAGGTTCCTTTTGGAGTTAATTTTCAGTTTCATTCCACTGTGGTCTGAGAGAATGCTTGATGTAATTTCAGTTTTCTTAAATTTATTGAGACTTGCTTAATGGCCTATCATGTGGTCTATCTTGGAGAAAGTTCTATGCGCTACTGAATAGAATGTGTATTCTGAAGTTGTTGAATGAAATGTTCTGTATATATCTCTTAAGTCCATTTGTTCCAAGGTGTAGTTTAAATCCATTGTTTCTTTGTTGACTTTCTCTCTTGATGACCTCTCTAGTGCTGTCAGTGAATTACTGAAGTCTCCCACTATTATTATGTTGCTGTCTATCTCACTTCTTAGATCTATTAGTAATTGTTTTATAAATTTAGAAGCTTCAGTGTTAGGTGCATATATGTTTAGGATTGTGATGTTTTCCTGTTGGACAGGAATATTACTATTATATAAGGTCCCTCTTTGTCTCTTTTAACTGCTGTTGCTTTAAAGTTTGTCTTGTCGGATATAAGAATAGCTACCCCTGCTCAGTTTTGGTATCTATTTGCATAAAATGCCTTTTTCCACCCCTTTACTTTAAGTTTATGCAAGTCCTTTTGTGTTAGGTGAGTCTCCAGCAGATAGTTGGTTGGTGAGTTCTTATCCATTCTGTGGTTCTTTATCTTTTAAGTGGAGAGTTTAAGCCATTTACATTCAACATTAGTATTGAAATGTGAGGTACCATTGCATTCATCATGCTCTTTGCTGCCGGTGTTTTTTGTTTTTGTGTGTGTGTTTTAACCTGTATTTTCTGTTTTTTTAACCTGTATTTTTGTTTTATAGGTCCTGTGTGATTTATGCTTTAAAGAGGTTCTGTTTTGATGTGTTTCCAGGATTTGTTTAAAGATTTAGAGCTCCTTTTAGCAGTTCTTGTAGTGGTGGCTTGGTAATGGCGAATTCTCTCAGCATTTGCTTGTCTGAGAAAGACTATATCTTTCCTTCATATATGATGCTTAGTTTTGCTGGATACAAAATTCTTGACTGATAATTATTTTGTTTGAGGAGGCTGAAGATAGGGCCCCAATCCCTTCTAGCTTATAGGGTTTCTGCTGAGAAATCTGCTGTTAATCTGATAGGTTTTCCTTTATAGGTTAGCTGGTGCTTCTGTCTCAAAGCTCTTAAGATTCTTTCCTTCACCTTAACTTTGGACAACCTGATGACAATGTGCCCAGGCAATGATCTTTTTGTGATGAATTTCCCAGGTGTTCTTTGTGCATCTTGTATTTGGATGTCTAGGTCTCCAGCAAGGCTGGGGAAATTTTCCTTGATTATTCCCCTAAATGTGTCTTCCAAGCTTTTAGAATTATCTTTTTCCTCAGGAATACCAATTATTCTTAGGTTTGTTTGTTTAATATAATTCCAGACTTCTTGGAGGCTTTGTTCATATTTTCTTATTCTTTTTTCTTTGTCTTTGTTGGATTGGGTTAATTCAAAGACCTTGTCTTCTAGCTCTGAATCTTTCTTCTACTTTTTCAATTCTATTGCTGAGACTTTCCAGAGCATTTCACATTTCTAAAAGTGTGTCCAAAGTTTCCTAAATTTTTGACAGTTTTTTCTTTAAGCTACCTAGTTTCTTGAATATTTCTCCCTTCACTTCTTGTGTCATTGAGAGACAGAACTAGCTGGATTTCCTAGGCTAACTAAGAATCCCTAAGCCTAGCTGGGAAGGTGACCGCTTTTACCTTTAAACCTGGGGCTTGCAACTTAGCTCACACCCGACCAATCAGGTAGGAAAGAGAGCTCACTAAAACACTAATTAGGCTAAAACAGGAGATAAAGAAATAGCCAATCATTTATCACCTGAGAACACAGTGGGAGGGACAGTGATCAGGATATAAACCCAGGCATTCGAGCTGGCAACGGCTACCCTCTTTGGGTCCCCTCCCTTTGTATGGGAGCTCTGTTTTCATTCTATTTCACTCTATTAAATCTTGCAACTGCATTCTTCTGGTCCGTGTTTTTTACGACTCGAGCTGAGCTTTTGCTTGCCGTCCACCACTGCTGTTTGCCGCCGTCACAGACCTGCTGCTGACTTCCATCCCTCCGGATCCGACAGGGTGTCTGCTGTGCTTCTGATCCAGCGAGGCGCCCACTGCCACTCCAGATCAGGCTAAAAGCTTGCCATTGTTCCTGGATGGCTAAGTGCCCAGGTTCATCCTAATGGAGCTGAACACTAGTCACTGGGTTCCACGGTTCTCTTCCATGACCCACGGCTTCTAATAGAGCTATAACACTCACTGCATGGCCCAAGATTCCATTCCTTGGAATCCATGAGGCCAAGAACCCCAGGTGAGAGAACATGAGGCTTGCCACCATCTAGGAAGTGGCCCGCTGCCATTTTGGAAGCGGCCTGCCACCATCTTGGGAGCTCTGGGAGCAAGGATCCCCCGGTAACATCATTTCTTAGATTTCCTTGTATTGGGCTTCGCCTTTCTCTGATGCCTCCCTGATTAGCTTAATAACTAACCTCCTGAATTATTTTTCAGGTAAATCAGGGATTTTTTTCTCAGTTTGGATCCATTGCTGGTGAACTAGTGTGATTTTTGGGGGGCTGCTGAAGAGCCTTGTTTTGTCATATTACCAGAGTTGGGTTTTCTGGTTCCTTCTCATTTGGGTAGGCTCTGTCAGAGAGAAGGTCTAGGCCTGAAGGCTGTTGTTCAGATTTTTTTGTCCCACAGATTATTCCCTTGATGTAGTACTCTCAGCCTTTTCCTATGGATGTGCCTTCCTGTGAGCTGAACTGCAATGATTGTTGTCTCTCTTCTGGATCTAGCCACCCAGCAAGTCTAACCAGCTCCTGGCTGGTACTGAGGGTTCATTGCACAGAGTCCTGTGATGTGAACCATCTACGGGTCTCTCAGCTGTGAATACAAGTGCCCGTCTCAATGGAGGTGGCAGAGGGGTACAATGGACTCCATGAGGGTTCTTAGCTTTGGTGGTTTAATGCTCTATTTTTGTGCTGGTTGGCCTCCTGCCAGGAGGTGGCACTTTTCAGAGAGCATCAGCTATAGTAGTATGGAGAGGGACCAGTGGTGGGTGGGGAACCAGAACTCTCAAGATTATATGCCTTTGTCTTCCATTATCAGGCTGGGTAGGGAAGGACCATCAGGTGGGGACAGGGCTAGGCATGTCTGAGCTCAGACTCTCCTTGGGCAGGTCTTGCTGAGGCTGCTGTGGGAGATAGGGTTGAGATTCCCAGGTCACTGTAGTTGTGTACCTAGGAGGATTATGGCTGCCTCTGCTGAGTCATGCAGGTTGTCAGGGAAGTGGAATAAAGCCGGCAGTCACAGGCCTCACCCAGCTCCCATGCAAACTGAAGGGCCGGTCTCACTCCTGGCCCCGCCCCTTCCCTGCCCCGCTCCCCAACACCGCCTAGTCTGTCTCCAGGCAGTGGGCGAGACAGGCTTGAAAACTTGCCCCAGGCTACCCATCTCCCAGCTGCAAAAGAAAAGGGCTTGGTTCTTCCTCCACTTGTGGAGTCTGCTCACTGGATTTGTGACCTTCCCCGAGTTCTGGCCAGAAGGCTTCTCAACCCATTTGAATTGTTACAAAGTTCAGCTAGAGATTTTCTTCTACCTGTGGAGTTTTACCCCCCAGTTTCTCTGGCCACCCTCCCAATGGATCCCTGTGGTGCCAGGCAGGAATGGCCTGCTTGGGGACCCAGCAAATTCCCAGAGTTTTTCTCTTGCTTCCTCTACCCCTGTATTTCACTTGGCTGTCTAAATTGACTCAGCTTCAGGTAAAGTCAGAAACTTCTCACACAAAGAGTCCTTCAGTTTCTCCAGTGGGGGTGTGTGTTTGGGAGAGGAGGGTCTTCCTTTCCCACTTCCACAGTTGGGGCAATCACAGTATTTGGCGTGACTCCCAGGTCCTGAAGGAGCAGTCTGCTACCTTCAGAGGGTCTCTCAGGATTGCTGGTTTGTCCTTGCAGTCGATCTGGAGCTAAAATTCACAATGTGAGCCTCCACACTCTGCTCTGCCCAGAGCTGCAATCTAGTTCTGCCTCCCGTCTGCCATGATGATCTAAAGTTGTAGATGTTCTTAACATCAATCAGAAATGTGTTTGAGCAGCCTCCCTTTGGACTAATAGCAAGTTTAATGGCTGCTCAAATGGTGCTGGGGTGTGTGGAGGGTCCTGGAAAAAAAAATAGAATATTCTTAGCACTATCTTCTATTTTAAAAGACACTAAAGAAAGAAGTGACCAGAATTACATGCATTACAGAGTTTCTCCTTTTTTAAAATTAAAATTTTAATTTTTAGAGACAGGTTCCATTCTTTCACCCAGGCTGCCAGTCTGTGGTGCAGTGGTGCAACCATAGCTCACTGCAGCCTCAAATTCCTGGGCTCAAGTGATCCTCCCACCTTAGACTCCCAAGTAGCTAGGACTACAGGCATGGGCCATTTCACTCAGCTAAAAGGTTTTCTCTTTTTAATTATATTATTTCATAACTTTCCTTGCTGTGAAATTAAATACTATTAAGTATTATAAATAGTATGTATGTGTGTATGTATTTATTTATTTAATTTATTTGTTTAGACAAAGTCTCACTCTGTTGCCCAGGCTGGAGTGCAGTGGTGTGATCTCGGCTCGCTGCAACCTCTGCCTCCCGGGTTCAAGCAATTCTCCTGCCTCAGCTTCCTGAGTAGCTGGGACTACAGGCACGTGCCACCACGCCCAGCTAATTTTTGTATTTTTAGTAGAGACAAGGTTGAAACCTGTCTGGTCTCGAACTCCTGACCTCAAGTTACCCACCCACCTCAGCCTCACAAAGTGTTGGGATTACAGGTGTGAGCCACTGCACCCAATCTATTCTAAATAGTATTTAAATTAAAAAGGCACAAAAGCTGTATGAAGTAGAGTTCTTTGGTTGCAAGCAGCAAACACAAATCAACTTTGGCTAACTTAAACAAAAAAGGAAATTGCTCGGATATTGTTGCCAGAACCCAAAGATTATCCAAAAGGATGGAGAGCTTAGAATAGTTCCAGGAGAGCTTCCAGGTTGGTGAACACATCTACGTGCCTGAGTGGAGGTGGGGCATCCTACCCCACCTCCACAGGCACAGAGGCTCCAGTGCTTGGGACCCTTCTGGACCTTGCCATGTGTATCACTTAATCTGGCTTTTCATGTCTATCTTTTATAATATCTTTTGTAATAAACCTACAGGTGAGTGGACTGTTTCCCTGAGTTCTGTGAGCCTTCCTGGCAGATTATTGGAATCAAAGGAGGAGGGTCATGGGAACCCTGATTTGTGGCTAGTAGGTGTGAAGCACAGGTGACAACCTGGGACTGGCAATTGGTGTCTGAAGTAGAGGGCATTCTTGTGAGACTGAGGCCTTAACCTGTGAGATCTGACAGTAGATAGTGTCAGAATTGAATTCAGTTAGAGGACACTTGGTATCTACTGGAGAACTGCTTTGCATATGGGGAAAATTCCCCATCCATGTTGTCACAGAATTGTTCTATATTGTGAGAGTACAGAGACAGAGTGTGTGTGTTGCCACCAAACTCTGCTGCAGAAAATAACTTTTCTTTAGGGGGTAAGAAGTGCTCATTTACTCGTTGCACAAACAGATGTGGAGCCCCTTTTGGGTGCAAGACCTGGCAGATGATCTTTTAAATAACGGAAGCCCCAGAGGCAGGATTTTTGACTTTCTTCACAGCTCATACTCAGAGCCTAGAACCACGCCTGGCACAGAGTTGGTGGCCAGTAAATATTTGTTGGATGAGTAAATGAATCTTTCTCACACCCTGTTTTCTCATCAAAGACACTTTGATTCTCAGGACCCTTTACTTGTATTCATGGGGAGGAATCTGACCACGCCGTGAGGAGGGACAAGTGACGTGCTGAGGAATGAGTGTGACCGCTGCGCACATACCAACTCAGCACCAAAGGGAAGAATCAGATGCCTGCACTTTGCACTGCTGTGGAAAATCTGACTGGGTTTTAAATGTAAGTAGAGAAAGGGTGCTACCCTTTCACTTCCTGTTGCACTGCAATATAATTCTGACATTAACCATCTGGAGTTGGTGCCCACAGGTTAAAGGGCATGGTCCCCAGTGAGCCTGCCCCCACTTTAGAGGCCAACCACAAGTGGAGTTCTCGGGGCACCTGCACTTTTGACAGACTGGCTCAAGATTCAGAGTTCCCTTG
This sequence comes from Homo sapiens, assembly GCF_000001405.40. Classification (NCBI taxonomy): domain Eukaryota; kingdom Metazoa; phylum Chordata; class Mammalia; order Primates; family Hominidae; genus Homo; species Homo sapiens. The sequence continues at coordinate 97,078,956 of NC_000007.14, forward strand.
AGAGCCTCAGATAATTCGCTCAAAAGGCTAACAGAACTTAGGAAAGTGCTGTACTTATGACTGCAGTTTTATGATAAAGGATACAAATCAAGACCAGCCAGATGAAGGGACACGTGGGGCAAGATTTGGGAGGGAGGCTTCCACAAGCTCTATGCTCTTTCCCATGGACACGAGGCTTGTCTTCCTCCCGACACAAAGCCACCACCTTCTAATTATTATGTGATTGGTCATTCTGGTGACCAGCCTCCATCCTGAGTCATCGCATCTTTTACTATAAACTAAAAGAGTTTCTTGGTGTGATCCAAGAGGCTCAAAAGTAACAAAGATACTCCTATGACTTGTGAAATCCCAAGGATTTCGTGTCGCCCAAGAAGCAGGGACAAAAGGCAGTCAGATTCTTCATTACACAATAAGTGTTCTGGTTTTAGAATAGAGTCTTATTTAAAAGCTTGTGAGATGACAGAGATTCTTTGCTTGACCAAACTTTGGTCAAGCTCCTGAACCATCTGCTAGGTGCTTTTGTGTACTTCCTTATAAGATTCAGTTTTAGCAAGAACTTTGCCACATCAGTTTAGCAAGATCCTCCCACTCTCACTATCTGATTACGCTTAGAATCTGATTGGGTTCCTCTGTCATCCACCCAGCAAGGTCTGATCACCTTGGCTTGTCTTTAGCAAGAATCTTGTTGGCACCTGTGATCCCTGCTACTCCGGAGGCTGAGGCAGGAGAATCACTTGAACCTGGGAGGCAGAAGCTACAGTGAGATGAGATTGCACCACTGCACTCCAGCCTGGGTGACAGAGCGAGACCCTGTCTCAACAAAAAAAAAAAAAAGAAAAAAGAAAAGAGTCTTGTTATTTTGATTTAGCCAGAATCCCCCTTACCTCTGATGTTTCCTTCTAGTAATTTTCTATCCACTGGCTCCATTCTGGTCCTTGGTTCTAAATTCCTATTTGCCCTTGCTATATTTAGTGTTAAGCCCAATTTCTCTGCCCTACTGCAAACTCCCAGTGCAGTGGGCCCTATACCTATCTTGATAGTCCTGAATAAAGTATGCTTTATCACATTTTAATAAGTGTCATTGAATAATCTTTTTCTTTAACACAGATACTCAGACGACCAGGCCTTCAGTAGTCAAAAATGTAAAGTCTTATTTTACAAAGATCAAAGACATAGCTAGCTTGGCATGGGGAGCTTTTATTTGTTTGTCAGCTTTTAATGTAGTGATGAATTCATTCTAAATGTAACCAACCACACTGAAAATAAAAGTTTATTTGACTTTAATTTTTAAAGAAGAATATTTCCAGAAATACAGGTAGTGGGAGCCGTTACCATCAGGATGAATAAACACGAATTTTTTAAGTCTTTGTTACTTGTTCCAGATTCAGATTCCAGGAAGAGACCTTCTGATTGGACTAGCCTGGATCACATGCTCGTTTCTTTGATTTACATCCTCTCAAGTATATAACCAATGAGTGAAGCATGGCTCTGGAAAGAACAGTTACTGGATGCTTAGTAGGCAAAAACAACAGATATGTGCTTCACCAAAGCATTTTCTCTTGCAAAAGTATGAAGTGCCACATAAGTGGCATTTCTGTTGTACCATGCAGAGTGATTCTTGAGCTTGAAATTTTAATTAAGATTCATGAATATGAAGCTGTGACCTTTATGGCTTTTTTTAAATCTATAGAACTTAGTTCTAGATTCTAATTAATATAGAAATGCAGAGCACCCAAAGAGGCACTTCTGTACCAAACAATAATGCTACATAAATGAAAAAAGTCACATGCCTACCTTGAAAACCAGTAAAAGGCAAACTGTTTTCCAAAATCACATGTTAAAAACTTTAAAAAATATACAGCATAGTTTTGTTCAAATTATGTAGAGGATTAGGGAGGGAGCTATAAACTTTTCATGACTTCAAGTCTTTAAAGTCAACCCTCGCAAAAAAAGGAGGCAGAGATATGAGTTGGGAGATGGTTGCAGCAGTCTGATTATGCAATCATGCCACTTTAAATTAAGAAAATGAATTAGTGACAACTAAAATGAACATAAATAGTCAAGAAATATTTTGGACATGGGATTTATATGATTCTACATTGCAAATAATTTTAGAGGTAAGAATCTGTCATGATTGTAATACTACTACTAAGTATTTGCTTTTAAAATCCTCTTATCTGGTAACCATAAAATGTCCTTCTGAGTAAGAGTAACATTATTATTCCAACTCTGCAAATAAAAAAAAACTGCACATATTTGTGATCTATCTAAGGTGAAAAATCAAATCCTATCCCCTTCCTGATTCTCAACTTGTTTTATATTGTACAGCACATGTGGCATCTCATTTTTCTACATTTTTCTTAACTATAGGTTTTCAAGGCATTTGCATGTACTCTGCTATCTCCAAAATCAAGAAACATGTGTTCATCCATCTGCTTAAAATCTCCTCCTTTTAAAAATGATGTCCATTTTGGAATAGGTGACAACTGCATATGTGTTTTGAATGAGGAAATGGCAGAATATCACCGAAACAGGACCTTTTCAAAAGACTACTTGGAAATGCTATTCCTTTTATATCTATTTTGTCATATTTTGTTCATTCTGCTAGTAGTTAAGAACAGTGATAATTTTCATGAAAAATGTTTGCTAGGGAAGAAACCAATCATGATTTCTTTTACCACTTCAACTATACAGAGACTCTACAATTGCAAAAGACAGATGGCAGAAACCATGCTTGCTCCACCAAAAACATGAGGTTCCTTAGCATTTGTTTAATTAAATATGGCTGCTTCGACAGCTTCTAAACCAATGTTTTGAAGAAACATTTGAACTCTTTAAAAAAATGTATTCGTTTCATTTTATTTGCACAGTTGATGCCAAGTTTTTAACCAACTCTCTTTCCAGAGCTAAAATAATATCCAGGAGAGCTCAAAAAAATTATGTGAAACACAGATTGACTACAGAGTATTTAGAGTTGGGATTTGGGTTCAGCTCTGGGTGCTCACTGGTTCATATTTAGCACTTGCTGGTGGCATTTACAGTTTGCCTTCTAGCCATTGGAATGCACACCCAGAAAAATCCAATTGCTGAGGTTATGACGCTTGTTGGAGGGATTTAGTGGATTAGACTAGAGGAAACAGGATTTTGGTTCCTGGCTCTGTTAGTCATTGTCTGTGTGACTTCAGACAAGTTAGCTTCTTTGTGCATCCCCATACCCCCCACACCTTAACACCTCCCCACTCCCCACAACAATGAAAGGGGCAGTGAAAAACAGAAGGGAAGAACATAGTACTAACTTACATTTCAGGGCCAACATAAGTAACAATTGATGCTTCATGATACTTGGTCTCTTTGTGATCAAAATATAAGCAGAAAGAGTACACTAAAAAGACCAAATAACCAAGAGGTAATCTTATGTAATCACTCCTTTTGTTTACACTTTCAGAGAAGTCTTTTATTGTATACTTCTCTGCACTGTTAAGCTTCAAGTTTTCAAAATTCATTTCAATCAACTTCTCATGGTTTACATCTCTCTGAACACTATAAGCTGAAAGTATATCTCTTAAAAGAGATACTTTTCCATTTTTTGTGCAAATGTTTTTATTGTTCTACTTCAATCCAGACACATTTTACTCAGAGGAAAAGATAATAATGGCTGATGTGTCAAGGTAAGTTTTGTTTGGACATGCATTAAAGATACAACTTAATGTTTTCATAAAATACTGTATACAATAGATCTCAAACAATGCTTGCTTTTAACAGATGCCTGGTTCTAAAAGGGAGCATTAGTTTTTATATGTAGGAAGTTAAGCACTTGATAATTGATCACCTTCAAGTACATTCTGTCTTTTACAAATGGTCATTTTGTGATAAGCTGTTCCACAATTCCCTTTAGCTCAGGAGAATTTATACCCAATTGAAGGTGTGGAAATACACTGAACCCCATACGCTATGATGTCTAAAGTTAGAAGACTGTGTAGTTTTCCTGAGTCTGTTTCAGGAATTTGTATTGGGCAGTGATGTTTGTTGCTCCCAGCTCAACTAGGGATGACTCCATCCACCAGCATAATGGGTTGGGCATATGACCAAAACCTTGAAAATGAAGGTACTACTCTATCCTTTACCTATGATGACTGGTCAAGAGTGTGTGTGTGTTTTCGTATCCAATCTAGTGATCATCAGTTTGGGAAAGAGAATTTATTTTTGCCAGCATTACTATGCTGGTAGGATGTAAGCCCAGCACTAATGTTGCAATATCCTATTAATTTTTTAAAGGTATATACGTATATACAAAGACAGTCTACTAAAGAGGTATTAAAAAATGATTAGTAAATGTTTAGTCTTACTAGTAATCAAAGAAATGCAAATTAAAACAATAAGGTACGATTTACTTTTTGAATTGGGAAATGATTAATTAATTGATAATTAAGTGACAAATTTGTGTTGGAAAGGATGCTGTATGCTATGGTTTGAATGTGTCCCCCAAAAGTTCATGTGTTGGAAAATTAGTTGCCATTGTGGTAGTGTTGAGAGGAGGGCCTTTGGGAGTCAATGAGGTCATGAAGGCTACTCCCTTATGAATGGATTACTTTTCTTATTGTGAGAGTGATTTAGTTATTGTGGGAGTGGCTTTGTTAGAAAAGCAATTGTCTCTCACACTTACTTTCTTGCCCTCTGTCTTCTGCTCTTCCACCTGTGATGACCCTCACCAGATGCCAGGTGTCATACTCTTGGACTTCCCAGCCTCCAGAACCATGAGCCTAGTAAACTTTTCTTTATAAATTACCCAGTCCTTGATATTCTGTCATAGCACCAGAAAATGGACCAAGACACTGTGAAATGCTCAAGTTTGTGGACTAGAAATTTCTGTAACATTTTTTAAGAGCAATTTGAAAATATCAATTTTTTTAAATCAATATCATATTATTTGTCCTAAGGGGAATATATCCTAAGGAAGTAATTCTAAATGTGGGAGTTTGAAGCACAAAACCAGAAACAACTAATATCCAGAAGTAAGAAAATAATAAGCTAATTATAGTAGATACATTGGGAGAAACATTTAAGTATTAAGTGAAGAATGCAGGATACAAAATTGTAAGCACATGGCTCCTTAATGATATATAGCGTACAAGTGATTTGTTCCATAATTTGCATAGTATTTTTCTTTACAAATATATTAAGTGAAATCATGATTGTGCATGTTTAATATATTTTTCCCATGCTCTAAATATTAATGTACTCTCTCAGCCAATGACACCTAGTGGGCTGTATTATTAGGCCAAGGAGGACTAGGGCTCTGCTATCCCAAATTGAGAGTACTGTGTAGTAGATACTGTTTATTCTTTTTATTTTATGTTTTATTTTTTGAGACAGAGTCTCACTCTGTTGCCCAGGCTGGAGTGCAGTGGCACAATCTCAGCTCAGTGCAACCTCTGCCTTTTGGGTTCAAGGTATTCTCCTGACTCAGCCTCCTGAGGAGCTGGGATTACAGGTGCATGCCACCACACCTGGCTAGTTTTTTATATTTCTGGTAGAGACAGGGTTTCACCATATTGGCCAGGCTGGTCTTGAACTCCTGACCTCAAGCAATCCACCCATCTCAGCTCCCCAAAATGTTGGGATTACAGAGGTGAGCCACTGTGCCCGGCAATACTGTTTATTCTTTTAGGGGCTCTCTTTCTCCCATTTAGCTTGTATTTAGTGAATAGTTTTTATTCAAAATGACTGACAAAAATGGTGCAAGTGATAGTGGAACAATTGTTTCCAAGAATCTGATACTAAAACTCAGGTTTTCTGGAAAACTGAGGAGTCTTCAGAGAAACGGTGAGGTGACAAATTAAAAAAAAGAGTAGGAGATTAGGAATTATTGGAAATCCTTAAACTTTTTGCAATTATATAAACATAATTGCAAGTAAATAAACGTTTTAAAGGCAGAATTCCTCTTACTCTTTGTGGAGCTGACTACATAATTTGTAAAGCCTAGTGCAAAATAAAAATGGGGAGCCCTTGTCAAAAATCAGGGAGGAAAGCACCGTATTAGTCCATTTTCACACTGCTATAAAGACATACCCGAGACCAAGTAGTTTATAAAGGAAAAAGGTTTAATTGACTCACAGTCACACATGGCTGGGGAGGCCTAAGGAAACTTACAATCATGGTGGAAGGCGAAGGAGAAGCCAGGCACATCTTACCATGGTGAAGTAGGAGAGAAAGAGAGTGAGGGGGGACCTGACAAACACTTTTAAAGCATCTAATTTCATGAGTATTCACTTAGCATCATGAGAACACCATGGAGGAAACCGCCCCCATGATCCAATCAATCCCACTAGTCCCTCCCTCAAGACATGGGAATTACAATTCAAGACGAGATTTGGGTGGGGACACAGAGCCAAACTATATCAGTAGGTATGAAGCTTTTTTCCTTCTTCCATGGTGTCCCTCTCAAACTTTTCTTGGTGTTTTTATTTGCTATTTAATGTCATTCTAAGTAAAGAAAAATTTAGATATTAAATGTTTATTACAAATTTTCCATTTATTTTTATATTGTGTAGTGCCAGTTTTAAATGCAAATGTCAGAGCACCGTATAAAAGTGAACACACAATTTCCTGCCTCTAGTGGGCCAGAAGAGACAAATATGAACCATACTCGGGAAAGGTGGAAAGAGGAAGAGAAGATTCCTCTCAGGCATGGAGTAGAGGGTACTTGTGGGGTGAGTGTGAATCCTCACAGCTGCACAAGGACATGCGTGCTTGGTACTGAGTCAGTTACCAGGTTCTGCTCCTGCCAGCCATGAACCCATACCACTCAGTGGGGCTAGGGTCTATGGAAATTGAGAGTGCTGCCTCAATCCACATGAGATGGGTGATCCCCAAGCATCTTTAAACCTCAGGGCTGAAATGTGCTCAGGATCTAGGTGGGATAGGGGAGAGGCTGCCCCCGCCTCCCACCCAGCCCACCTAGATGCAGCCTCTGATGGGCTGCTCAACAGAGGTATGGGCAGTGGTGCTGTCAAACCAGGGCTCAGGGGCTGCCACCATGCCCTATCCTGAGATGTCAGAATGCAGATACCTAACTCTATCCTCTTTATGTTACCCCCATGCTCCCGCCAGGAGCAGAGGATGGCAGTCATTGTAGGGAGGAGAGGGGGAAATGAACTGGGGTGGAGAATGACAGGGAGTAGGGGAGCAGACTCCTGAGAGCCTCTCCAGGGCAGGTAGAGGGAGGCAGGACCATGTGAAGCTGAAGCTCCAAGGTCCTGACGCATGCTCCATTGTCCCATTGGACTTCACTCACAAAATCCATATTCAAAGATAATGTTATTAAGAATTTCAAGGCAGCAACCACAGAGCGTTAAAACACAACTGTGGGGCCCTGTGTGACTGCCCTGGTTCCACCGTCTATCTATGTGAAAGAGTACTTTGGCTGCTCTTGCTGCAGTCTTCCAGTTTTAGGATATGTGTTTCTAGTCTAGGTCACATTTTTCTCCCTCTGTATGCCTACAGAGTTCAAAGATTATGTAGCCTAGCTTAGTACTTGTTTAAAAAACATTACCCAAATAAAACCAACTGGACATCAATTAGACCCTTAACATGGACAGTGACAATATGAACGTTACTTGTCCCCTTATAGATGGGTTCTCTTTCCCCAGCTGGTTTGTTAAAGTTTTTGAGGGCAGAGGACCTGTTTTATATTTCTTTTTTCTTTTTTCTTTTTTTTTTTTTTTGAGACAAGTTCTGGTTCTGTCACTTAGGCTGAAGTGCAGTGATACAATCACAGCTCACTGCAACCTCTGCCTCCCAGATGTGAGAGATTCTCCCATCTCAGCCTCCCAAGTAGCTGGGACTACAGGCGTGTGCCACCACACCTGGCTAAATTTCTTTTGTATTTTTTGTAGATATAGGGTCTCACCATGTTGCCCAGGCTGGTCTCAAACTCCTGGGCTCAAGTGATTCTCCTGCCTCGGCCTCCCAAAGTGCTGAGATTACACGTGTTAGCTACTGTGCCTGGCCTATGTATCTCTTTTTATCCCTTCAACCCCCTTGGTGCCTAACAAGTCACTTGAGTCTTTTATTCATGATAGTGATAACATGGTATGTTAAGTTTGCTCTCTCTAAATGAGATAGCTACCTTTTTTAGAAAAATAAATGCCCAGGTAGCGTTTAATAACTATTTGTGACTTCATTATGAAAGGTATTGAGCCACATAATCTTTAAGTTGGAAGGGAGATGGGAGATCACCACTGGCTTTGCACAACTAGTCCAAAATCACACAATTTCTTATTGACAGGTCCAGATCTAGAAACCATGTCTCCTAATTTTCAGTTCAAATGCTCTTTATAAGACACAATACTGTTTCTGCAAAAAGTGTAATTAGCAATCTATTTTGAAATCTCATATGCTCAGGGCTAGTTGTACCATATACAATAAGGAGATGATTTAAGTTATATCTGAGAAAGAAGGAACAAATTTTGAGAAAGAGAGTTAGACATGATTCATTAGCAACATGAGAAGGATAATGAGAAAAAGAAATGGCTTATCCACATGATGTGAATAATACTGCTGTTTGTATTTTCCTGTTAAGTCTCTATTGCCTCCACGTGGATTATTATTTGTGGTCTGGAAATGGAAAATGTGAATTCCAAACCAGCTTCCTCCTCTATCATTCTCCACCTGGCTAACAGCTTTCCTTTACCATCCTTAATGCTAATATTAACATTAATCTGCTGTTTCTCAAAAGATAACATCAGTTAATTTCTCTAATTATTCAGTGCAATTAACACATTTTTGCTGAAAAAATGTACACTATGTTAGATGATGCAGAGTATATAAAAATAATTAAACTAACAACAAAACAGTCCCATTTTCAAAGAGCCAAAGAACAAAGAAAGGGGCAGGAGGTCTATTTGCTATTTTCTTTAATCCAGGCCACTGCCACCTCTTATTATGACTAACCAAAAGCTGAGATGTAATAGAAGAAAACAAACCCCCTAATGGGAAAGCAGGGGACATGATATCTAGTTCTTGCTTAGCTTTTAATTAGCTATATGACCTTGGGCAGGTCATTTAATCATATTGGATTCCCCATTTTTTTCATCTCTAAAATGAGAGGTTTGGATGGGAAGTAACTTCAAAGCTCCCTTCAAAGTCTGAAATCCCAATTTATGATTACAATATATTTATTTGAACTAAACAATCGTCTAATTTATTCCAGATTATGGCAAAATTAGCTTATAATTAACTGTTCTCCTCACTTTAATTCAGAACACTGAATAAAATTGAAATTACAAATTGGAATAAAGACAAAACAAAGTTTTTATTGCCGGTGATGTTGGCAAGAAAGTTAGTAGTTAAGGTTCAGATGACTACTATATCTTCTTTTTGTTTAACTTTTGTCTAATCCACAGTTGCTGGATGAGGAAGCCCTACTGTCTCATGTCTTTATGTTATGGTTTAAGGTACAAAGTTTGCACGTGCATACAGCACTCTCACACACACAAATCCTATTTAAGTATTGAGGAAGGTAAAAGAAAGTGTTTTGATCCAAGGCTCACAATTCACCTACTTTTTGCAGCAGATGACAGTTTCCTCTTTCAGGCTGTGGTTAGTCTTGATTTTTTCGCTGGGCAGGCTGGCAACATATGTGGCAGCATTGGGCAGGCTGGTACATATGCACATACAACTTCACCACAGGTCATGCCCAGAGCCAATAGCTGCTGAAAACTGTACATAGGTGGTCTTGACCCTTCGGACTCAGATTTGACAGAATGCAGTATAGAAGAACTCACATTCTTGAAAGTGTCCTCAAGGTTTTTTTAAAAAAACTTTTTAAAATTTCAGCATATCTTTGCTTTCCTTTGATTCTTTTGAGGTTTAAGGGTGGTCACTGGCAGAATTACACAAATAGAGTGTTCACAGCTCAGCAATCCTTGGATCCACATTTGGAGTTCTACGTGGGTGGCACAGGAATAAATGCCAATAAGAAGCCAGGACAGATCTGTTAACAGAAGTTAATGCCTTGGGATAGAGCCCTGAAAGCTTCCATGAAAAGACCTGAAAGACTTAAAAATTATAATAGTAGAAAAAAGTCAATCTAAAAATTTCTAGAACTTGAATACATTATTTTTTTCAAAAAAAGTATCTTTTCATTTATCCAAAAATTATTTTTGATACTTTCAATGTTAAGAGTCAAGGTAGCCTTTAGAATTGAGTTTGCTTCACATTCAATTTTTAAAAATTGAAGGGAGCCTACACAAGCCAGAAACAAAATGTCTTTGTGTTCCTACTCTAGCAGAAATGGGGTTGTGGAAAGGGTGGAAAGTGAAGAAAACATCACCTAAAATATACTCTATGAAATATAACATGTTCTTCTAAATTTACCTCTTTCTATGCGATGTTATCAGTTATCCTGCTGCAACTAAAACCAAGTTCACTAAATTCAACATAACTACTTAATTACATTTCCAGATTCCTAGTTAGTGCAGTATCAATGATCTGTGCCCATCTTTCTTGTTTTTCAAAAATATTGAACATTCTTGTCCTTACTGTTAATAAATAGCCTGCTCAAGGTTTTCAAGAAAATTTACAACAATTGAACAATTCATATTGTATATAAGTAAAAGTGCATACCTATATATTTTTAATTTTTTTCAATTTTAGGTTTTAGGGTAGAAGCTATTCCAGATCCTGCTTCTGTCTGATTGGAGACATGATGAAATCTGAATAGACAGTTAAATAATTAATTTTTAATATCTCCCTCTTACCATTGAACATTAGAAGTGACCTAGGTTAAGAACTGTCCCTGCAGTTGCTTTCTACCTGGTTGTCAGACCACCCAGGCTGAGCAGCCACAGGGCCCGATTTCTCTATCAAGGCGATATTTTCCTTCAGGAGTCGCATTGTATAGAATTGGCATTAAATGAGGGCCTCCGACAAGGCTTTCCTGGGACGTAGTTATGTGTTCTTCCCTGCCTCATTGCCAGGGTGATTATTCTCAGGGAAAAGCTATTTCCAGAGGGATTATAAGAGACTTGCTGGCTGCCAAAGGAGGGATTTTGAAAAAGTCTGTGGTGCTGGAAGAAACGATCCTAACCACATATGTTCCCTGAGATCTCACAGAGAGCAAAGTCATAAAAAGAGGCCCTTTGAAGAGAATTTTTTATCCTGTTTCTTCTATTGAAAAGTAATGGGGACTGACCCCATGGAGTTACAGAAGAGAGATTTAGCATGGGAAGCAGCATTCCTCTGTACAATTATGGAGAGTCTAGTGCTTTCCCCTGTAATTTAACAAGTCAGGAGGTAACAGACTCACTGGAGTCTCTATTGAGTCTGCTGGAGTTGTGCTGGAGGTAAATCCAGTTAATGAACTATTATAGCATCCACTTCACACTACTTCAGCGTCTTACAAGACCTTCATGAAGATGGGAAAGCATGAGGAAATCAAGTCACAGGTTACATTTATGGAACACCTGCCTTGGGAGGATTGTTCCTATGACATCCTGTTGACCCTCACAGCCTTCTTAAGAGCCATGTAGAAAACAAAGACAGATTCTCTTTACTTTGTAGATGTAGAATCTGAAAAAGTCAAGTGACTTGCATGAAGTCATTCTTCATAATCAAGTTGGAGCAAAGAATAAAGACTGAGACTCTTGACTCCAAACCTATGGTCTGTAGGCTAAAATTCTGAGGCAGCAAAGCCTCTGAGCAGAAATACCCTTTTTCCCTCATGGGCCCAGGCAAAATTGGGTAGTGGCCTCTGTACTTCTGGTGACTGTTTTGGTTATCTAGGCTGTGTAACAAACTACCCCAAAACTTATGGACTTAAAACAATAACAGGTATTTTATCATCTTTCATTATTTTTATGGGACTGCAATTCAGGAACGGCTCAGCTTGGCAGTTTTAGCTCTGGCATTTCTCATGTGATTACAGTCACAGTGGTTTGAGGTGGAGCAGGAGGGAAGCAAGGACAGCTGGGAGCTGGCTAGGCATATCTCTTTACATAGCTCAGGGCCTTTCCATGTGGACTCTCTGTGGGGCTTGGTTTGGGCTTCCTCACAGCAAGGTAGCCTCAGGGTAAGAGGGCTTTCTACATTGGCATCCTAGGGCTCCCACAGAAGTGTTTCAGCAAGCAGGGGGAAGCTGTATCTGAGGCTGGGACTTAGAGAGATACAGCTTTGGCTTCTCTAATTGGAATGCTCCTTTGTAGAACCCACTTAGGAATTCCCCCACCCCCACACCTGCCTTTTAAATAGACTGTTTTTAGAGCAGTTTTAGGTTCACAACAAAACAGCAGAATGTACAGAGATTTCCACTATACTCCTTGCCATTCCCCTGCCCCCCAACTTGTTTAGCATTCCCTACTATCAAAATCTGGCACCAGAGTGGCACATTTGTCACAATCAATGAACCTACAATGATATATCATTATTACCCAAAATCCATAGTTTATATTAGGATTCAGCATTATACATTTAATAGGTTTTGACAAATGCATAATGACATGTATCCACCATTATAGCATCATACAGAGTATTTTCACTGCCATAAAAATCCTCTGTGCTCTACCTATTCATCTCTCCCTTCCCCTAACCCCTGACAATCACTAATCTTTTTACTGTCTCCAAAGTGTTAGCTTTTCCGGAGTGTCATATAGTTGGGACTATACAGTATATAGCCTTTTCAAATTGGCTTCTTTCACTTAGTAATACACATTTAAGTTTCCTCCATGTCTTTTCATGGCTTGATAGCTCATTTCTTTCTGGTGCTAAATAATATTTCATTGTCCGAATATATCAGTTTATTTATTAATTCACCTACTGAAGGATATCTTGGTTGCTTCCAAGTTTTGGCAGTAATGAATAAAGCTGATATAAACATACCAGTGAGGGTTTTTGTGTGTACATAATTTTTAACACATTTGGGAGGAAGTGCAGCTGCTGAATCATGTGGTAAGAGTATGTTTAACTTCATAAGACTGTTTCAAACTGTCTTTCAAAGTGGTCATACCATTTTGAATTCTCAACAGCAATAAACGAGAATTAGGGGAGTTTCTGTTGCTCCACATCTCGCCAGTGTTTGTTATCAGTATTCTAGATTTCAGCTATTCTAACATGTGTATTAATTAATATACACCCAAACTATAAAAGGAGTCTGGCTAAGAGTACAAAGAGGGTGGAGCTGGAGAGCTGACCAGCTCCAGATTTATAAGACACATTTTTTGCTTTGAGGTATCTCTATGGGAACACTTTGTTATTGATAGTGTTGAATATGAAATACATCAACAAACACATATTTATTAAGCACCTAACATGTGAAAAGCATTGCACTGGGAGCTCTAATTGATGAAAGAAGAATGAGATGGTCCTTCCCTCCAGAAAGCACAAAGTCTATTTGGATAGACTTAATCTTGAAAAATTGAGCAATTAGATCATTAAAAAATGATTTAATATTTTATTACCCATTATGTACTCTGCAATACAAGAGGGGCTTTTGGCTCATTGAAGACATAACTAAGCTCTGTATTAGATTGGCCGTCTTATGGCAAAGACAGCAAAATCAAGGTGCCAGTACTGAATGGTAAGAAGCTAGAGAGAGAAGACACTCTAAGAGTGTGTAGACAGGGTACTGCACCCCACTCAATCTGAACCATCTGCCTCCATACACCTATTCATGGCCCAATGAGGTCTACAGAGAGAAGCACAGTGGAGTCCAAGGATGGAGACATGCTGGGGGTTGAAGTCCTCTCAGGAAGTTTCCTGAAGAAGTAAGTGAATGTCATGTATTATTGGAGAATAGATAAAATGGAGAAAAGAAAGGATGGCTTTTGGGATTAAGAGACAAAAATGGGAAAGTGGGAGGAACTTTCCAGGACTGGCTAGTTATCCCAGTTAACTGAAGTGAAAGGCTATGCAGGAATGAAGTGGGAGGAACAAAGGCCAGGATCAGTTTATCAAAAACCTTGACTATGCAGTCAAGGAAACTTTGAAATGTGCTGCCTATTGTGGAAAGCAACAGGGTGGGCTTGGCTGGAGATGTTTTTAAATAACACGCTACACCTAGACATTGAAGAAGCACCACTTAGCTACATTAGAATTTAAATGTTAGATGGATGGAACTTGATAATCACAGAGGTTTCTTCTGGAACCTGGGGCATATACAAAAGTTCCATTATGAAGATCTATATTTAACTAGCTAAGCATCTTTTACAGACTTTGGTCTTTGAGTGTTTGATCACTTCTTGTTTATTCTGTTTGGTGAACCTGGTCCCACACAGCTTTCTCTAGGGCTTCCTAAGTACAGTACAAGTGTCTTCAGAAGGGTGAGGGAAGTTGTTCACTGCCACCTCCCCAGGCCTGTCCCTGCCTCAGGGGAGTGTGGGGGCTGTTCTATCATTACCAGTTCTTGGCACAAAGCTCTGAAAAGATGGACACAAGACTTGCACATTTGTGTTTTCATGGCTGAAGGCAGTTACCATTAGGTGACTTTTTTTTCACTAAAGATAAAAATAAAGTGATAAAAAAGCTTGCTTAGTCAGACTAATTCTACTCTCAGTTCCATTAAGGAAAGGTAGAGAATAAGGGGTAATTTTGAAGAAGATCAGTGTACCTTGGAGCCTGCATTTCTAGTACCCTTCTGTAAGCCAGTGGAGAATATTTGGTAAGATATTTGTTTGATGAAAATATGTAATGTATGTATATTAATGCATTCCCAATGCCTGAGCACAGTGCCTGGTACATAGGAGATTCTTAATAAATTGTGTTGAATGACTGAATTAAGTAATCTATGTAAAATAGTTGTAGAACAAATATCAAGAAAAATCATTAACATACTTCTGCTTGTAATACAGTCTTTTTCATTTGTTTTTGTTTCAAAGCACTTAGAAATTTTGGAAGGGGTGGGGAGAAGAAAGGCAACTTTTTTTTAAATTAAAAATCAACTCTAATTTTACTTTTTAGAAATAATCGCTATTAACATTTAGGTGTATTTCTTCCAGTGTTTTTTCTATGCATATCTTTGTTCATATATAAATTTTAATGCATTTAAACCAAGTACCTAACCTGAAGAAGAGAAGCATAAATTAAAACATACTACATGGATTTACTAATTTTTTTTCCTTGATGTAGTCTTAGAACATAAAGGGATATACAAATATATACCTATATCTTATATGAGTCATCATTAGCTTAATTACACATTTGGAGCCAGCTGTATCAACATACACAGGTCATATTATGCATATGCTACTTTTTGTTCTCAATTTTAGCAGCAGTTATGGTTTAATTAATATTAAACTAAAACAAAACACAATTTAAAAAGGCAGATGAAAAACGCATATAGTTTTGAAACCATTCAGCTTTCTAATTTAAATAGCATTCAGCAGCGTGTGCCATTTGTCAACCCTGGCTTTCTTCACTAAGGCTTTAAGAAAAGAAGAGAGAAACCAGAGGCCTCTATGTTGTCCCATGTTGGTTATTTTGCTAGCACATGATTGCAGCCCCTGATCTAGGAGCCTGCAGTACAGAGATCTATGTTGAAGATAGCATTTGGGCCAGCAGCATATTTTAATACATTGGCATTGTGTAATTGGACACTATCCTTGTTTTCCATAAGCCTTGGAAAGCCATCCACATACTTGGATAAATGAAAGCTTTCGAGTAAAGCCCCTCCTCCCACCATCAATGTGCTAGATAAAATAATGGGCTTTTCTTAAGCATGACAGGGGATTTATATGAAGGGCATCTATTGTTTGGTTGGGATGTTTTCCCTTCCAGTTTCTTCTACTTTCCTATCTAGCTGTACAAGGGGTGTGATTAGGAGGGGTGAGGGGAGGCTGGTATGCGTTCTCCCAACCCTTCACCACAAACCCAGCTGCCAGAGCTGAAGCAGCCACACAGAGAGCTAAGGAAACTTAAAAAACTTAATTAAGGGGGAAAAAAAAAAGCAAACAAAATAGTTTTAAAGTGGATTTACTTAGTGCCGTAGCCTTGCCAGGGAAACCACAGAGTCTGCATTTATATATTTCTTATATAAGACATATCTAATTAAAACAGGAGAGGGGACAACAAGCTTTCTTCCAAGTTCATTTAAATACATGTTCATGTTATGTTTAAATTCCCTGTGGAGTAATGTAATGATGATCCAACGGCATAAAAGCAATTTGATTAAGCAACTGTAGACTTTCGTGAACCCTTTTAGCCTTAAGTGCTTAGGATTCACTTGCCCTGCCATACCCTATATAAAATCTATCTACCCTGGCTGGGCAGGCCCCCAAACCTGAAGACCATGCTTCCAATGTGAGAATGATTGGCCTTCACCTTTTTCGTATCCTTCTCCTGCCTTAGCTCTTTAACTCAAAGAATATACTGGAGGCCAGGCGCGGTGGCTCATGCGTGTAATCCTAGCACTTTGGGAGGCGAAGACTGGCAGATCACTTAAGGCTAGGAGTTTGAGACCAGCCTGGCCAAAGTGGTGAAACCCTGCCTCTACAAAAAATAAAAAAATTAGCCTGGTGTGTAGGCACAAACTTGTAATTCCAGCTACTCCGAGGCTGAGGCATGAGAATTGCTTTTGGGAGGCGGAGGTTCCAGTAGGCCAAGATGATGCCACTACACTCCAGCCTGGCGATAGAGCGAGATTCTGTCTCAAAAACAAACAAACAACAGCAACAACAAAAATAATATACTGAAGCTTTATTTTTGCTCCTTTGTTTAATGATTTTATTTTATTGTATTTTTTCTATATTTTTTTTGAGATGGAGTCTTGCTCTGTCTCCCAGGCTGGAGTGCAGTGGTGCGATCTCGGCTCACTGCAACCTTTGCCTCCCGGGTTCCAGCGATTCTTCCACCTCAGCCTCCCGAGTAGCTGGCATTATAGGCACGTGCCACCATGCCCTGCTAAATTTTTAAAATAGTTTTAGTAGAGACGGGGTTTCACCATGTTGGCCAGGCTGATCTCGAACTCCTGACCTCAAGTGATCCACCCGCCTCAGCCTCCCAAAGTGCTGGGATTACTACAGTTGTGAACCATCGCGCCCGGCCTGTTTAATGATTTTAAATTGCATGTCAGTTTAGAGAAATTATAATTGTTTACAAGTCACCTAAAATATCTACATTATACATACTATAATAAACAATTTAATTGGGGGAAGCAAAATGTCACTCTCTTTTAGCTTATAAAACAGACTACATTTTAGGATTGTACTTCTGAAAGTGTGATCTATGGTTCAGTGGCATCGGCATCACCTGAGAGCTTGATAGAGATGTAGGATCTCAGTTCCCTCCCTGAACCAGCTGAATCTGCATCTGCATTTAAACGAGATACCCAGATGACTGGTGAGCACACTACAGTTTGAGAAGCACCCATTTAGGGTGAAGGCATTCTAGGAAAATCCTTCTTTTCTCAGACCCAACTTCTTGAGACATTAGGTAGCTTCTCCAGTAGGAGTACTATGGAAAACATTCTGTGTGCTCAAGAATCCCTTGGGAATATTGGCAGCCCTTTTTGATCTGATGGGCTCATTAGGAGCCTGATAAAAAAAATTAAAAATGAAGAATAGGCCTGGCACGGTGGTTCACGCCTGTAATCCCAGCACTTTGGGAGGCTGAGGTGGGCAGATCACGAGGTCAGGAGATCGAGACCATCCTCGCTAACACGGTGAAACCCCATCTCAACTAAAAATACAAAAAAGTAGCTGGGTGTGGTGGCGGGCGCCACATTTTTATTTTCAATAAAAAATAAAAATAAATAAAAAATAAAAATGATAGTAGAGTATAGTAAATACATAAACCAGTAAGTCATTTATTATCATTAACAAGTATTATGTACTATACCTCATTGCATGTGCTGTATTTTTATAGGCCAGGCAGCACAATGGGTTTGTTTACACAAGCATCACCACAAACACGCGAGTAACGTGTTACTTTATGATATTATGACTGCTACTACGTCACTAGGCAATAGGAATGTTTCAGCTCCATTATAATCTCTTAGGACTGCTGTTGTATATGTGGTCCATTGTTAACTGAAAGATTGTTATGCAGGGCATGATTGTATTTAAATTTGGTACCTGTGAACAAAAAAATTTCTTTAATATTATATTCCTATAGATGGCAAAATACAGTCTCTATAGAATGTTTATTCCGCTAGAGTTCCTGAAAAGGCTATAATTCCATCATACATCCATAAAGGAGAATACATCTGTGTTCTTTTTCTTTTCTGTTTTTGTTAGTATAGATCCCATTTGACATAACTTTGAAATGTATATTTCATTAATGGATGCATATGTTGTGACATTGTTACATTTTAAAATAATCTCATCCATTAAGAACATTATTGTACTATCCGAAAGGCCATTTGGAGTTCAAGTAAATAAGATAATTAAAATGAATGAAATAATTTTGTGATTTGCTCTAAGCATAATTCTAAGATCTTTGTGACAGTTGCTAATATGTTTGTAAAAAAATACTGTAGTCATTAATTGTCAAAGTCTTATTTTATGGGGGAGGAAAAAGTGTTTGTTTAAACACTCTTAGTCCGGCCTGGAAAATATTTAAGGGCCAGGCGCAGTGGCTCATGTCTGTAATCCCAGCACTTTGAGACGCCAAGGCGGGCAGATCACTTGAGGCCAGGAGTTCAAGACCAGCCTAGCCAACATGGTGAAACCTCCTCTATTAAAAACACAAAAAATTAGCCGGGCATGGTGGCGCACGCTTATAATCCCAGCTGCTCTGGAGCTGAGGTGGGAGGATTGCTCGAGCCCAGAGATGGAGATTGCAGTGAGCAGAGATCATGCCACTGTACTCCAGCCTGGATGACAAAGTGAGACACTATTTAAAAAAAAAATTTAGACAGTCATATACGGTTATATCATATCATTATTTCAGTTAATTTTAAGTTGTATATATCTAACAGTAATGTTATGTTCTAAAGTGAAAATTAGGTTTAAAAAACGTATTTTTTAAAATAGTGGGTAAAGTTTCTACTGACTACCAATTTATATCATCATTATTATCATTGTTAACTCTAATAATCACTTTTTATGTGCTAGTCACTAACTATTCTCAATTTTTTTTGTTGTTGTTTGTTTTTTGTTTGTTTGTTTGTTTTGAGACAGGGTCTCACTCCGGTTGCTCAGGCTGGGGTGCAGTGGCACAATCTCAGTTCACTGCAGCCTCAATTTCTCTGGCTCAGGTGATCCTCCCACCTTAGCTTCCCGAGTAGCTGGGGCTACAGGTATGCACCACCAGGCCTGGACAATTAAAACAATTTTTTTGTAGAAATGGTGTCTTGCTCTGTTGCCCAGGCTGGTCTCGAACTCCCGGGCTCAAGAGATCCCTCTGCCTTGACATCCCAAAGTGCTGGGGTTACAGACATGAGCCACTATGCCTGGTCTTCTAAATGCTTTTTACATATTAAATAGCTAAATTACACAGACGCTTTTTTTTTTTTTTTTTTTTTTTTTTGAGACAGAGTCTCACTCTGTTGCCCAGGCTGGAGTGCAGTGGCAAGATCTTGGCTCACTGCAACCTCCGCCTCCCGGGTTCAAGTGATTCTCCTGCCTCAGCCTTCCGAGTAACTGGGATTACAGGCACCCACCACCACACCCGGCTAATTTTTGTGTTTTTAGTAGCGACAGGGTTTCGCCATGTTGGCCAGGCTGGTCTCAAACTCCTGACCTCAGGTGATTCTTCCGTCTCTGCCTCCCAAAGTGCTGGGATTACAGGCATGAGCCACTGAGCCCAGCCTAACAGATGCTTTTTAAGTACCTACCAACATTCTCATTTTAAGAGGGGAAACTGAAGTCCAGAGAGGTTAAACAACTAGCCCAAGGCATAGACTTCAAAAGTGGCAGAGCTGGAATCTAGCTGAATATGACTTACTCACCTTAAATTTGTAATAATGAAGGATAGATACTGTATTCTTATATCAGACAAAACAGACTTCAAAGCAACAACAGTTTAAAAAGACAAAGAGGAACATTATGTAATGATAAAAGGATTAGTCCAACAGGAAAATATCACAATCCTAAATATATATGCACCTAACATGGGAGCTCCCAAATTTATAATACAAGTATTACTAGACATAAGAAATGAAATAGATGGCAACAAAATAATAGTGGGGAATTTCAATACTGTACTGACAACACTAGACAGGTCATCAAGACAGAAAGTCAACAAAGAAACAATGAACTTAAATTATACCCTAGAACAAATGGACTTAACAGATATTTACAGAACATTCTACCCAAGAACTGCAGAATATACATTCTTTTCATCAGCATATGGAACATTCTCCAAAACAGATCATATCATGGGCCACAAAACAAGTCTCAATAAATTTAAGAAAATTGAAATTATATAAAATAGCTTCTCAGATCACAGTGAAATAAAATTGGAAATTAATTCCAAAAGAAATCCTTAAAACGGCCGGGCGCGGTGGCTCACGCCTGTAATCCCAGCACTTTGGGAGGCCGAGGTGGGTGGATCATGAGGTCAGGAGATCGAGACCATCCTGGCTAACAAGGTGAAACCCTGTCTCTACTAAAAATACAAAAAATTAGCCGGGCGCGGTGGCGGGCGCCTGTAGTCCCAGCTACTCGGGAGGCTGAGGCAGGAGAATGGCGTGAACCCGGGAAGCGGAGCTTGCAGTGAGCCGAGATTGCGCCACTGCAGTCCGCAGTCCGGCCTGGGCGACAGAGCGAGACTCCGTCTCAAAAAAAAAAAAAAAAAAGAAATCCTTAAAACTATACAAATGCATGGAAATTAAATAATCTCTCCTCAATGATCTTTGGATCAATAATGAAATCAAGATGGAAATTTAAAAATTCTTTGAACTGAATGATAATAGTTACACAACTTACCAAAACCTCTGGGACACAGCAAAAAAAAGTGCGAAGAGGAAATTTCACAGCATTAAATCCTTACATCAAAAAGTCTGCAAGAGCACAAAATGACAACCTAAGGTCACACCTCAAGGAACTAGAGAAACAAGAACCCAAACCCGGCAGAAGAAAAGAAATAACAAAGATCAGAACAGAACTAAATGAAATTGAAACAAAAAAAAATACAAAAGATAAATGAAACAAAAAGCTGGTTCTTTGAAAAGATAAATAAAATTGATAGGCCAGTAGCAACAGTAATCAAGAAAAGAAGACAGAAGATCCAAATAAGCTCAATTAGAAATGAAATGTGAAATACTACAGCTGATACCACAGAAATACAAAAGATCATTCAAGGCTACTATGAACACCTTTATGCACACAAACTAGAAAACCTAAAGGAGATGGATAAATTCCTGGGAATATACAACCCTCCTAGATTAAATCCGGGAGAAATAGAAACTCTGAATAGACCAGTAACAAGTAGTGATATTGAAACAGTAATAAAAAAATTACCAATCAAAAAAAGTCCAGGACCAGATGGATTCACAGCTGAATTCTTTTTTTTTTTTTTTTTTTCCCCGAGACGGAGTCTCGCACCGTCACCCAGGCTGGAGTGCAATGGCACAATCTCGGCTCACTGCAACTTCTGCCTCCCAGGTTCATGTGATTCTCCTGCCTCAGCCTCCCGAGTAGCTGGGATTACAGGTGTACACCACCACACCCAGCTAATTTTTTGTATTTTTAGTAGAGATGGGGTTTCACTATGTTGGCCAGACTGATCTAGAACTCCTGACCTCGTGATCCACCTGCCTTGGCCTCCCAAAGTGCCGGGATTACAGGCATGAGCAACCACACCCGGCCTCACAGCTGAATTCTATCAGGCATTCAGAGAAGAATTGGTACCTATCTTACTGAAACTATTTCACAAGATAGAGAAAGAGGAATTCCTCCCTAAATCATTCTATGAAGTCAGTATCCCCCTAATACCAAAGCCAGAAAATGACATAAGAAAAAAGAAAACTACAGACCAATATCCCTGATGAACACAGATGCAAAAATCCTCAACAAAAATACTAGCTAATCAAATCCAACAGCATATCAAAAAGATAATACACCATGATCAAGTGGGTTTCATAACAGGGATGCAGCGATGGTTTAACATACACAAGTCAATAAATGTGATACACTACACAAACAATTAAAAACAAAAATCACATGTCCATCTCAATAGATGCAGAAAAAGCATTTGACAAAATTCAGCATGCCTTTATGATGAAAACCCTCAGCAAAATTGGCATAGAAGAGACATACCTCAAGGTAATAAAAGCCATCTATGACAAACCCACAGCCAACATTATACTAAATGGGGAAAAGTTGAAAGCATTCCCCCTGAGAACTGGAACAAGACAAGGATGCCCACCTTTACCACTGCTATTCAACATAGTACTGGAAGTCCTAGTCAGAGCAATAAGACAAGAGAAAGAAACAAAAAGCATCCAAATCAGTAAAGAGGAACTCAAACTGACACTGTTCACCAATTATATGTTTGTATACCTAGAAAACCCTAAAAACTCATCCAAAAAGCTCCTAGATTTGATAAACGAAGTCAGTAAAGTTTCAGGATACAAAATCAATGTACACAAATCAGCAGCACTGCTATACACCAACAATGACCAAGCTGAGAATCAAATCAAGAACTCAACCCCTTTTACAACAGGTGCAAAAAAAAAGGAAATATTTAGGAATATGCCTAACCAGGGAGATAAAAGATCTCTGAAAGGAAAACTATAAAACACTGCTGAAAGAAATCATAGATGGCACAAATAGAAACACATCCCATGCTCATAGATGGGTAGAATCAATATTGTGAAAATGGTCATACTGCCAAAAGCAATCTACAAATTCAATGCAATTCCCATCAAAATACCATCATCATTTCTCATCGAACTAGAAAAAACATTCCTAAAATTCATATGGAACCAAAAAAGAGCCTGCATAGCCAAAGCAAGACTAAGCAAGAACAAATCTGGAGGCATCACATTACCCAACTTCAAACTATACTACAAGGCTATAGTTACCAAAAAAGCAAGGTACTGGTATAAAAATAGGCACATAGACCAATGGAACAGACTACAGAACCCAGAAACAAAGCCAAATACTTATAGACAACTGACATTTTTTTTTTTTTTAAGACAGGGTCTTGCTCTGTCGCCAAGGCTGGAGTGCAGTGGTGCGATCTCGGCTCACTGCAAGCTCCGCCTCCCAGATTCATGCCATTCTCCTGCCTCAGCCTCCCGAGTAACTGGGACTACAAGCGCCCGCCACCACACCTAGCTAATTTTTTGTATTTTTAATAGAGACGGGGTTTCACTGTGTTAGCTGGGATGGTCTCGATCTCCTGACCTCGTGATCTGCCCACCTCGGCCTCCCAAAGCTGGGATTACAGGCATGAGCCACCACACCCGGCCGACAACTGCCCTTTAACAAAGCAAACAAAAACATAAAGTGGGGAAAAGACACTGTATTCAACAAATGGTGTTGGGGTAATTGGCAAGCCACATGTAGAAGAAGGAAGCTGGATCCTCATCTCTCACCTTATACAAAAATCAGCTCAAAATGGATCAAAGACTTAAATCTAAGACCTGAAACCATAAAAATTCTAAAAGATAACCTCAGAAAAACAATTCTAGATATTGACTTAGGCGAAGACTTCATGACCAAAAGCAAATGCAACAAAAACAAATAGATGGTACCTAATTAAACTAAAAGGCTTCTGCACAGTAAAAGAAATAATCAGCAAACAGACAGCCCACAGAGTGGAAGAGTATCTTTGCCAGCTATGTATCTGATAAAAGACTCATATCCAGAATCTACAAGGAATTCAAAAAAATCAGCAAGAAAAAAACAAATAACCCCATCAAAAAGTGGGCAAAGGACATGAATAGACAATTCTCAAAAGAAGATATACAAATGGCCAACAAACATGAAAAAATGCTCAACATCACTAACGATCAGGGAAACGCAAATCGAAACTGCAGTGCAAAACCACCTTACTTCTGCAAGAATGGCCATAGATGTTGGCATGGATGTAGTAAAAAGGAGCACTTTTACATTGCTGTTGGGACTGTGAACTAGTACAACCCCTATGGAAAACAGTATGGAGAGTCCTTAAAGAACTAAAAGTAGAACTACCACTTGATCCAGCAATCCTACTACTGAGTATCTACCCAGAGGAACAGAAGTCATCATCCAAAAAAGACACTTGCTCATGCATGTTTATAGCAGCGCAATCTGCAATTGCAAAAATATAGAACCAGCCCAAATGCCCTTCAATCAATGAGTGGATAAAGAAACTGTGGTGTGTATATATATATATACATACACACACACACACACACACACACACACCATGGTATTATATTACATATATATGTTATATATATATGTTTTATATATATATGTTTTATATATATATGTTTTATATATATATGTTATATATATATATAAATGACATCAGTTTTCTCCAAAGACTTTTCTCTCTCCATGTATCTGTGACATATTTCTTTCTCTTGATATATGTCATTGTCAAGGAATCCTTGTTTTGACACTTCTTTTGTAAATCAGTTGCTTTTTCTCCTTGCCATTGCCCCACCTGCTTAGACTCTGTATCTCTCAGTTAAAGGATTGCAACAGTCTTCTAATTGCATTTCCTTTCTTTAGTTTTTTTTCTACCTCCAATTAATAGGACATAACATATATAGTATTCCATGGAATATATAGTATTCCATGGAATACTACTCAGCCATAAAAAGGAACAAAATAAAGGCATTCGCAGCAACTTGGATGGAGTTGGTGATCATTATCTAAGTGAAGTAACTCAGGAATGGAAAACCAAACATCATATGTTCTTACTTATAAGTGAGAGCTAAGCTATGAGGATGCAAAGGCATAAGAATGATATAATGGACTTTGGGTACTTGAGCGGAGGGGTGGGAGGAGGGTGAGGGATAAAAGACTACACATTGCGTACAGTGTACACTGCTCGGGTGATGGGTGCGCCAAATCTCAGAAATCACCACTAAAGAACTTTTCTGTGCAACCAAACACCATTTGTTCCCCCAAAACTGCTGAAATAAACAACAACAACAAAACAGAATAGATACTGTAAATTCATTCTAATTTGAGGAGGACAGAGAGAAGGGAGATAATGTCCCTTGTCAATTTTTTTGCATTTGTTTATATATTTACTGACTTTTGCTTTCTGTAGGTTAAATGACAATGGCCTTATGAAGTTGATATCTTTGTCTGAATTATTTAGATTGTTTTCCTTCAATTTTAAGAGTGCTATGTACTATGAAAGTACAGTGCTATGAAAAAGTGAGTTAGTAATAGTGTGGCTGCCAGTTGCCTTTGATTACAATGTGACTTTATATCCTGGGGGCACAGGTTGTACTCTGAGGACAGTGGGAAAGCTTTGGAAGATGGTGGGCTGTGGGAGACACCTGAGTGAAGCCATGTTTTAAAAAGATCAATTTGAATATGTTATGTCCTATTAATTGGAGGTAGAAAAAAAACTAAAGAAAGGAAATGCAATTAGAAGACTGTTGCAATCCTTCAACTGAGAGATACAGAGTCTAGGCAGGTGGGGCAATGGCAAGGAGAAAAAGCAACTGATTTACAAAAGTAGCGTCAAAACAAGGATTCCTCGACAATGACATGTATCAAAAGAAGGAAAGATGTCACAGATGCGTGGAGAGAGAAAAGTCTTTGGAGAAAACTGATGAGTTTAGCTTGGAACAGAGACTCTGAAAGGATGACAGGACACCCAGTTTGGACTTATCCTGTGGTTATATAGAGAGCAAGACTCTTAACTGTGGAGAGGTCAGAGGTGTGTGTATGAGGCTTGGAACAGCTTTTTGAGAAGCTATGCTGGCGGTTTTCCAGATAAGGGTCCAGTGAGGCCTTTGAAGTGGTTAGAATGGGCTTGGCCAGGCGGGGGCAGCAGAGCATCAGTAATTGCTGGGGACAGCTGGCCGGGACAAGAGCGCTGACAGGGAGTCATGTTTGGATTGAGCCTTCGCACTTGTTCACATTTGTGGGCTGGAAGAACTACAGCCAGTTAAGAAGACAGAGGGAGTGGGGTCCTGAAGGTGGGATCGCCTGGGCAGCACAAATGTGTGGAAGGCAAAGATGCAAAGACTTCTAGGAAGTCAGGAGGGGGTAGGAGTGTGAACAGAAGCAAATGACTAGTGACTTTGAAGAAAGAGATTTCAGAAGAATAGTGAGGCCAACACCAGGTTAAAAGGGGTCAAATGGGCTGGGCGTGGTGGCTCAAGGCCTGTAATCCCAACACTGGGAGGCTGAGGCGGGTGGATCACTTGAGGTCAGGAGTTCTGGACCAGCCTGGCCAATATGGTGAAACCCCATCTCTACTAAAAATACAAAAATTAGCCTGCAATCCCAGCTACTTGGGAGGCTGAGGCAGGAGAATCGCTTGAACCTGGGGAGGTGGAGGTTGCAGTGAGCCAATATCACACAACTGCACTCCAGCCTGGGTGACAAAGCCAGACTCAGTCTCAAAAAAAAGAGGAGGCAGGGGATTAAATGAGGAATGGGTATGGAGATGGAGAAAGTGGGAATAGGAATGTATATTTTCAAGTCAATGAAAAAAAGCAGAGTAACAGGATGGTCGCTTAAAGGGGAGGCAGAATAGAGAGATTTTCTTTTAACCTGAAGTATTCTCGTGAGTGTTTGTGAGCTCAATGAAATAATATCATGAAGAAAATAATTGAAAATGCCTGTGAGAGAAAGAACAAGGGGTTATGAAGACACTCCTCAGAAGAGTTGGGATATAATCAAGAGTTCTGGTGGAAAGTTTGGGTTGAAGGAGAGTAGGAAGGAAGAAGATATAGATAATGGAGATTTTATGGATCTTTATTAAGAGTGCCAACATTGTACAGTCAGCCCTTCATATCCATGCGTTCTGCATCACAGATTTAACCAACTCAGGATCAAAAATGTTCAGAAAAACAATTGCACCTGTACTGACATATACAGACTTTTCTTTGTCATTATTCCCTAAACAATATAGTATAACAACTATTTATATTGTATTAGGTATTATAAGTAATCTAGAGATTATTTAAGATATACGGGAGGATGTGTATAGGTTATTTGCAAATAACTATGCCATTTTTTATCATATACTTGAGCATCTGCAGATTTTGGTACCTGGGG
This sequence comes from Homo sapiens, assembly GCF_000001405.40. Taxonomy (NCBI): domain Eukaryota; kingdom Metazoa; phylum Chordata; class Mammalia; order Primates; family Hominidae; genus Homo; species Homo sapiens. The sequence goes on from NC_000007.14 coordinate 97,106,072, forward strand.
AGCAGAGGAGAAGCACTGGAACCAATTCCCCATATATATCAAGAGATGATTGTATAAGTAAGCTGTATTCCAAATGTTCATTAGTTATCTGGAAAAGTTAAATCATTTTCCTGGAGAAACATGTGGTATTGCGGATATGGCATGTGGAAAGATTCTGGGCTGTGCTCTTCAGATCATGACATTATAATCACCTCCCCCTACTTTATAAATGTGGATATAACTCAAAGTTATGTTTTTACTGTTTTCACTTTACATTCTCCTCCTCAGAGAGAAGTTTCACTTTTACGGTTTAAAATATTCTTAACTATATAACAATATTTTCCCCCATTGTTGCAAGGACTCTTTAGTACAGAAAAGGCTGAACATTTAATAATTAGTTTTTAACACAGTGCCGTAATATCTTGTGTACTTTCCCAGAACTCAAATGTCTCCAAGATGGGAATTTAGATCACTGGTTCTGAATCCTGGCTGCACATTAGAATCACTTTGCCTGGAGCTTCTAAGCAATATCAATGTCTCAGCCCACCCTTGGAGGTTTGAATTGAGGCCTCATTCAAGCAGTTTAGAATGAGGCCTAAGAAACAGTATTTTATTATTTTTTTTTTTTACCAGTTTCACAGGTGAATGTAATATACAGCAGATGTTGAGAGCCACTGACTTAGACGATTAAAGGAACTGCACTGACACTATTAGGTAAATTTTCAATGCATCATGTAGGGTAGGCTGCCCCATTCAAACTCAGTGTGATTAAAATAAAATGCATTTCCACAAGCAGTTTTCTCTCCGGACTTTCTGTCTTCAATTATACATCCACAAAGGAAAACATGAAAACCTCTTAGATTCAGCTTTTTTTCCATTTCCTCATATCCGGTCAGTCCTTAAATCCAATGTCCTTCATAGTCTCATGCCCATGCTCCCACAGCTCTGCCTGCCTCTATGTGTTATGAACTCCTGGAAATCTCTTGCTGTCTTCTTTGGCTCAAGTGCAGACAGTTGAGTTAATCATGTTCTTCAGGCATGTTGTCATCCTGGATTCATGCAAGGCCCTTTGTTTAAATGAAGGTATTTATTCATTCAATAGTCTATTTTGCACATGGCTGCCAGATTGTTTTTAAAAGACTGCTTTCACCAATTCTCTTGACTCACATCTCCCAGTAACTCCTCATTTCCTACTCTGTAAATGGTGAACTACTTTGTGTGCCTTTTAAGGCTTTATATAATTGGTATTGAAACTCCAGGGATTCAGTCTAGGTCCTGCTGCTCACCACACAGGAAGCCAATCACTGAGACAGAGTATTGCCAGGGAAGAAGGCTTTATTCAGGTGCTATAGCTGAGGAGATCGGAGATCAGTCTCAAATCCATCTCCATTCATCTCCCTGACCAACTAAAATTGAAAGTTTATATACCAGGAAAGAAAAGTAACTATGTGTGGGAAAACAGGAATTAGGGAGGGGTAAGGAAGAGGAATTGGCCAACAGGAAGCAGGTGGTCAGTTAGGCAATAATAATGGCTAAGGGATCTGGCATCTCATTGTCCAAATGCAGTGATTTAGTAAGTTTCAGTTCCTTGATACTATGTGGAAGGCCTGATGTTTGGTTTCCTGAGAAAGTAACTCAGATAAGAAAAATGTAACTTTCTTAAGTCTTAGGAATCTCCCAGACATTTTTTTCTTGCCATTATCCGTTAAACAATATAGGGAATAACTAAAAAAGTCTTGGGAGGGTCTATTTCTATGTTTATTCAAAAGAAACCATAAACATCAGTTTTATGGGACAATGGACCAGTTTCATAATCAACACCCATTCAACGTAGGATGTCACTTAACTTCTCTGGCCCATTTTACCACCTGTAAAATTATACGTTAATAAATATATAAAGATATGTAATTATATAATACTATATATTATACATATATAATTCTTTCTAGATCCAAACAAATATTCCTATTTTTTAAAGGACTATTTTCTATTCTGCCTACAATAGGCTATTCATTATTCTAATCAGTTTGGTTTCTTCACTGTTCTAACAACACAAGCTCAGTGTTGCTTTTCATGTTGTTTTTCTCTTTTGAAAAACCTCAGGTCTTTTCTTAACCTGTCTATATGATATCATTATTCAAGGCACAGCTTAGATTCCACTCATCTATAATGTCTTCCTAGATGAGTGCCTGAGTATATGATCACACAATTTGAAATATAATCCATTTTGTTTTGTGTTGTTCCCAGCCCTTAAGTATCTTTTTAATATTTTCTAAATATTCTGTTTTTATGTTCCTTTCTTTGTTCTAAGATTTATGTATAAGGATGCTTTAGAATTTTTGAGTGGTTGTACTTTCATGTTGTTTTAATTTTTGTGGCTACATAGTAAGTATTATGATTTTCTAATTTTGTGCATTGTGGTCAGAGAATAAGATCTATAAAATTCCTGGTTTTAAAAAATGCGTTTAAATTTTTCTTTGCAATATCATCTAATTTTTGATCAGCTTTTGTCAAGATTTTTATGGAAACTTTAAAGTAATATGAATTCTTTGTTTTCAACAGTTTTTAAGCCAGTAATGTAAAATATCTTTTTACATGTAAAAGAGATATAACTTATTGTTCAAAACTGGGAACTACATTCATAATCTTACCAGTAAGTATTTTAGCATGTTTGCTTCTAGAGTTTCTATTTTTAAAAAATGACTAAAATCATATATATTATATATATTTGTATCCTGCTCTTGATTATTAACAATAATTTGATGTGTTTTGTCATTAAAATATCATACTTAACATCATTTTTAAAAGCATATTTAATATTCCATTATATGGCTATATCATAATTTAATTAATTCCTTGGTGTTGGACATTTACATTTCATTTTTTTTTTACAACTGAAAATAATATATCATTCTTCAAATGCTAAAATAATAGACTGGAAACACACCCCAACCTCCCATTCCTACTAATCTTTAGAAATGAGATAACGTATATTTTAAAAAGCTGTAACTGGATTGGAAAAGATGGGGAATTTAATATTAATAATTTAAAGTAATATGAATTCTGTTTTAAAGTTTTTAAACAAGTTATGTAAAATATCTGTTTATATGTAAAAGAGATAATGTGTTGTTCAAAATTGGGAACTACATTCATAATCTTACCAGAAATAACAGTACTGTAAGTATTGAAACTTCAGAAACTGTGAAGATTCCCTGGGTGATGGAGAGTAGCTCTCATTGAAAAAGAAAGCTCAGCCCAAAAGGTAAGTACATGAGTACTGTTAGAAGCAGGTAAGAGTGATTCCCAGAATGTACCACACCTGGAAGAGATAAACACTATGAGCAGGGAGGGTCTTGGCAGCAAACAGGGTGATTAGTCAGGGTACCACAGTAGGATCAGCCAGGTGGCTGCCTCCAGGTGAAGGCAATGGGTATGGGAGATTGGGTCAGAGAGATAAGAATGTGCCCTTAAGTGGATAACAAGGGCACACAAGAGGGTAGGAATTTCCACAAGTGTAAGACTAAGATACCCACTAAGATACTCAGACTGGCAAGATATCCTAGTGGCACATTGTCTCTACTCCCTTACTCTTACTGAAAATTGATAGACATACAATCCTTGGTAGCCTGTCTTGTCTTTCCTTTGAGAGAAGAGACACACTAACTGGGCATCTGAAATACAAAAGTAAGTACCTAGTCAGAATTGTTCGTATTTGTGGAAAGCCAACACCCGGAAATACAATGAACTCAACAAATATAAGTACTTATACCTCAGGAAACAGTTAACAGAGCAAGCAGAACAGGATGAGAACAGAGGATAGTGTATCACTAAGAATAGGGAAACTAAATTTGAACAATAATCTGAACCTACAATTGGAATAGACATCAATATAGGACATTGCAGAGGACAGGCAGGGAGGGAAATAAAATCATGCTAATGTTCCTGTCTTATTTGGAGGAGCATATAGGAACTGATTAACCTTAGATATTGTTTGAACAATATGATATTATGGATACATGTTGAAAATGCAAGGGTGATGACTAGAACAACAGAAATAGAATTTAAAAGGCCGGGCGTGGTGGCTCACACCTGTAATCCCAGCACCCTGGGAGGCTGAGGCGGGTGGATCACAAGGTCAGGAGATTGAGACCATCCTGGCTAACACGCTGAAACCCCATCTCTACTAAAAATACAAAAAAATTAGCCGGGGGTGGTGGCAGGCACCTGTAGTCCCAGCTACTCGGGAGGCTGAGGTAGGAGAATGGCATGAACCCGGAAGGCGGAGCTTGCAGTGAGCTGAGGTCGCACCACTGTGCTCCAGCCTGGGTGACAGAGCGAGACTCTGTCTCACAAAAAAAAAAAAAAAGAAAAAAGAAATAGAATTTAAAAGTTTCCAACTGGTAGTTCAATAAAAGGCAATACAGTCAAAAAAATCTGGAAATTGTGGTTAGTAGAAAACACAAAATATGACAGCAGGGAGTAGTTCAAACAGACCATGAAACACAATAATAGGCTAAATTGATCAACTGAGAGACTGCATAAAACCCAGTTATAATAAAGAGGAGAAAAACAAAATGACATGTAATGGTTGAACATAAAAAGACACTTGAAGCAAATGTTAACAAAAGCAATTATAACTATATTAATATCAGATAAAAAAGAATTTTTTGTTTATTTGAGATTGAGTCTCGCTCTGTCATCCAGGCTGGAGTGCAGTGGCACGATCTTGGCTCACTGTAACCTCCATCTCCCAGGTTCAAGTGATTCCCCTGCCTCACCCTCCTGAGTAGTTGGAATTACAGGTGTGTGCCACCATGCCCGGCTAATTTTTTGTATTTTTAGTAGAGATGGGGTTTCACCATGTTGGCCAGGCTGGGGGGTCTCGAACTCCTGACCTCGTGATCCACCCCCGTCGGCCTCCCAAAGTGCTGGGATTACAGGCGTGAGCCACCATGCCTGGCCAGATAAAATACAATTTATGACAAAAATACTGAAAGGAACTTGAACTATTTCATGTTATTGAAAGGTATAAGAAAGTATAACAATCATAAGTCTCAATGTGTCTAACAACATAGCTCCCAAAAGCACAAACCAAAAACAAAAACACTCATGTGGAGAAACTGACAAATCCACAATCATACTGGGTGAATCCAAAGCTCTACTTACTGAAATGGAAAGATTGAGGAGGCAAAGAAAAAGAGAAAGTATAGAAAATTTGAATAATATAATCAACTGAACCAGATAATGCAGTTTTTAGTTTATTCTTTTTGCACAACTAAGGAAATACGGTTGACCCTTGAACAACATGAGTTTGAACTGCACGGGTCCACTTATATGTGGATTTAAAAAAAAATACACTGAAAATTTTTTGGAGATTTGTGACAGTTTGACAAAACTCAAAAACTGCATAGCCTAAAAATATAAAAAAATTAAGAAAATGTGAGGTATGTCATAAATTCATAAAATACAATGCAGATACTAGTTTATTTTTATCATTTGTTACCATAAAATATACTCAAATCTATTATAAACAGCTAAAATTTATCAAAACTTACACATACAAACAGACTGTATATGGGGTCATTCCCAGTAGAGAGAAATGTAAACAAACATAAAGGTGTGGTATTAAATCATAACTGCATAAAACTAATGGTGGTTCATACTGTTCTACTGTAATAATTTCATAGCCACCTCCTGTTGCTATTTTGGTGAGCTCAGGTTTGCAAGTATCTGCTTAAAACAGTGTGTGATGCTACGTCCAGGGGCAGTGGCTCACGCCTGTAATCCCAGCACTTTGGGAGGCCGAGGCAGGCAGATCACACAGTCAGGAGATGGAGACTATCCTGGATAACACGGTGAAACCCCGTCTCTACTAAAAATACAAAAATTAGCCGGGTTTGGTGGTGGCACGCGCCTGTAGTCCCAGCTACTGTGGAGGCTGAGGCAGAAGAATCGCTTGAACCTGGGAGGCGGAGGTTGCAGTGAGCCAAGATCGCGCCATTGCACTCCAGCCTGGGCGACAGAGGGAGACTCCGTCTCAAAAAACAAAAACAAAAAACAATAAAGCACTGTGTGATGCTAATAATCTCTGCGTGAACAGTTCATCTCTCCAGTAAACCGCATATCCCAGTAAAAAGAGATCTGTCACAGTTCTTGCATATTTTTTATTGCATCCAGTGCAATACAGGAAACCTTGAATAACACCATGTGAAGTGCCACTAGCAATGCTGGAAGCGCTCCCAAGAAGCAGAAAAAAGTCATGACATTAAAAGAAAAAGTTAAATTGCTTGATATATACCATAGATTGAGGTCTGCACTTATGGTTGCCAGCCATTTCTGACATACAATTCATCTTGGAAACAGATGACATAAACTTATGGCATTGATAAATATAGTACAGTACTGTAAATATGTTTTCTCTTCCTTATGATTTTCTTAACATTTTCTTTTCTGTATCTTACTTTATCATAAGAACACAGTATATAATACACATACAATATGTGTTAATCAACTGTTTACCTAATTATAAGGCTTCTGATCAATAGTGGGTGAATCCTAAGCTCTACTTACTGAAATGGAAAGATCGAGGAGGCAAAAAAAAGAGAAAGTATAGAAAATTTGAATAATATAATCAACTGAACAAGATAATGCAGTTTTTAGTTTATCCTTTTTGCACAGTAGTTATGTTTTTGGGGAGTCAGAAGTTATATATGAATTTTTAACTGGCATCCCTAACCCTTGCATTCTTTAAGGGTCAGCTGTATGTGCATTTTTTTCCCTTTTTACACAGAATTTTGCCTACTTTGTCAGATGTTTTTCTATCAACTAAGATGCTGGCTTTTGTGTTGCAGAATTCATTGATTTCTATTTTTTTATTATTATTATTATTTTGGAGACAGAGTCTGGCTCTGTCGCCCAGGATGGAGGGCAGTGGCGCGCTCTTGGCTCACTGCAACCTCCGCCTCCCAGGTTCAAGCGATTCTCCTGCCTCAGCCTCCCCAGTAGCTGGGACTACAGGTGCCCGCCACCACACCCGGCTAATTTTTTGTATTTTTAGTAAAGACGGGGTTTCACTGTGTTAGCCAGGATGGTCTAGAACTCCTGACATCATGATCCACCCACCTCGGCCTCCCAAAGTGCTGGGATTACAGGCGTGAGCCACCACACCCGGCTATTATTATTATTTTAAAATCAGGAATGGGTGTTGAATTTGTCAAATGTTTTTCAGCTTATGAACAATGGTCATTTTTTTCCTCCTTATATCTTATAGTATATCATTAATACTTTAAATTATAAAATATAACATTTTATCTGGACTTTCGATTGATTTTCTGTTCTCAGTAATCAACAATTATAAACATTTAAAAACATTCCTTATGGTTTGCTTTTTCTCTCCAGATACAAACACATTAAGTTTCTCTTTGATTTTTTTTTTTTTTTTTGAGACGGTATCTCGCTCTGTCACCCAAGCTGGAGTGCAGTGGCGCAATCTCGGCTCACTGCAAGTTCCACCTCCCTGTTTCATGCCATTCTCCTGCCTCAGCCTCCCGTCTCTGGTATTTTTTATGTAACATGTTTCAGAAATTCAGAAAAATGCTAAAGACTATTATGCTTTCTAAACTGACTTTCAGAGAATGGACTTTCCATGAATGTATTTGCTTTTCTAATTCCTTGAACAGTATGTTTAAGCTTGAAATTTTGGTTTTAAGACTATCTGCTATCTTACCATTGCATTTCAATAATTAGACATACCAGATACCATTTAAAAACGTTAAAGAATTCTTTTCTTTTTATAGTTTTAATCGTCACACAATGATGTACCTAACTTTGAGACTCCAAGGTAAGGTGGGAAATGAAAGACAATTTCTGGTGTTGTTTTGGGGGACCATGGGTAGTCGCAATGGCCAGATCAGGTTTGTACATCTCTCTAGGCCTCTAAGCATGTGAGAGCTGTTTGGGTTGAAGATGTATCTTGTCCCAGACTTTTCATTGTTCTCAGTAATTTAGAACTTGAAATTTGAGTAACTATAATTTGAAAACTGAGCCACTTGTGCAACTGAATTCAAGACTGTAAAAACCTTGTTTTCTTATCTAATGATGTAAAGCAGCTTCCAAATCTTTTGTCATCAGTTCTCCCCCTCCCCACTCCTTTCTCACTTCCGTTTGAGAGAAAAATGCTTTAGCATTATTTGCAAGCAAGTCTTATTTTCAACATTTTAGTAAAGACTAGAGTATAATACAAAGTGAAAATTCAGTACACTCCATACAGGTATTTCTTCTCCTTTAATTTATTTTTCCTCATTTACCAATTCTCTCCATCTCTTTTGACCTCAAAATTCTCTATCTGCTTGCCAAAAATTGTCCCTAGCTGCCTCCTTCCATTTCTAGCTGTGTGTGAGGTAGTCCACAGAAGCAATACACTGAATAGTGCAGTTGCTGTGTTGATCATCCCTATGGCTATAGGTGGTTATTATATTTTGTGTGCCCTGAAAGGCTTAGGTGATGTGTTCCATATACAATTTTAAGGCATTTACCCCACGTTTTTCTAAACAAAAAATTTTTAAAGCAATTATTTAAGAGTGGATATATGTTCTCTTTCACTTTACAAAAAATTTTGGAGGGAATCTGAGAGAAGTCATGGTTAGAGATTAGTAAAGTTGGAAAGTACTGCAAATTACCTAACCCAGCTCATTTACAAGTGAGAAAATCTGGGCACAGAGCGGTTAAATCACTTGCAGAGTAACATATAAGAAAAAGAAACACATGAAGGAAGGATAAAGGAAAGGTCTGCATGAAGTGTAGTGATCTAGATTGGTGGCCAGAAATATAAGTGTGATTTTATTTTCAGTTCATGGCTATTTTTACCACAAGAGGAACACTGATCAGCCTAAATTGGTCAGGGAAACAGAGAAAAGTTTTGTCCTCAAAACATAGCTCACTGTCCAGCTTGTTGTAAAAAAAATAAAATAAAGGTTAACTGTCATTATTCTCACTGTTATTGCTTTATTCCACTTCTCAAGGCCTAACCACACCACTATGTCTTGGCTTCTCTTTCACCCATCGTCTGCCATTTTGAGCATTGATTCTCCAATGCTTTGTGGACCCTTTCTACTCTCTTTAGGCTCAATTAATTCCTTTATTTTTTAATTAATTCATTGGCAGAATGTTTTCTCACATTTTTATAAGAGTGTTGGCTCTTGAAAGAGGTATTTATTACACATGTTCTTTAACTCCAAAGGAAACCAGAAAAAAACAAACGGGGACAAGAAATCAATTTTCAATTTTACAGGGATATTAACAGATGAAGTATGGTTAGAAAAAAATTTCCTGAAGCAAAATAACCACGCTGCCATTCAATCCTTGCCATTAATGCAGTTTGTCATAATACCAAATTAAATCCATTTTTAAAAAGTTCTGTGTTTTTTAAAACACATATTTTCCCTAAATTTAAGCAAAAGGAGAAGCTCTATTCAAAGCAATAAATTCTACTTACTATTTGTATGGCACTGTGGTGGGCCCTGAAAAGGATACTAAAATGAGTAAGTACCTGCCTTCAGTAGCTGAGTGTGTCTTGTTTTTCTTTCAGAAAGTTTTTGCACAGAAAGAAGTCTGGGGTCTGTGAGACAATCACACAAATTTCAACATTTCTGCCTCTTCTTCACCAGCAGGAATATGAGGCATCTGACACCGTTAGTGAGTTTCACACATTAATTCAACAGATATTTATTGAGTGCTTACTACAGACCTAGTGCAGGTCACTAACAAATCACAAAATCCCTGCCCCTATAGAATTTGTACTCTAGTTGGGGGATAATAAATGGAGAATAAGCACATGAGTAAATTATGTAAGTAATATAGAGAGAAACAAAGCAGAGGAGGAGCATAAGAAATTCTTGGTTTGGTGAGGTTGCAACTTCAAGCAGGGTTTCAAATAGGGTTGCCAGGGAGGGTCTCATTAGAAGGGGACCTGAAGTATGCGCTGAGTGAAATAAAAGTGTTAGCCAGGAAGATACATTTGGCAAAGCACTCCAAGTAGACGGGACAGCAAGTGCCAAGGCCTCAGTTGGGAGTGTACCTGGCTTTTTAAAATATGAACTAAGAGCTAGGAGGCCAGTGTGGCTGCAACTGGCTAACTAGGGAGAAAGCAATAGGAGAAAATTTAAACCTTTAAGGGCTAGAGACTGGGCTTTACTCTGATGAAAATCCCTGGAGGCTTTTGTTGAGCAGAGGAGTGAAATGATCCGATTTACAGTTTAGATTGTTAAAAGAAAAACTTTAAACAAGTTAAATCTAATAAAGTTTATTTGCACGAGCGCACGTGCACACACACACACGATTTATGAGGCATTCATCAGGCAGCAGCACTTAACAGGGAGAGGTTCAGAGAGCTCTACCCAGCACTGTGGGCAGGCAGTATTTATAGACAGAAAAAGGAAGTGCCCCACAGAAACAGCTTGATTGCTTACAGTTGGGCTAGTCTTATTTGGGCAGGACATTATGACGTATTTGCCTTATATGCACATAGTCTGATCAGTTGGCAGCCTGTGATTGGCTGAAGCTCAGCTACTTGTCACAAGAATATACTCTCAGTTGCAGTTAATTTACATACTAAGTTAGGTTGCAGTTCCCTACATAGCAACTCAGAGTAGGGAGGAAATTTTAGGCCAAATTTAATTTAAATTATGTTGGAGCATGACCAAAGTTGGTCATGACCAGAAGCTGAACACAGATATGGAAGCTAACACAATATCCAGTGGAGAGAGATTGTGGTAGAGTACATGGGGCGAAATGGTTGATTTCTGCATTTTTGTTGGTGACGCCATCAGGATTTGCTGAAGAACCAAACGTGTGACAGGAAAGGACAACACAAGGAGCTGCCAGCTTTGGAAACCAGTTCTACTCTCAGTATTACCTTCGCAAAAGATAGAGCTTTGTAAATTTCTAGATTCCTCGTTCTTATTATCCTAGACTATTTAACCAGAATCTCCAGGGTCGTGGTCCTGGAAACAATACGTTTAAAACTCTTCCCAAGGATCCTTCAGCAGCCAACTTGACTTTGGCTAAGGAGTCCGCCAGCTCTGGGCTCACTTGGGTTGTTTGCAAGGAAGAGCCCATGCCCAGAGTATAAATTGGGAGAACAGCGCTGTGCAAAGAGCGTGGGTTGGTGAGCTAGTGGATGGCGAGATTAATCTCACTCTGATCCCTAAAGCAGGGTGCAGTAATACTCTAAATGCCTCAAATGGGTTGGGAACCATGGAAGGAATCCCGGAGGAGCCCGATCTTAACGAAGCTTTTCTCAGGCCTTTGGTAGGAGGACAGAAACGAAGTTGAATGAAAAAGACAGTGGAGTGGGACTGAGAAATGACAACGGCCCACCACAGACCTCTCTCTTTCAAGGCCTGTGTCGTCAGGACGCAGGCCAGAAGAAGCCACGACGAGGCGCAGGCGCGACTCCACGAGGGCCACGCCCCTCCTAGAGAAGGACCGACCCGTTTTCCGCCCGCAGCGGAGCTTGGGTTTCCGGGAGGACCTGATTGTGCAAGGGACCAAACCGGATAGAGGTCGCGCGCCCTCTTTCGTCTGCCTTCCGGTTCACTAATACGCAAGTTCGCAGAAGTGCGGGAACGCGCCGTCCCTCTGCGCAGGCGCAGTCGGCGGTCGGCGTGGGGCGCTATGCCGGGGCGGCACGTTTCTCGAGTCCGGGCATTGTACAAGCGCGTCTTGCAGCTGCACCGTGTTCTGCCCCCGGACCTCAAATCCCTGGGCGACCAGTACGTGAAAGACGAATTTAGGAGACATAAGACCGTTGGTTCTGACGAGGCACAGCGTTTCTTGCAAGAATGGGAGGCAAGTGACGCTCCCTTCTCTTTGCCCAAGACCTTTGGGGTTCCTCGGTGTCCAGGTTTCTAGTTCCAGTCCCCCATGCGGGGTTAAACAGAGCAGCAACCTGTTCTGTTTGAAATAGCGTAATGCTGTTCAGGTAACACTTTCCAAAGTTTCTCCCACGGGTTTCTCACTAGAGCAGATCCTGTTACTTCAGCGTCCCCAATTCAGTTCAACTTTTGAGCTCCTGCAGATGCCAGGTGCTCAAAGGGTGAGGGTAGGAGGTCACAAAAATGAGCAAGTCGTCGTTAAGTGCTCAAAAACCTCAGGAGCTTTTTGTCCTTTTAAGTGCCTTTGCACCTAGTAAGCGCCCATTAATAAATTAATGGTTCTCTTATTAGTTTTCAAATTTAAAGGCTTATTTCCGTAATTTATTATTTAATCTCAGCGCTTTTGGTTGGGTTTAAATAATTTTCTCACTTGGCTGATACAGAAATCAGGTAACATGAAAAAGATTACAAAAGGTTGGAGATTACAAACTGTGAAGGAGAAAAATGCTGGTGGCAGTTAAGTCAGGCGAAAGTTGTTTCCTCCGGTCTCAAGTCATTGTTACTTCGCCCTGCACCATTGCGCTAAATATTAAACAGACACATGCATTAGCAATAAGTCGTTTGACTTTTTTTTTTTTTTTTTGAGTAAAGGAAAAAAGATATTCAGAGTATTTCGTGGGGCTCGGGGCCCTGCAGGATTGCCCCTAGTTTTCATTTGCAAATATAAATAAATGAATGGAATTAGAGATTGGAATGACAGCTCAGATATTTGAAAGCATGAGTTGGAGCTGATATGAAAATAGAGGTAAGCGGTTCTTCGGCCTAAATAGTTGAAGGGGAGATGACTGAAGTCGGCTTTGTAAAAAAAAATCAAAAGAATGGTTAGGGTGAACACAAACTTTGCACTGACTTCCAGAATTCTTTTTTGTATAATTATTGAAGCTTTTAAGAGCGACATTTAGAACAATCGGGAAATTTAGAACTTTCTTGAAAATCATGGTGTATTTGATGTAATTCGCTTGCCTGAAGCAGGGAAGTTGAAGCTTTTCAGACACAGAGCACTTTATTTTAATAAGGTAATTTGGTTTTGGAGCCTGAAGAACTGGATTCAGATTCAGTCTCTGACATTTTAAGTGTCAGATCACATAATTTTTCTAGTCTTATTTTCTCATCTATAAAATAATAAGTGTTTATGCATCTCAAAATTTACGTATGTAAATGTATTTACAAGCACTTGTGTATTGCTAATTGTTATGAAGCTATAAGATACTGTATTAAAGTATTTTACATCTTTTATGGTAGGTCATTTTGTGGCCGTACAGGAAGGAGAGTAGCTCTCTGTTGGGAGGAAATAAGGTTATTTTAAGAAGTCTTAAAATGTAAGCACATGGAAGCCTCTTTGGGAAAAAGTAGGAAAGAGTAGCAACTCAGAAAAAATTGATAATAGGTTGTAGGAGAGAGAGAGGGTATAAAAAAGAACTGCATAAATAAAAAATGTGTTAGTTGACCTAGTAGGCTTGGTAACTGGGATTGAGCTTTTTAAAACTTGGAATAATTTTAGACATACAGAAGAGTTAGAAAGACAGTAGAGAGTTCCCTACATCCTGTTTCCCCCTGTGTTAGCATCTTACATAATCAGGGTACAGTGATCAAAAACAAGAAATTAACATTGCTACAATGCTGTTAACTACAGACTTTATTTACAATTTGCCAGCCCTTTCACTAATGTCCTTATTCTGTTCCAGGATCCAATGGGGATTCTACAATGCATTTAGTTATTCTTTTTCCTTAATCTCCATTCTGTGACAGTTGCTCCGTCTTCCTATCTTTCATTACCTTGATACTTTTTTGAAAAGTACTAGTCTGTTACTTTGTGGAATGTATCTCAATTTGAGTTTGTCTGATGTTTTCTCATGGTTAAATTGATGTTATGCATTTCATAACATCTCAGTAAGAATACCACATGGGCAAAGTGTTCGCCTCAACACTTAATGTCAGAGGGCACATGATACTAACATGACTTCTTACTGGTGATGATAACTGTGATCACTTGGTTAAAGTAATAATCCACGTGGTGTCTCTACTGTAAACTTACTATTTTCTCTTTTGAAATTAATACATATTTGGGGGTAGGTACTCTCAGGCTTTCAGATGATTACTAGTCTTAGCATTCATTGATGGATTTTGCCATTGTGTTCCAATGGTGGCTCTTTTGTTTCCCTCATTCCTTCTGAATTTATTAGTTGACACGCGTCTGTAGAGAACAGTTTTCCTGTCTTCCCCGACCATTGTTGATCTACTGGAATTAATGAATTGGCAGCTGGGTAAAGATAAATTTAAACGTAGTAATCTCTTTGTATAACATAATTATCACAGTTACAAGGCAGCTTAATCTAAGCCTGGGAGTTAGACGTGGTAGGTTGGATCCTACCAGGAAAGATACTTGAAGAACTGGTCTTTTTGAAAGAGTAGGGCTAGAGAAGATGCTAATGATTGGAGGGGAGAAAAACCTGGCTAGAGAAGTTTTATCACCAGAGAGTAATATACTTAAGACTTCCAAGTCTTTTTCCCCCCCACCTGTTCTTCAAAATATCTAATTTATGATTATGTTATACTAGATACTGCTAGACATGACATGGATTTTTATGCCTTTATTTTTCAGTTAGTGCTCATTACAAACTTGGCACCTGTTGTTTGAATATAACTTAATGGTTACGTTTACATCAAACTAAGAGTAACTGTTGTGGACTTCTAACTTAATATGTAGAGTCTGGTCTACACGATCCCAGTCCCTCACACACATCTAAACTTAATTATGGACTTGAATGGATTCTGAATTTGTTTTACATCAGGGGCAACGTTGGGTATAGTTGCCACTGGAGAAAAGAAAGGGATCAAGAACACTAGAGGCCCCATATTTGGAAGAGAGTTCTCTAATTCTCTTCATTTGTGATCCTGGAAAACTGGCAATATAATAGTAGAGAGAATTCAGCTGGGGGAAGTTTTTGTTCAGGGACCAAGTGGGGCAACGTGGAAGGAAAGTATTTTAAGTATAGAAATGTAAAAGCATGTTTACAGAGTAAATAGTGAATTTATGTAATTTCTCACCATAAGAGAAAAAATTTAAGTTCAGGAAGAGTTTTTGGGAATCTATGAAGGGAGAATGTACGATAACTGGTTTGTAAAATGTGCATTGTAATCTCAACTCTTAGGAGGTAACTATTAGAAGTGAAATTGAGACTCCATAGATCGGGGGTCTTACTACGGCATTTTAAAAGTTCTGACTGTGCTCATTTTTGAGGAATAGTTGTTTAAGGCTTTCTATTTTTCTCTCTGTGCCTACCACTTATTTTCTAGGAAATCAGAATAAGCATTGAAGATTAAATAGATAAAACATGTTGGTGAGAGAATATGAGACAAAGAGCACAGAAGAGTGTGCTCTCAGGAGCTACCTGAAGAGACTTCATTTATTTTTCTTTTTCTGTCCCATGTATTTTTCTGAGTTGTCTCTTGCCTAGTTCCTGTTGTTTTTCTTAAGTACCTGTTCTGTGTCTGTTGTGGAATATTTTTTAACTGTTTTGTTTCTAGAAAAAGGCAGAAACATTTTTCAGATAGTTTTGATCACTTACTATTTCCAGACAATGTGCTAGGCATTTAAGACACAAAAATGAATAATAAATGTATTTTACTTTCACAGTGTTCAAAGTTTAGTAGAAAAGGATAGACAATTGTAATATAGTATGAAAGAGTGTCTATTAAATGCTGTGGGATCAAGGAGTAATGGAGGAAGTTGAAAGCTACACAAGATGGTTAAGTCTTGAGTAGGTCAAATTTACCATATCAAAAAGAGAACCTTCTAGAAAGAGGGAATAACATATGCAGAGGCATCGAGGTAAGAAACAGTATGAGGTTTTTTGGTTTTTTTTTTTTGTTTTTTTTTTTTTTGTTTTTGAGATGGAGTCTTCGCTCTATCGCCCAGGCTGGAGTGCAGTGGCGTGATCTCAGCTTACTGCAAACTCCGCCTCCCAGGTTCATGCCATTCTCCTGCCTCAGCCTCCTGAGTAGCTGGGACTACAGGCGCCCACCACTGCGCCCAGCTAATTTTTTGTATTTTTAGTAGAGATGGGGTTTCACTGTGTTAGCCAGGATGGTATTGATCTCCCGACCTTATGATCCGCCCACCTGGGCCTCCCAAATGCTGGGATTACAGGCGTGAGCCACCGCGCCCGGCCGAAACAGTATGACTTTTTTCCAGGAACTGCAGTGTTGTGTTTGGAATTTAGTGTTTTACGCAGAAGATGAGGAAGAAATAAAGCTAAAGAGGTGGCAGGAGACAGGATATTCTGCTAAGGGTTTTAAGTTTTTATTTTGAATCATTGAAGGCTTTGTAAATGGTGGAAATGACTTAAATTACATTCTAGAAAGATCATGTTAGCAGCAATATAGAGGAATAATTGAAGTAAAAGCCTGATTGAAAGTAGGGAGAACTGTTAGTAGATGGATGTAGTAATCCCAGTCTCAAATAGGTATATACCTAAACCAAGACAGAGGCCTTGAAAATGGAGGATATAGATTTATGAGGTTTTTTTTTTTTTTCTTTTAAAGTAGAGTGGAACTTGACTTGTTGACTAATACAGTATTAGTGAAGGAGAAGAAAACAGAATGGATAACTCTCAGGTTTGGAGCATGATACCAGTAACCAGAATAGTCATATAGGAGGAACAGATTGGGAATGAGTTCAGTTTGGTGTGCTTTGTGCTAAAAATTCTCATGGACAGTTAAGTGAAGATGTTCAGAGAGATATGTGTTGGTCTGATACTCAGGAGACAGATTGTGGCTGGAGACAGAGATTTGGAAGTTATTACCTGTAGTTGGTAGACTAAAGATGTGGGTGGAAGTGCCCCTTTTGGGTATAAGTTGGTCAAAGATAGAACATTAACATTTAGGAGTTAAGAGAATGAAAGTAGTTGTATAGTGCTGGAATTTTTCTTTTCTTTTTTTTTTTTCCATCTGTATGTAGTTGTTCCTAGCTACTGCTGCAATGGAAGTACTTTTTTACTTTTTAAAATTTTATTTTAAGTTCTGGGATACATGTGCTGAACATGCAGGTTTGTTACATAGGTATACATGTACCATGGTGGTTTGCTATACCTATCAACCCATCATGTAGGTTTTAAGCCCTGCATGCATTTGGTATTTGTCCTAATGCTCTACCTCCTCTTTCCCCCCACCCCCTGAAAGGCCCAGGTATGTGATGTTCCCCTCCCTGTGTCCATGTGTTCTCATTGTTCAATTCCCACTTAGGAGTGAGAACATGAGGTTTTTGGTTTTCTGTTCCTGTATTAGTTTGCTGAGGATGATGGTTTCCAGCTTCATCCATGTCCCAGCAAAGGACATAAACTCATTCTTTTTTATGGCTGCATAGTATTCCATGATGTATATGTTCCACATTTTCGGTATCCAGCCTATCGTTGATGGATATTTGGGTTGGTTCCAAGTCTTTGCTATTGTAAATAGTGCTGCAGTAAACATACATGTGCATGTGTGTTTATAGTAGAATGATTTATAATCCTTTGGGTATATACCCAGTAGTGGGATTGCTGGGTCAAATGGTATTTCTGGTTCCAGATCCTTGAGGAATTGCCACACTGTCTTCCACAATGGTTGAAGTAATTTACACTCCCACCAACAGTGTAAAAGTGTTCCTATTTCTCCACATCCTCTCCAGCATCTGTAGTTTCCTGATGTTTTAATGATTGCCATTCTAACTGGCGTGAGATGGTATCTCATTGTGGTTTTGATTTACATTTCTCTAATGACCAGTGATGATGAGCTTTTCTTATGTTTGTTTACTGCATAAATGTCTTTTTTTTTTTTTTGAGAAGGGTGTGTTCATATCCTTCGCCCACTTTTGGATGGGTTTTTTTTTTTTCTTGTAAATTTGTTTAAGTTCCTTGTAGATTCTGGATAGTAGCCCTTTGTCAGATGGATAGATTGCAAAAATTTTCTCCCGTTCTGTAGGTTGCCTGTTCACTCTGATGGTAGTTTCTTTTGCTGAGCAGAAGCTCTTTAATTTAATTAGATCTCATTTGTCAATTTTGGCTTTCGTTGCCATTGCTGTTGGTGTTTTAGTCATGAAGTCTTTGCCCATGCCTATGTCCTGAATGGTATTGTCTAGGTTTTCTTCTAGGGTTTTTATGGTTTTAGGTTTTACGATTAAGTCTTTAATCCATCTTGAGTTGGTTGTAAAGTGTAAGGAAGGGGTCCAGTTTCTGTTTTTTGCATATGGCTAGCCAGTTTTCCCAGCACCATTTATTAAATAGGGAATCCTTTCCCCATTGCTTGTTTTTGTCAGGTTTGTCAAAGATGAGATGGTTGCAGATGTGTGGTGTTATTTCTGAGGCCTCTGTTTTGTTCTATTCATCTATATGTCTGTTTTGGTGCCAGTATCATGCTCTTGTGGTAACTGTAACCTTGTAGTAATAGTTTGAAGTCAGGTAGCGTGATGCCTTGAGCCTTGTTCTTTTTGCTTAGGATTGTCTTGGCTATGCGGGCTCCTTTTTGGTTCCACATGAAATTTAAAGTAATTTTTTTTCTAGTTCTGTGAAGAAAGTCAATGGTAGCTTGATAGGAATAGCATTGAATGTATAAATTACTTTGAGCAGTATGGCCATTTTAGCAATATTAATTCTTCCCATCCATTAGCATGGAAGGTTTTTCCATTTGTTTGTGTCCTCTCTTACTTCTTTGAGCAGTGGTTTGTAGTTCTCCTTGAAGAGGTCCTTTGTGTCTCTTGTAAGTTGTATTTCTAGGTATTTTATTTTCTTTGTAGCAATTGTGAATGGGAGTTCACTCATGATTTGGCTCTCTGTTTGTCTATTATTGGTGTATAGGAATGCATGTGATTTTTGCACATTGATTTCATATCCTGAGATTTTGCTGAAGTTGTTTATCAGCTTAAGGAGTTTTTGGGCTGAGACGATGGGGTTTTCTAAATACACAATCAGGTCATCTGCAAACAGTTTGACTTCCTCTCTTCTTATTTGAATACGTTTTATTTTTTTCTCTTGCCTGATTGCTCTGGCCAGAACTTCCAATACTACGTTGAATAGGAGTGGTGAGAGAGGTCATCATTGTCTAGTGCTGGTTTTCAAAGGGAATGCTTTATCATTTTTATTGTGTCTATTTGATTCTTCTCTCTTTTCTTCTTTATTAGTCTGGCCAGCGGTCTATTTTGTTAATCTTTTCAAAAAAACGGCTCCGATTCATGGATTTTTTTGAAGGGTTTTTCATGTCTCTCCTTCAGTTCTGGTCTGATCTTAGTTATTTCTTGTCTTCTGCTAGTTTTTGAATTTGTTTGCTCTTGTTTGCCTAGTTCTTTTAATTGTGACCGTAGGGTGTCAATTTTAGGCGTTTCTCACTTTCTGATGTGGGCATTTAGTGCTATAAATTTCCCTCTAAACACTGCTTTAGCTGTGTCCCAGAGATTCTGGTACATTGTCTCTTTGTTCTCATTGGTTTCAAAGAAACCACTTTCAGGAACCTCAATCAATCGTAGGCTTGGTCTTTTCACATAGTCCCATATTTCTTGGAGTCTTTGTTCATTCCTTTTCATTCTTTTTTCTCTAATATTGTCTCCATGCCTTATTTCAGTAAGTTGATCTTCAATCTCTGATATCCTTTCTTCCTCTTTGTTGATTTGGCTCTTGATACTTGTGTATGCTTCATGAAGTTTTCATGCTGTGTTTTTCATCTCCATCAGGTCATTTATGTTCTTCTCTAAACTGGTTATTGTGTTAGCAGTTCCTGTAACCTTTTGTCAGAGTTCTTAGCTTCCTTGCATTGGGTTAGAACATGCCTCCGTAGCTCAGAGGAGTTTGTTATTACCTACCTTCTGAAGCCTACTTCTGTCAATTCATCAAACTCATTCTCCATCCAGTTTTGTGTCCTTGCTGGAGAGGAGTTGCAATCATTTGGAGGAGAAGAAGCATTCTGGTTTTTGGAATTTGCAGCATTTTTGTGCTGGTGTTTCCTCATCTTCATGGATTTACTTTGGATGGGGTTTTGTGTGAGGGTCTTTTTTGTTGCTGTTCATGTTGCTGCTTTCTGTTTGTTTTTCTTCTAATAGGCCCCTCTTCTGCAGATCTGCTGCAGTTTGCTGGAGGTCTACTCCAGACCCTATTTGCCTGGGTATTACCAGCAGAGGCTGCAGAACAGCAAAGATTGCTGCCTGCTCTTTCCTCTGGAAGCTTCGTCCCAGAGGGGCACCAGCCTGATGCCAGCCAGAGCTCTCCTGTATGAGGTGTCTGTCAACCCCTGTTGGGAGGTCTCTTCCAGTCAGGAGGCATGGGGGTCAAAGACCCAGTTGAGGAAGCAGTCTGTCCCTTAGTGGAGCTCAAGCACCGTCCTGCGAAAGCCCTCCTTGTCAGCATCCGCTGCTCTCTTCAGAGCCGTCAGGCAGGAACATTTAAGTCTGCTGAAGTTGTGCCCACAGCTGCCCCTTCCCCCAGGTGCTGTGGCCCAGGGAGATGGGAGTTTTATCTGTAAGCCCCTGATTGGGGCTGCTGCCTTTGTTTCAGAGATGCCCTGCCCAGTGAGGAGGAATCTAGAGAGGCAGTCTGGCCACAGCTGCTTTGCTGCGTTACGTTGAGTTCCTCCCAGTCCTTAGTACTGTCAGAGGAAAACAGCCTACTCAAGCCTCAGTAATGGCAGATGCCCCTCCCCCCACCAAGCTGTGTCATCCCTGGTCGACTTCAGACTTGTGCTGGCAGCGAGAAATTCAAGCCAGTGGTTCTTAGCTTGCTGGCCTTCATGGGAGTGGGACCTGCTGAGCGAGACCACTTGGTTCCCTGGCTTCAGCTCCCTTTCCAGGCAAGTGAACGGTTCTGTCTTGCCTGGGTTCCAGGCACCACTGGAGTACCGAAAAAAAAAAAAAAAAACCCTGCAGCTAGCTCGGTGTCTGCCCGAATAGCTGCCCAGCTTTGAGCTTGAAACCCAGGGCCTTGGTGGTGTAGACACACGAGGGAATCTCCTGGTCTTCGGATTACAAAAATCATGGGAAAAGCATAGTATCTGGGCCGGATAGCACAGTCCCTCATGGCTTCCCTTGGCTGGGAAAGGGAGCCCCTCACCTCCCCGCAACTCCTTGCGCTTCCTGGGTGAGGCAACACCCCATGCTGCTTCTGCTCGCCCTCCATGGGCTGCACCCACTGCCTAACCAGTCCCAGTGAGATGAACAGGGTACCTTAGTTGGAAATGGAGAAATCACCTGCCTTATGTATTGGTCTTGCTTGGAGCTGCCAACCAGAGCTGTTCCTATTTGGCTATCTTGCCAGATCCAAGAGAATCCATTTTCTTTTTCTTCTCTTCAAGTAAAGGCAATGATCCCGGTATCACGGACTGACTGTAACTGCTCTTCTTGATTATGTTCAATTCTTTATACTTGTGTGATAATTTAGTTATTATAACATTTTCTTTCCCATTTTATTTTGTTGCATTTGTTCGAGAGGAGGAAATGCTTCAGACTTCAGGTAGCCATTCCTTTGTAACTCTCATGGGATGTCTTTTTCTTATATATGATTTTGAAGTGGATCATCATTTGTATGTATGTATCATATATACACATGTATTATTAAGTGGCATGTCACCTATATTTAGAGTTTCCTTAGTATAATTAGGATTGGATGGGTATTTGGCTAGTTTTTATAAATGTATGCTTCTCTTACCTAATTTGTGGACCTCATTTTGTTACTCTTGAACATCTTGATTTATAGTTTTAGCTTGCAGGAGAAAAGGAATGAATTGCTTCTCTGTTTAGTGAATGGATTGTATGTGTCAGGGATACATTTCCCAAGTATGAGTGGGTCAGTTGGGTCTCAGTCAAATTGTTAATTCTGCATTTTACTCATTGTCGGTGTTTTTGTGATGGTTTATTGAATGGTGATTTGTCACACATATATGTTTTCTACATCAAGTTTTTTTTTTTTTTTTTTTTTTTGACTGAGTCTCCCTCTGTCGCTGAGGCTGGAGTGCAGTGGCACTGCGTCGGCTCACTGCAACCTCCTTCTCCTGGGTTCAAGCAGTTCTCCTGCCTCAGCCTCCCAAGTAGCTGGGATTACAGGCGTCCACCACATCTGGCTAGTTTTTATATTTTTAGTAGAGATGGGGTTTCACCATGTTGGCCAGGCTGGTCTCAAACTCCTGACACCAAGTGATCCACTTGCCTCGGCCTCCCAAAGTCAAGTTTTAACTTTTAAAACATTTTAACCATACTGTGGTCCTTAACTAATGGTTTAAAAAGGGGTACAAGAGAAGATACAAAACAGTTTATCCTTGCAACATAGAATGTTTTCTACTTTTTCATGTCTGAAACACTTGCATTATTAGTGAAGCTTTTAAGATATTACTACTTAGGAATATTTAATTTTTATTGGTGTTATAAAATGTGTTATAACAATGCTCATGATAAAGTAACAAAGTAAAAATTATAGTTTGATCAATATTGCATATATTATTGACTTTATGGTATGTTACTGGAAGACAGGTGTATGTTTCTTTTATTTAAATGATTCAAAATTTTCAGATTTAAAATAATGGTAATAGCATGATAATGTTAATATGCTAGTGGTCATAGTTCTGAAACATTGTGTGTGTAGAGGTATGTGTATAGGTAATGTGCAATCTTAAAATTTGAAGTTTTTGTACAAATTTAAGGTGATAAAAATTATATATGCATGAAAGGAAAATAAAAAGAAATTAAAATTCATGAAAAATATGGGAAAGAATATGTGGATAATATTAATTTTCCTTATTACTATTTTATTAAATAAATGTAGTTTATGGTTGCTTAATAAGAACACTGTATACAACTGAAGTTTTACATAGGGAGTAGAATTAACTGAAAGAGAGCTTCTGATTGTTTTGTTAAGCCCCTGTTTTTCAGTTGGTGCACTTTTTTTTTCCTTTGAGATAGGATCTTGCTCTGTTGCCCAGTCTGCTCTCGAACTCCTAGGCTCAAGTGATCCTCCTGCCTCAGCCTCCTTAGTAGCAGAGATTAACTTTTTTCTTAAATTGAAGTAGTAGATACATATGGCTTAGAATAATTAATTAGTGTAGAAGGGCTTATAATAAAAAGCAGTGTACTCTTTCCTGTTTATCTCTTCAAAGGGGACATTTTTTGTTTTATTTTGGTCTCTTTCATGTTCCAAATGTCTTGAGAATTTTGGTTATCTGTCCATATTTATGAATAAAACAATAAGAAACTAACCAAGAACTATACATATAGATAGGCTTGTTGATTGGGAAATTACTTTTAGGTTAATCTTGCCTGTATTTGCTTCCTGCTCCTGATTTCCTACCTACCTGGTGTTTGAGTTCACTTGGTTTTGGCAGTTTGGCTGTCTCTTTAAGTGTATTCTCTGTTTGTATTCGGAACTGTGGCCTCCTGTGTCTGCTTTGGTTCATTATTTACACTGTTCTGCTTTCCATCTTCAGAAAATCTGTTGAAATTGCTTGGCTGCTAATGGCTCCATTCTTGTTCTCTAGTCATTATGGATTATTCCTTTTAAAAATTGCTTTACTGCTAGTTTAGTCTGGCTTTGGAAGGGAGAGGAGATAAAAAATAAGCTCTCGTGATATCCCCAGTCTGCCATCTTTACTTGGAAATCCTTTCATGTTAAAGATGAAGAAACTAAGGCCTATAGAAGTAAAATGACTTGTTTGATACTGATGCAGGATTTTTTCAGTGCCGCTTTGCCAGCCAGAAATCTCTGGCCGGCAGCACCCCTGCCCAGGCCTCACTTAGTTCTGAGCTGGCCACTAGTCTCTATGCTCTGCCCACCCAGGCTGGCAGGCTGCGCTCAGCTTATGCTACCAGCCTGGATCCCATGTCTGCTGAGGGCGAGCCAGGCACAGAGCAGCAAAGGATATGTGAGCAAGCGAGTGTGGGATCCAGCCATGGTGCACAGCCAGGTGTGCTGGCTGCTGTGGTGGGTCTGCGGTGGGATGGGCAGCTTCAGGCACTGGCTTCGTGCGAGGCTGTGGCTGGACCAGGCATACCACAGCAGCTTCCACCTTGGGTGCCAGCATCAGGATGAGGAGAAGGCAGTGGAGCCCGAAAACTTGGAGATGCGAGGAACTGTGGAGCCCCAAAGGGGGCATTACAGCATGTGAAATCTCGTCTCTATTAAAAATATAAAAACTATCCGGATGTGGTGGTGGATGCCTGTAATCCCAGCTACTCAGGAGGCTAAGGCAGGAGAATTGCTTGAATCCTGGAGAAGGTGGTTGCAGTGAGCCCACACAGTGCCACTGCACTCCAGCCTCGGTGACGGAGTGATACCCAGTCTAAAAAAAAAAAAAAAAACCTTGATGTAGAAAACATATATGTGTGACAAATCACCATTCAATAAACCATCACAAAAACACCGACAATGAGTAAACAAGACAGCTTATTTCTGCTGTCTGCAGCCTACCAAACTGGGGCATGTTACAGCTCTGGCTCGGGAAGTCCTGGGGTCTGGTCCCCCAGAAGGGTCCTAGCTCTTCTTTTGTAGTCCAGCTGGTGGGAGTGTGTCACTGCCTGCAGCTGGGTGAGCTGATCAGCTTGTTCATGTTACAGCTTGTTCATTCCCACTGCCCTGCTCTGGCCTGTGGCTCTTGGGCTGGCCCCACCCCTCCAATGCTTCCTGTCACGTGTGGCCGCAGCCCTGTGATGGCAGAGGGTGGGAGGGCTACGACCATTTGGCAGGTCCCAGGTTCTTGTCCCGCATCCAGGAAGAATAGGGTTATGGGGACAACCACATAGTGAGTAAGGTGGAGAAGAGTTTTATTCCAGTCTCCACACAAGAGGGGACCTGAAGTGGATAGTATTCCCTACCTGAAGGGGGATAGTCTCCACCTGTGTCTGAGTCCAGGGGTTTTTATGGGCTCAGAATGGAGGAGTGTATGCTGATTGGTCCATGGGCAGGCCTGGAAAAAACACCATTTGATTGGCTGAAAAGGCAGGGAGGAAGTTCTCTATCTGGTCATGGACTTTGCCAGGAACTGGCAGCTCGGTTTTCAGGCTCCAGGCTGTTTTTGGCTTGAAAGTCAGTTTCATTGGACCTGCCCTTGTCTGCCTAGGAATTTGTCTGTCTCCTGCTGCTATCAGTATCATATAGCTAGATAGGACAAAAATGTTGTGTTCTTAGTTTATGAAGGTCTAGTCAAGATTTAAAATTAGTGTTTCCAAAAAACTATTAAACTTTTGTGCTGTAAGATGATTACAGATTTTTTCCTTTGAATCTTGCTTGTTTGCTTGTTACAATTTGTCTATTTGATTCTTCAGTTTTTATATTTTTCCTGAGGGAAAAGATATCTTCTTAATCATCTTTTTATCTTCTACACTTCTAGCACAATATCTTGTAAATCAGTGTCTAAATATTATTTAAGTAATAATTTGTTTTTATGTTTATTAGCCTGAAGTGCTAATTGCCTGATATTTCTATTTGAAAGATTGTTTTCAGTAATGAGATGAGAATGGAAATTGCTGGGCTGTAACTGTTAAACTTTTTAAATAATCAGGCACATATTTGTTTTGTGTGTGATTTTTTGAAAGGTTTCTTTGGGCCTTAGTTGTCTCAAGAGGGAAAATATATTTTACCCCTGAATTAGGGATGGACCAAAAGTTCCTTTTTACCTCTTAAGATGTGATTATATTATGAGGTGAGTTAAACTATTGAATCAAATGGCTTGGTTAAATTATAAAGACAAATAGAATGTTTGGGATTAATATGTGATTGGTCACATTAATATGAAAAGAACTTATTTAGCTCAATAGGAAAAAACTTAAAGCTTTACTAAAAGAAATGGGCAAAAGAGACTCTAATAGGTCATTCTGTGATTTACGTACAAAGATGTTAATTGCTGTGTTGCATATCTATAGTAAAGTGAGAATTTTAAATTACTGTAGATATCCAATGATAGAATAATGAAATTATAGCCACATGATGGATGGGTTAGTATGCAGTTATTAGAAATGGTGTTTCAGAAGAACTAATAACATGGAAAAACTGTAACATAATTACATATAAACTTTATCTTTGGATGATAAGATTGATTGTAATTTTCTTCTGTGTACCTCAGATTTTCTTGATTATCTGTAAAAATCAGGTGTTACTTTAGTAATTATAAGAAAGTTATTAAGGACAATTTTTAAAATGCACTGGATGTAGTTAATATTTTTACCAGTCTTTTTCACAAAGGACTTGAGGCAGACATGCTCAGTGAGTCAGCTACTAGCGCCTTATATATACATTTCCTAATTTTGCCTTTAAAATTTTGTAGGTTCAACTCAGACTTTTTCATGTTTAATAAATGTTAATGTCATCTATATATTTTGTATGATTTCTTGTTGAGTTTTGTAAATGAAATAAATGAAAATCTAAACGTGTAGATTCAAAATGTATCTAAGTATTTCTTTTTTACGTAACCGTTAGAAAAAATATTTGGAGTCTATAGGGCTCTAAACTGAGATCAGAAAATCATCATGGTTATCTATTTGGTACCTATCATCAGTGTCATCTATCTGGTCTAGTATTATGTCTTGTTAAGCAATGTGAATAATCTTATGTTTAATTTCTTACAGATCATACTTAAATATTCAATGATTTTCCACTAAATTTGATAAAAATTAAGTTACCATGTAGTAACTGTATTCCATTTTAATTTTTTACCTTTTTCCCCTATGTTTTATAGAAGGTGAATGAAGGCTGTCAGTGAGGTAGGATTGGGAGGGGATATAGGTTAACTGTTGGTTTGTCTTCTTCTGACACATCAATCAGGGAGGGTGGAAGACAGGTAAATAGGCTCCCCTTGGCTTAGAAACCAGTAGGCTTCAGAAAGATATTCTAGGTAGCTATGTGCCACCTTGATTGTGATCATATAGGGTCTGGTAATTGATCTTATAGTCTGGAGTTGGACTTTACCAACATAACCAGAAATGATCAGATTTTTGGCAGCAGACTCACATTACTTAAATTTGTATAACATTGAAATATAAATAAGAATACTGATTTATTTTTTCTGCTGCTAGGGGAGTGGGGGCTTGTGAAGAGGGCTCTCATTTCCAGGAGTTAGAATATTTATATTTACTTCCAGGGGAAACCTTTTCAGATATGTCTCAGAATCATGTATTTTTTTTAGATTTTAGAAAGTGAAGAAGTAATATTTAGTGAATTTTAAGAAACACCGAGTGGGATCTAGGGTGGTACTGTAATCAAATACATTAGTATGTCTGCAGAAAAAATTTGAATATTCACAGTAAGTGGAGTAAATAAAGACTTTATGTACATTTATGTCAGGATTTGCTGCCAGATAAGTTCTGAAAGAGCTTTTGTTTTTAAGAACTTCTTTGACTTCAGGGGATTGTGGACCTCTATTAAGCTTTCTGGGAAACTGAATTAGTGTTTAGAAGGTTGCCTGGTAAACATGGAATTAAAATGACAGGGAGTGGGTAGGCGTGAGAGCTTTTTTCATCAGACCTCACTGTGTCTGCAGTAGAAAACATCCCTTTAGTGATTATTTTTGTGGGTCCTACAGCTTCGTTGCCCTTTTTTCCTGAACAGTACTGAATGCATATTGTAAGTTTGCCCTCAATCCTTTATTTTTAGGTTTACCACCTTCTTTCTGTTGAGGTATTATTGTTACTATTACACGTGTTAATGGATTAAACTACTTCTTACTTATTTTTCCTAGGCCTGAAAAATTTCAGATTCTTCTCTTTGTGTGTAAATTTAATTAGCTTAACCCTAGAGGAGGGAGAATGGTATTTGCCTCATTTACAAGTTTGTGTTCTTCTTTACTCCTAAATCAGTGTAACTCAAAGCATTTCTAAAGTAAATTGCACTTTGCTTTCAGAGCTCTAAAACACTAAAATATTTGTGCTTTATTCGAATAGATTTAAAAATTATAGTATGGTTTATTTTCCTTTAAAAGACATTTCATTGTTATAAACACACAAACAAAAACCCAAGGCCAAAACTGGAATATTATTGTACATGTCATAGGTTAAGTAGGAACAGTTTCTGGACTTTGGTGCAATAACTCTTTACTGACGAAGAGGTCTATAGTTTGTTTAAGAACTATCCCACTTAAAAACCAATCCATACACTTTTCATGCAGCTGACTCCCTCCCCCCTTTCCAAAGCTCAGAATGGCAGCAGATGATACAGCAAACACGTTACTGCAAAAACAGCTACAGCAGCTACCTGGGTGAGATGGCTGCCACCTGCAGCCTCAGTGAATCTGGCTTCACACCACATGCCTTGAATGTGGCCCCTCCCAAAAGTAACATGTTTATTGCCTCACACTTCCAATCATGGGCCTCAAGAGTTTGTGATTTATTTATTTTATAAGCTATAGATATATATAACTGATAACTCTGGATTACTGGTGAATAACCAGAATGAACACCACTTTAAAAGAAAAATGCTGTGACTATCATTAAATGCTTTTATAAGACTAAGAGAAAGATGCACAGAGTGAAAAGAACTTTCGTTTTTGAGACGGAGTCTTGCTGTGTCTCCCAGGCTGGAGTGCAGTGGCATGATCTTGGCTCACTGCAACCTCCACCTCCCAGGTTCATGTGATTCTCCTGCCTCAGCCCCCCAAGTAGCTGGTATTACAAGTGCCTGCCAACATGCCTGGCTAATTTTTGTATTTTTAGTAGATATGAGGTTTCAGTATGTTGGCCAGGCTGGTCTTGAACTCCTGACCTCAGATGACCCGTCTGCCTTGGCCTCCCAAAGTGCTGGGGTTACAGGTGTGAGCCACCTCACCCAGCTGAGAAGATGTTCTTACTTTAAAATGTTTGGACATTTTTGCAAGTTTGATACAGTTTCTGGGTGCTCATAACACCCCTGACTGTTTAATGCACATACTTAAGATTTTCAGAACACTTTTAGAGAAACTGACATGTGATCATATTCTAATTTTGTAATTAAATCTAGTAAGGGCAGAGACATTCTCAGAGAGGTGTATTATGATGTTTTCCCTACTCTGGATTTTACATGGAAAGAGATGCTCAGTTTTATTTCTTCTTCATACCCCCTTCCTTTAACCCTCTCTTTCTCCTGTCTGTCATCCTGTTCATCCTACTCCTCTTTTTTTTTTTTCCCCCCAAGGAACTTTAGCTTTCTCCTTTGCACTGTCAAATTTTCCTGAAGTGGCTACATCCTTGTCATATTTCTCATTGAGCTTTACCCCCTTATTATTGTAAGGCTGCTTTTTGTTATCAGTAAGGGTACTCTACATCATACCTAACATTTTGGTCTTCAGTTAAGATGCCAGTGTTTGTGGATTTGTTCTTAGGATACAACTCTAAACAGAACAAGAAGCTAGCTGGCAGTGATAGTTTGTGGACATTAGGATCCTTCTTCCTGCCTCTCTTAGCTGCTCCAAAATGCTTCATTTCCAGATCATCAAATTTAGATTCCTTTCTTAGACGTTGTCTCTGACCTGCAAGAGGACTTCTTAAAAACCTGCAACACTAATGGGGATCTCTGGATTTTTCTTTTTGTACTTCTGGCCTATACAAAGAAGGGAAAGTAGATCTTAGCCCATTGGTTTCTTGGGGTCACCTTTAGTCATTATTGACTGCATTATTTGCTAGTCCCCATATGTGTGTGTGTGTGTGTGTGTCTGTGTGTGTGTGTGTGTGAGATGTATGTGCGTGCGTGTGTGTGTGTGTGTGTGTGTGTGTGTGTGTATATATATATATATTTTTTTTTTTTTTTTTTTTTGGGAGACAGAGTCTCACTCTGTCGCCCAGGCTGGAGTGCAGTGGCTCAATCTCGGCTCACTGCAAGCTCCGCCTCCCAGGTTCACACCATTCTTCTGCCTCAGCCTCCTGAGTAGCTGGGACTACAGGCGCCCGCCACCACGCCTGGCTAATTTTTTGTATTTTTAGTAGAGACGGGGTTTCACCGTGTTAGCCAGGATGGTCTCGATCTCCTGACCTCGTGATCCGCCCGCCTCGGCCTCCCAAAGTGCTGGGATTACAGGTGTGAGCCACCATGCCCGGGCTAGTCCCTGTATATATTTTTAAAGAAGAATTTGGTAGGTTCATGATGATTAGGATAGATATAAATGTATTTGTCAGAGACTATCTTAAATATGCATTTCTATGCCATTTTCAGTTAATGTTTCACCTGCAATATTTGTCGAGCTGTTAGGACAAAGACTAATAGGAGTTTCTGAAGCTTGATACTCTTATAACTAACTATAACTAATTTAATACCCTTGAGTGTATTTCTGAAGAATTCTTTATAAACTGATTTTTTTTGAAACATAACTTTTAGGTATATTGGCAAACTTACTAATTAAAAGAGTTCTTTTGTGAATCCTTTTGAAAAGTGAATTATCAACCTGTAATTTGTTTCTTTGTGTAAACCTGTATTTGCATAAATCAAATTTGTTTTAAATAGGGTATGTCCAGAAATCTTGATGCATGTATCTGAAAAGAAAATTTCTGTTTCATGTGAAGAATTCCGATTTGGTACTTTCAGTAAGTAAGACCTGCCAGATTATTTTAGTTCCACTTTTTTTTAACAAAATGCTATCAAAATATTCTTTACAGCCTAAATTAAGGGGGTGGCAAGAGTTTATGTAAGATTGAACTATGTACAGTACGCTTCTAAACTGTATTTTCTTAAATAGTAATGGGTAGTGTGAAGTTTTGCAAAGTTTAAGAAGTTATTCAGAAGTTTTTTTCTCTTTTAAAAGCATAACTGGAATCTGAAATTATTTTGCTTTAGCTTAGTCTGTAGTTAAAAAAGTAGATGTATATGGTGCATTTAAATATAATGTTTGTTCACTTACTACTTACTATTGTTTGATTAATATCCAGCAATTTATTGCTCTGTGTAATACTTGGAAGATAGTAATGATAATTCATCTTCTTAGTTTGAATGCTTGAAATAGCCATAAGCAGTTACCTAGTCCTTAATATAATATAAAATGGTAGATTTATACTGAAAATATAAAATAAAATAAAATGTGATTCCTATTGTGTAATATTTAACTGCACCATTTTCTTTAAATATAGGGTTTTGTATTTTGTTTTGTTTTGTTTTTGGTTGTTTGTTTTTCAGGGCTGTCTGGGAGCCTCACTAGTATTTATTATATTCTTTCTTTGGGAAAGTATATACGAACTAAAGCTGAGAACATTGGGAACTTGTCCACATCTCTCACATCCTCTGCATAGCCTACTAGATTTACATTGTCAGTCAAAGGAGAACCCTTTCATGATCTAACATACGTTCTGTTAGAGCCCATGGAAATTAAATCCTTTCCTTGATAACTGAGGAGGGAGTCTGTGGGTTAGGGAACTCTTGGAAATTTCCTGGAAACTAGGAGAAACACTTGTAATATAAATCAGGCCAGCTATATTTGTCCATGACCTTAACAAGTTGAGAGTCAAGGATAATGCACAGGACATTATTAAGTTCAAAACTAGAAAGGAGACGAGATCAGGAGCGGAGGTTTCAAGATCAAGTTCAAGTCAAGGATATGGAGAAATTGTTCAAAATGTAGGCCTTGAACTATGTGAGGGTGTTCACACTATGTTGGAGAGAACTAGACAGAAGCAGCCCAACTGAGTTCAGTTGTTTACTCAGTTATTCAATGTCTACTATTTTTTAGGGGTTATGGATATTAGTACATAGTATCTTTAAGGACTTTATAAGCCTGCCACAAATCAATATGTGATAGGGTGAGACCCATTGTGTCTTAAAGAATAATAGTTGTGAATGCTGGTCTTTTGGCAGCGTGACAGTGATTTGGAGTATGAGTAGTATGAGTACAAGAGGGAAAGCGTCTCTCTTTCTTAGCTGTTGAATTTATGATTATCTACCAATATATCTACCATGTCACTTGCCATTCCTTCATATGCCCTCATTCCATTCGCTTTTTTTTTTTTTTTTTTTTTTTAGATGGAGTTTTGTTTTGTCGCCCAGGCTGGAGTGCAGTGGCACCATCTTGGCTCACCACAACCTCCATCTCCTGGGTCTGAGCAATTCTCCTGCCTCAGCCTCTTGAGTAGCTGGGATTACAGGCACGTGGCACCACACCCAGCTAATTTTGTATTTTTAGTAGGTTTCACCGCGTTGGCTAGTCTCGAA
Organism: Homo sapiens; assembly: GCF_000001405.40. Classification (NCBI taxonomy): domain Eukaryota; kingdom Metazoa; phylum Chordata; class Mammalia; order Primates; family Hominidae; genus Homo; species Homo sapiens. Next base: position 97,138,083 of record NC_000007.14, read on the forward strand.
CTCCTGACCTCAAGTGATCCACCCGCCTTGGCCTCCCAATGTGCTGGATCACAGGGGTGAGCCAGTGTGCCAAGCCCCACTGGCATTTTTTTTTTTTTCTTGACAGAGTCTTTGTTTCCCAGGCTGGAGTGCAGTGGCACAATCTCAGCTCACTGCAACGTCCGCCTCCCACGTATAAGCAATTCTCTTGCCTCAGCCTCCTGAGTAGCTGGGATTACAGGTGCCTGCCACCACACCTGGCTAATTTTTTGTGCGTTTTTAGTAGAGACAGGGTTTCACCACGTTGGCCAGGCTGGTTTCGAACTCCTCACCTCAGGTGATCCACCTGCCTTGGCCTCCCAAAGTTCTAGGATTACAGGCATGAGCCACCACTGCCCAGCCCTCATTGGCTTTTGAAGATCATTTTATCTTTGAGTTTATTTAAAAAATATGTATACCCATATGAGAGATTACATTTTAAATTTAATATGAGTAACACTTTTAATGATTATCTGACGTTGATTAACATCTAGCCACTTACTCTGTGACCTTGGGTAATTTGATTAACCATTCTAAGCCTTGGTTTCCTCATCAGTAAAATGGGCATAGCAACAGTACTTACCTCTAAGGTTAAGGATTAAATAAGATAGTATATGCATAATAGTTGTCCAGTGCCTTACACGTAGTAAGTGTTCCACAAATGTTAGATATTTTAGCTTTAATGTTGACACAGTATTTTTTTGGTGCTGCTTTGCCAGCTGGGGACCTCTGTGGGCAGTGACACCCCCATCTGGTCCCTGCTTGTGCCCAGGCTCACTGCAGGAGGCGCCTACCCACTAGGTCCATTGGACCATGCCTGGCTTGCACTCTGGCCCAGATCCTGTGCTTGTCACAGGATCCACACTCAGCCTGTGTCTGGGCCAGGTGTTCCCCAGCCTGCCTGTGCTACAGCTCATTCAGTCCCACTGCCCTGCTCCCAGCAGTGCCTCGAGGGCTGGCCTGGCCCTGCCGCTGCATCTCACTGCATGGGGGCGCTGCCCGGTGCCGGCAGAAGGCCACAGTGTTACAGCCTTTTTCCTACCTGTGTTCGGTGGTTCCTGAGTTCTTGTCCTGTGTCCAAGAAGAATGAGGTTACACTGACAACCGAAGGGTGAGAAGGGCAGAGAAGAGTTTTATTGAACAACAGAACAGTTCTCAGTGGAGAGGGGACTCAAAGTGAGTGGTCCCCCACCTGAAGGTGGGTAGTCCCCCACACCCGGAGATGGGCAGTTCCAAAATACGGCTGAGTCTGGGGCTTTTATGGGCTCAGAATGGGGGAGTGTATGCCGATTGGTTTGTGAGTATGCAAAAAAGGCTAAAACAAAGGCACCACTCAAAAGTAGGCATGACAGTGTAAAAAAGCCAATTAGGGAAGGGTGTATATATGTAAAATAGGTGAAGGGTGAGGATCAATCAGAGGAAAGAGCACCAGACAGGAAGAGAGGTTCTCAATCTGGCCTGTAGATGTATCTGAGACTCATAGCTTGACTTTTAGGCTTTAAACTGCCTTTGGTTTGAAATTGAGGTTTCACTGTGGACCTGCCCCTATCTGCCTAGGCATTTGTCTGCCTCCTGCTGCTATCAGTGTGGGGTAGGAAGTAGGTTGACAGGAAGGAGACAAGAATTCCAGGTAAGAGTGCTCTGAAAACAAATTTTGTAATTTTGTTATTCTTAATTAAGTCTTTCTTCTTTCTTATCCTCTGTATGCTGTTAGTTGCCAAATCCTGTTGACTGTTTTCTTTTACGGTATCAGAACTCTGACCTATTCTCTCCATTCCAATTGTCAGTACCTCTGGATGTTTGTAGTTATTTCATGAATAATCTTGCCTTTAGTCTCTTTTAACTGTCACCTTATAAAATACAACTTTGATCATTTTATTACCCTTGTCAAAACCCATCAGTGTTTTCCCATTGACCTCTCTTTAACGTGACATTAAAAACTGTGCAAAATCTGGCCCGAATATATTTTTCCTACCTTTATCTCAATGTTCTTTGTCATGAATTCTATGTTCTAGTCACTTAACTGAGCATTGCTCTCTGAAAGTGGCCTCAAGTTGTTTTGACTCTGACTGTTCATTTGGCTTAATGTTTTACTGTCTTTGTCTGCATGGCCAAACCCTAAAGTGTCTTTCAAAACAACCTTCATATGGTGCTGTCAATTCTTAATTGATTAATTCTTCAAATGGTAAGAAATCTCTATGTCTTAAATTTCCCTCAAGTTGTATTTTTCTCTTTTGGTAGTATTTTTTTTTTTTTTTTTTTTGAGATGGAGTCTCGCTCTGTCACCCAGGCTAGAGGGCAGTGGCGTGATCTTGGCTCACTGCAAGCTCCGCCTCCCGGGTTCACACCATTCTCCTGCCTCAGCCTCCTGAGTAGCTGGGACTACATGTTGCAGGAAGTCAGGGACCCCGAATGGAGGGACCAGCTGAAGCCATATCAGAAGAACATAAATCGTGAAGATTTCATGGACACTTATTAGTTCCCCAAATTAATACTTTTATAATTTCTTACGCCTGTCTTTACTGCAATCTCTGAACATAAATTGTGAAGATTTCATGGACACTTATCACTTCCCCAATCGATACCCTGTGATTTCCAATGCCTGTCTTTAATTTCTTAATCCCGTCATCTTCGCAAGCTGAGGAGGATGTATGTCGCCTCAGGACCCTGTGATGATTGCGTTAACTGCACAAATTGTTTGTAGAGCATGTGTGTTTGAACAATATGAAATCTGGGCACCTTGAAAAAAGAACAGGATAACAGCAATGTTCAGGGAACAAGGGAGATAACCTTAAACTCTGACTGCCAGTGAGCCGGGCGGAACAGAGCCATATTTCTCTTCTTTCAAAAGCAAATGGGAGAAATACCGCTGAATTCTTTTTCTCAGCAAGGAACATCCCTGAGAAAGAGAATGCATCCCTGAGGGGAGGCCTCTGAAATGGCTGCTTTGGGGATGGCTGTCTTTTACGGTCATAGCTGAGGGATGAAATAAGCCCCGGTCTCCCATAGCACTCCCAGGCTTATTAGGACGAGGAAATTCCCACCTAATAAATTTTGGTCAGACCGGTTGTCTGCTCTCAAACACTGTCTCCTGATAAGATGTTATCAATGACAATGCGTGCCGGAAACTTCATTAGCAATTTTAATTTCACCCCAGTTCTGTGGTCCTGTGATCTCGCCCTGCCTCCATTTATCTTGTGATATCTTATTACCTTGTGAAGCATGTGATCTCTGTGACCCACACCCTATTCGTACACTCCCTCCCCTTTTGAAAATCACTAATAAAAACTTGCTGGTTTTACAGCTCAGGGGGCATCACGGAACCTGCCAACATGTGATGTCTTCCCCGGACACCCAGCTTTAAAATTTCTCTCTTTTGTACTCTTTCCCTTTATTTCTCAGACTGGCCAACACTTAGGGAAAATAGAAAAGAACCTACATGAAATATCGGGGGTGAATTTCCCCCGATATCTGGCGCCCGATGTGGGGCTCGAACCCACGACCCTGAGATTAAGAGTCTCATGCTCTACTGACTAGCGCCTGCCATCACACCTGGCAATTTTTTTGTATTTTTAAGTAGAGATGGGGTTTCACTGTGTTAGCCAGGATGGTCTCTATCTCCTGACCTCGTGATCCTCCTGCCTTGGCCTCCCAAAGTGCTGGGATTACAGTCTCTTTTGGTACTTAATGTTATCTACATTGTATTATAGTTACTTATGTACACCTTTTTGCCACTAGTTGATGGTAAGTTCATTGAGAACAAAAACAATGTTCTACTTATCTTTGTAAAATTAATGGGACAGTAGTATGTTTTAATAGATGTTCAGTAAGTCTTTTTCTCCCCCAAAAGAAAAATGAGTGATTATTTTTTGACAAAGACCAAATATGCTAATTACCACAGCTGGATAAAAAGTTGAGCAATGAAATGTGTGAATTGTTGTCTTTTTTTTTTTTTTTTTTTTTTTTTTTTTGAGACAGTGTCTCGCCCTGTTGCCTGGGCTGGAGTGCAGTGGTGTGATCGTGGCTCACTCCAACCTCTGCCTCCCGAGTTCAAGCAATTCTCCTGCCTCAGCCTCCCGAGTAGCTGGGATTGCAGGCGCATACCACCACGCCTAGCTAATTTTTTGTATTTTTAGTAGAGACGGCATTTCACTATATTGGCCAGGCTGGTCTCAAACTCCTGACCTCGTGATCTGCCCACCTCGGCCTCCCAAAGTGCTAGGATTACAGGCGTGAGCCACCGCGCCTGGCCTGAATTGTAGTGTTTATAAAGATTAATAATGTAAACAAAGTCTTAAATTCTGAAATTGTATTTTATAAATATGTGAGAATTTAGGGCATTAGGCTTATTCCAAGCACTTTAATTCATGTCTTTATGTAGATAATACTGTCAACCCATTAGGCATATGATTGTATGCATAGCTGGTTCAGTTTTTAATTTTGTTTTTTTGCTATTTGGCTATTAATAAGCTTTTGTCTTTATAGAACTAGTATCAAGCATCTCTAGTTTCTAATTATTCAGAACAAGTTAAAGTAGCTTAATACTCCTGTTTCTTTTCCGATTTATTATAGGGTTTTAAGTGCCTAAAGTCAGGGAGAGAAAAGGAGACAGTATTTAAGGAATTTAAGATCTTGAAGTGGAAAAGGCCTAGAAGAGCCATAACTGCTGAGTCTTGGAAAGAAAATGAAACAGAGTGTCTGCATGCAGTTTCCTTAAGGTACAAATGAACACCACTATCTTCTCTCAGGAAGAAGGAGCAACTTTACAGGATTATTTTCTTCTTAAATTCTTTTTTTTTTTTTTTTTTTTTTTTTAGACAGAGTCTCACTCTGTTGCCCAGGCTGGAGTGCAGTGGTGTGATCTTGGCTCACTGCTGCAACCTCTGTCTCCTGGGTTCAAGCGATTCTCCCGCCTCAACCTCCCGAGTAGCTGGGATTACAGGCAGACGCCACCACATCTGGCGAATTTTTGTATTTTTAGTAGGAAGTTTCACCATGTTGGCCAGGCTGGTCTCGAACTCCTGGCCTCAAGTGATCCACCCACCTCCACCTCCCAAAGTGCTGGGATTACAGGAGTCAGCCACCACTCCCAGCCCCTTCTTAAATTCTTCTAAGAATATTTACTTTGTTTAAAAACTGGATTAATCTTTTCAAATATTAGAGACTGCTAGGGTAAGCTAATACCCTAGTCTGATACATTAATTTTTTTTTCTTTTTCCATAAGTTATTGATGTACTGGTGGTATTTGGTTACATGCGTAAGTTCTTTAGCGGTGATTTGTCAGATTTTGGTCCACCCATCACCCGAGCAGTATACACTGCACCATATTTGTAGTCTTTTATCCCTCACACCCCTCCCACTCTTTCCCCCAAGTCCCCAAAGTCCATTGTATCATTCTTATAGCCTTTGCATCCTCACAGCTTAGCTCCCACATATCAGTGAGAACATACAATATTTGTTTTTCCATTCGTGAGTTACGTCACTTGGAATGATAGTCTCCAGTCTCATCCAGGTCACTGCAAATGTTGTTAATTCATTCCTTTTTAGGGCTGAGTAGTGTTCCACTGTGTGTGTGTGTGTGTGTGTGTGTGTGTGTGTGTATACCAGTTTCTTTATCCACTCATTGATTGATGGGCATTTGGGTTGGTTCCACTATTTTGCAATTGTGAATTGTGCTGCTATAAACATGCATGTGCAAGTATCTTTTTCAAATAATGAAAAAGATTATCTTTTCCTCTGGGTAGATACCCAGTAGTGGGATTGCTGGATGAAATGGTAGTTCTACTTTTAATTCTTTAAGGAATCTCCACAGTGTTTTCCATAGTGGCTGTACTGGTTTACATTCCCACCAGCAGTGTAGAAGTGTCCGCTGATCACCGCATCCACGCCAACATCTATTATTTTTTTATTTTTTTTATTATGGCCATTCCTGCAGGAGCAAGATGGTATCACATTGTGGTTTTGATTTGCATTTCCCTGATCATTAGTGATGCTGAGCGTTTTTTCATATGGTCATCGGCCTTTTGTATATCTTCTTTTGAGAATTGTCTACTTACATTCTTTACTCTTTTTGATGGGATTGTTTGTTTTTTTCTTACTGATTTGTTTGAGTTCATTGTTGATTCTGGTTATTAGACCTTTGTCAGATGTATAGATTGTGAAGATTTTCTCCCACTCTTGTGTGTTGTCTGTTTGCTGACTGTCCTTTTCTCTTCAGTTTAATTAGGTCCCAGCTATTTATCTTTGTTTTTATTGCATTTGCTTTTGGGTTCTTGGTCATGAAATCCTAAGCCAATGTCTAGAAAGGTTTTTCCAGTGTTATCTTCTAGGATTTTTATAGTTTCAGGTCTTAGGTTTAAGTCCTTGATCCATCTTGAGTTGATTTTTGTATTAGGCAAGAGATGAGGATCCAGTTTCATTCTCTTACATGTGGCTAGCCAATTATTCTAGCACCATTTGTTGAAAAAGTTGTCCTTTCCCTGCTTTACTTTTTTGTTTGCTTTGTCGAAGATCAGTTGGCTGTAATATTTGGGTTTATTTCTGGGTTCCCTATTCTGTCCCATTGGTCTATGTGCCTGTTTTTATACCAGTATCATGCTGTTTTGGTGACTGTGGTCTCACAGTTTGAAATCATAGTGTGATGCCTGCAGATTTGTTCTTTTTGCTTAGTTTACTTTGGCTATGTGGGCTCTTCTTTGGTTTCATATGGATTTTAGAATTGTTTTTTGTAATTCTGTGAAGAATGATGGTGATATTTTGATGGGGATTGCACGGAATTTGTAGATTGCTTTTGGCAGTATGGTCATTTTCACAATATTGATGTTACCCATCCATGTGCATGGGGTGTGTTTCCCTTTGTGTGATCTGTGATTTCTCTCAGCAGTGTTTTGTAGTTTTCTTTGTAGAGGTCTTTCAACTCCTTGGTTAGGTATATTCCTAAGTATTTTTTGTTTTTTTTTTTTTGCAGCTATTGTAAAAGGAGTTGAGTTCTTGATTTGATTCTCCACTTGGTCGCTATTGGTGTATTGAAGAGCTACTGATTTGTGTACATTAATCTAGTATCTGGAAACTTTGCTGAATTCCTTTATCAGTTCTAGGAGCTTGATAACATTAATTTTGTGTGTACATGTAATTTCAGAAATTTCCACATGATGGCAGAAGATACTTATGTCTGGGAAGATGTAACTAAATGAAAACTAAATTTTATCTGAAGTAGTATTTGTCTTTTTACATTCTGACTAGTACATTTCATATTTGAATTGTCTGTTACAGATTTGTTGCCACTTTAACTATTTTATATATATGTTTTAACTAATTTTAAAAGGGAGTAAATATTTTTTCTACTATATACAATGTTAATCCATTTTTGAAGGCTTCATGAGTAATCACTGAATAGTGTTTAAATAATTGGTTTGGTAAAAGTCATTTTTCTTAGTAAGTTTAAGGGATACTGAAGGCATTTATTTACCAGTTCTAGATGAATATATGAAACCCAATATGTGAAATTTTATTTGACTTTATTTTAGAAATTAAGGAATTGGTTCAACATACATTCTTTTGTGTTACCTAGAATTTTGAATGACCACTTCATGGTCTCATTACCATTTTGAATCTTGCTTCCTTTCCCTGTCGCTGTCAAGTGTTCTCTTAAATTTTCTTTGTCTTAATTGAAGAAATTATTTCATTCAATAAACATTTATTAAATGCCTTCCATGTTTCAGATCCTGCTCTATAGCCTGATGATTCATAGTAATTCAAAACCCCAACAGAGAGAGAATCTTCGTTTTCGGGATTTCCCAGTCTTGGAAGGCAGATAGCCATCAAACACATGATTGTTTTTGAGTAAATTTTTGTAGTTCTTACTACAATAAAATATATTTATAATAAAAATTTTAAGGAAGATGCAGCTTTATAGTTAGCAGATTAATTGTGAAATTATGAGTTATATCATTGATGACCTGGAAAAGATAAAAATAGAGATTTGGAAATTTTGTGAAAACTTAAATAGGCTTTCCCCCCCCCACTTTTGAACGCTAGATGACAGATAATTTAGTTTAAAAAGCAAAGAGATAACATGACATTTTTTATTTTTGGCCAGTAATATTCTGGCCTTTTTAAATGTGCTGATGTTTTGTCCTGTCTATTATTAGTTTGGTTGTATAATTTGTTGTCAAAACTGTGACATTTGTGGGAGTAAAAGAAGCACTAAAATCACATCATACACACATTTTTGAAATGTGTATTTATTGACATATAAATTGTGTTTATTATGTTGTTAGAACTATGAAACAGTTCTTTATAACTTCTCAAAAATTTTCCAAAATATAAAACATTTGTATATTTGAAGGCAAAACACTTTTTATTGTGATCGTATAAATGTTACAAAAAGAACATAAAATAATTGTTCTTGAGACATATTTATGTACTTTCTATCTGTTCCTGTCTGTAATACAGTGTCACTTTTTTTCTCTGAAGAATACAGATTTTGCAATTTGGTTTTAATTTTTTTAATTGCCTGATATCTTTTTTGAAGTTACATTTTATGATTAATAGAGAAAACTATTCTGCTATAGATATTGGGATACCAAAGAAACTCAGCAAATTTTGCCCAATGGAGGAGATTCTCAAATCAATATTTTTTTGCATTTAAATTATAAATAGTTAAGCCCAAAGATTTTAATAGGTACCTTTTTTTTTTTTTTTTGAGATGGAGTCTCACTCTGTCGCCCAGGCCAGAGTGCAGTGGCGCAATCTGGGCTCACTGCAAACTCCACCTCCCGGGTTGATGCCATTCTCACGCCTGGCTAATTTTTTGTATTTTTAGTAGAGACGGGGTTTCACCGTGTTAGCCAGGATAGTCTTGATCTCCTGACCTCGTGATCCACCCACCTCAGCCTTCCAAAGTGCTGGGATTACAGGCGTGAGCCACTGCGCCCGGCCAATAGGTACTCTTATTGTCTCCATTTAGATTAGTTTTCTCTGACAGATATTTCTGTAGGATAAAACTTGTCAGATAAATTATCTGTATTTAGGATTATTTTAAACGTTTTGCCAAATTCACATGCTTCAAAATCATAGGCCTTTTCAATTTTCTTCTATTTGGGTATGAATATAAGTATACGCAGTTATAACTAGGAGTTCCTTCAAAAGATTGTTTTCAGAAGTTGAGATAGATACACAATTATAGAATTTCAAAATTAGATCTTGTGCATTATTTGTGCTCTCATAATTCATTGTTTCTTCTTTCAGTAAATTTGTCTTCTAGTTATAAGCTTTGTTTTCAAAAACACTTCATTAAAAGCTTAAGCTTTTTGTTTATTTGTCCAGTACTTTGATTAAATAATTCCTACTGATTTGAACAAAATGCAACCAAAATCTAGGGAACTAGTTTATAAGAAATTTCAGCATCATTGTAGGGTACTTAGGTTGATTTGCAAATTAGTTCTGAAAAGGCTCCAGGGTTTCTAAAATCTATATGATAGGCAGCCCAAAAGGAAAGCTCATGCTGCCATGGGGGAGTGCTTGTGCTCAATAGCAGTCTTGTTACAAAAATTTTATATATTACTCTTACTGTATAAATACAGATTTTTAGCCAAGTGTCAATTTGACAGCAGATTCTGTTTTGATTATTAGAATGTCACAGTTTGGGCATGGTTATAAATTGTGTACGCACCACCAATTGCATGTACATTCCTCTCAAAGACTCTAATAAGAACATTGTTTCTTACTTTGGTACTCTGCTCCACCAAAATGTGTTATCACTGTAAAAAATAATTTTATCTTCAGTGGTGAACTTTTTATTTATTTATTTATTTTTATTTTTATGTTTTTTGAGACAGAGTCTTGCCGTGTCTCCCAGGCTGCAGTGCAGGCTCACGGCAACCTCTCTCACTCCCAGGTTCAAGCAATTCTCATACCTCAGCCTCCCAAGTAGCTGGGATTACAGGCACATGCTACCATGCTCAGATAATTTTTGTAGAGACGGGGTTTCACCATGTCGTCAAGCTGGTCCCGAACTCCAGACCCCAAGTGATCCACCTCAGCCTCCCAAAGTGCTAGGATTACAGATGTGAGCCACTGCTGAACTTTTTAAAAACTGAATTTACAATAACACGATAACATCAGATGTTTCACCTTTAAGAATGAATTTCCAGCCGGGCACAGTGGCTTGCAACTATAATCCTAGCACTTTGGGAGGCTGAAGCGGGAGGGCCACTTGAAGCCAGGAGATGGAGACCAGTCTGGGCAACAAAGTGAGACCTTGTCTCTACAACAATGTTTTAAAAATTAGCCAGGCATGACAGCTCATGCCTGTAGGCCCAGCTGCCCAGGATGCCGAGGCTGGAGGATTGCTTGAGCCCAGAAGTTTGAGGCTGAAGCCAGCTATGATTGCCCTACTGTACTCCAGCCTGGGCGAAAAAGCAAGACCCTGTCTCTTAAAAATAAAAATAAACAAATAGTCACCAGTAGTTTTACTTTGACTCCATGAATTTGATAAACAATTCACCCTGTTCCTAGATTTAATTTAACTGGTTTTTCCATTTGAAGCATCTACTATCACTGATATAAAGCTAACAGCATTCAACTTTTTTCAAAGTAGTTCTTTTGTTAACAGTCTAACAACTATTGCTTTACTTTTTATATGTGCGTAAGATAACCTAGAATAAAAATGAGTGAAATTAACTTAGATGATTAGTGATTTGATCTAAATGAAAAAATTGTGCTTCTCAGTGTAATATGTAAATATATATTATCTGTAGCTATACCTATTGTCTCCATGTACAGTAATTTAAAAAGTAGATTCTGATGCACAATCAGTAGATTTGTGTCTTTTTTTTTTTTTTTCTGAAACAGGATCTCACTCTGTCTCACAGGCTGGAGTGCAGTGGCATGATTTTGGCTCACTGCAGCCTCAACTTCCCAGGCCAAAGTGATCCTCCCACCTGCGCCTCCTGAGTAGCTGGGACTACAGGCGTGCACCATCACACCTGGCTATTTTTTTTCTATTTTTTTTGTAGAGACATGGGTCTCACTATGTTACCCAGGTTTTGGTCTTGAACTCCTGGGCTCAAGCGATTCTTCCGCTTTGTCTTCCCAAAGTGCTGGGATTACAGGTGTGAGCCACCGTGCCTGGCTGATTTGTGTCTTTTGATATACATTTAGTCTGTGAGATTGGAGTAGTCTCCATGTTGCATGTTTATTATCAACTGGTTTTTAGAAATAAAAATTTCAGTTTTTCACTCAAGATACACTTTTTTTTTTAAAGCTTACTGGTGCCAGAAGGGTTAGTTGCAAAATAAAAAGCATTGCCAAACAATACATAGTTGCAGATTTGTACTATATACTAAATGGCAAAACCACTGTAGTAGGAGCAAACTGCACATGTATACCTTGGAGATATTGTGATAAAAAGCAAATATTGCAATAAAATGAGCCATGTGGGTTTTTTGGTTTCCCAATGCATATAAAAGTTATGTTTACACTATTATCTACTAAGTGTGTCGTAGCATTGTCTTAAAATAGAATATACATGCCTTAATTTAAAAATATTGCTGAAAATGCTAATGATTGTCTGTCAGCAAGTCATAATATTTTTACTGATCAAGAATCTTGCCTCAATGTTGACGGCTGCTGAATGATGAGGGGGGTAGTTGCTGAAGTTTAGGGTAGCTGTGGCAATTTCTTAAAATAAGACCACAATAAAGTGTGCTGCATTAATTGACACTTTCAGGAAAGATTGATCTGTAGCATGCAATGCTGTTTGATGGCATTTTATGCACAGTAGTCATTTTTTTCAAAGTTGAAGTCTATCCCCTCAAAGTCCTCTTGCTGCTTTATCAATTAAGTTTATGTAATATTCTAAATCCTTTGTTGTCATTTCAGCACTGTTCACGCATCCTTGCCAGGAGTAGATTCCATTTGAAGAAATCACTTTCTTTGCTCATCCATAAGAGAGAACTCAGCCATTCAACTTTTATAATCAGATTACAGCAAGTCAGTTACATCTTCAGGCTCCACTTCTGAAGTAGAGTTCTCTTATTGTTTCCACCACATCTGCAGTTACTTACTCCACTGAATTCTCAAACTTTTCAAAGTCATCCATGAGGGTTGGAATCAGCTTCTTCCAAACTCCTGTTAATGTTGATAGTTTGATCTGCTCCCATGAATCACAAATGCTGTTAATCGCATCTAGAATGGTGAATCCTTTCCAGGAGTTTTTCAATTTACTTTGTCCAGATCCATCAGAGGAATCACTATCTATGTCAGCTATAGTCTTTCAAAATGTATTTTTAAAATAAGACTTGAAAGTCAAAATTACTTGATCCGTGGGGCTACATAATGGTTGTTGTATTAGTAGGCATGAAAACATTATTAATCTCCTTGTATAGCTCCATCAGAGCTTTTGGGTGACCAGGTGCATTGTCAGTGAGCAGTAATATTTTGAAAGGAATCTTTTTTTCCTTTTTTTTTTTTTTTTTTTGAGATGGGGTCTCGCTCTGTCCCCCAGGCTGGAGTGCAGTGGCCTGATCTCAGCTCACTGTAAGCTCTGCCACCCGGGTTCACGCCATTCTCCTGCCTCAGCCTCCCGAGTAGCTGGGACTACAGGCGCCCACCACCACACCCGGATAATTTTTTGTATTTTTAGTAGAGACGGGATTTCACTTGTTAGCCAGGATAGTCTCGATCTCCTGACCTTGTGATCCTTCCGCCATGGCCTCCCAAAGTGCTGGGATTACAGGTGTGAGCCACCGCACCCGGCCTAGGAATCTTTTTCTGATCAGTAGTCTGAATAGCGGGGTTAAAATACTCAGTAGCTGGGACTACAGGCCTGCACCACTGCGCCTGGCTGTCAGTTGTTTGTTAGTGTGTTTTAAGACTTAATATATTAAGATTAGTTTTAGGTTCTTGGCAAAATTAAGAGGAAAGCACAGAGATTTTCCATATACCTTCTGCCCCAACATATGCATAACCTCTCCCATTATCAGCATCCCCCACTGGAGTAGTACATTTGTTACAATAGATGAACAAACTGTAGGGGTGACGGGAACTTTTACTGCACACTCCGAAGTTTCTGTAGTTGAATCTGTGATAAACTGAAAGCAGACAGATTAATAGGAGAAAGGCATACGGATTTATTATGTGCATATACACGAGAGTCTCACAAAATAAAAGACTCAGAAAGGCCAGATGATTGGAATTTTTATAATATCTGTAGCTGCAGAAAGAAATAGGGGCTTGGGGCTTCTAGGGAGTGGAGGTGAGGACAGACAGGCTTTGGGAGGGTGAGGGGAAGAAATCTAGGGAACAAAGGTTGTCTTGCTACATAGATTAAAATATCTCGGGGAGCAGCCCTCCAAAGAATGGGTAAAGCTGCTCTGGGTGAGGTTGCTAACCTTTAGTCCTTTTTTTTTTTTTGAGTTGGAGTCTCCCTCTGTCCCCCAGGCTGGAGTGCAGTGGCACAATCTCCGCTCACTGCAAGCTCTGCCCCCCGGGTTCCTGCCATTCTCCTGCCTCAGCCTCCCGAGTAGCTGGGACTACAGGCGCTTGCCACCATGCCTGGCTAATTTTTTTGTATTTTTAGTAGAGACGGGGTTTCACAGTGTTCACCAGGATGGTCCCAATCTTCTGACCTCGTGATCTGCCTGCCTCGGCCTCCCAAAGTGCTGGGATTACAGGCATGAGCCACCACGCTCGGCCAACCTTTAGTCTCTTTTTCCTGTGGTACGGTCTTTCCAGATCCATCTTTAGGCAGATTAGGGGTCCTCAGAGAAAACTTCAGCTTGCATCCACTGGTTCCCTGCTGTTCCCCAGTCATGATACCAAAGAGCCTTACTTTGGGGTATCATTTTCTGAGCCCCAATACTACATTGACACATTAAGATCACCCAGAGTTCATCATTTACATGTAGGGTTTACTCTTGTTTTCTTACTTTCTGTGAGTTTAGACAAATGTATAACGACATGTATCCATCTTTATAGTAGTATATAGTATATTTTCACTGCCCTAAAAATTCTCTCTGCCCTGCCGGTTCATCCCCCTCACCAACCTCTGATAACCCACAACTGTAACCCCCAATGGGTTCTACTTGCCTTCTGCCAGATGAAGCCAATTTATCAAGATGGGAATTGCAATAGAGAAACTGTTTCATACACATAGAGCCAACTAAATTGGAGACTGGAGTTTTGGTATTACTCATATCAGCCTCCCTGAAAATTTGGAAGCTAGGGTTTTTGAAAGATAGTTTGGCAGGCATGGACTAGGGAATGGGAAATGCTGATTGGTTAAGTTAGGGATGAAATAATAGGGAGTTGAATCTGTCCTCTTGCATGGAGTCAGTTCCTGGGTGGGAGGTCACAAGACCAGATATCCCAGTTTATGGGTCTGGGTAACACCAGTGGATCCATTAGAATGCAGGGTCTGAAAAATATGTCAAACATCAGTCTTAGGTTTTACAGTAGTAATGTTATCCATAGGAGCAATTGAGGAGGTTAGGAAGTTTATGGCCTCTGACTGCGTGACTTCTGAGCCATTATTTTGTTTATTTATTTATTTATTTATTTATTTTGAGATGGAGTCTCGCTCTTTCGCCCAGGCTGGATTGCAATGGCGCAATCTCAGGTCACTGCAACCCCTGCCTCCCAGGTTCAAGCGATCCTTGTGCCTCAGCCTCCTGAGTAGCTGGGACTACAGATGTGTGCCACCATGCCCAGCAAATTTTTGTAGGCGTGGTGGTTTAGTAGAGACAGGGTTTTGCCATCTTGGCCAGTCTTGAACTCCTGACCTCAAGCAATGGTCTCCCGCCATGCCCGCCATGGCCTCCCAAAGTGCTGGGATTACAGGCATGAACCACTGCATCTGGCCCTGAGCCATTATTTCTTATTTTGTGGCAAATTTGTTAGTTTTACAAAGGTGATCTAGTCTCCAAGCAAGGAGGATGTTTGTTTTGGGGAGGGCCTGTCACTGTCTTTGTTTCAAAATTAAAGTGTAAATTCCTCACAAAGTTAGCTAGACCTACACCTAGGAATGAACAAGGGCAGTTGGGAGGTTAAAGTCACGATGCAGTTGATTAGGTCATATCTCTTTTGCTGTCATAATTTTCTCACTTGTAATTTTTGCAAAGGTGGTTTCTCCACTGATCTGTGTACTCTCACCCTAGTTTTGCCTTTTCTGGCGTGTTACATGTTGGAATCATACAGAATGTAGCCTTTTCAAATTGGCTTCTTGGCTGCTTTTATTTGGTAATATGCGTTTAAGTTTCCTATGTGTCTTTTCATGGCTTGATCATTTCTTTTTAGCTCTGATAAATATTTCATTGTCTGGGTGTACTGCAGTTTGTTCATTTACCTACTGAAGGATATCCTGGTTGCTTCCAAGTTTTGTCAATTATGAATGAAGCTGCAGTAAACATCCGTTTGCAGGGTTTTGAGTGTACATAATTTTTCAACTTCTTTGGATAAATACCAAGGAATGCAATTGCTGGATCATATGGTAAGAGTATGTTTAGTTTTGTTAGAAATTGTAAAGTGTCTTCCAAAGTGGCTGTACCATTTTACATTTCCACCAGCGGTGAATGAGAGTTTCTGTAGCATATCCTTGCCAGCGTTTTGGTGACCATTTTATATTTCCACCAGCAGTGAATGAGAGTTTCTGTAGCATATCCTTGCCAGCGTTTTAGTGACCGTTTTACATTTCCACCAGCAGTGAATGAGAGTTTCTGTAGTGTATCCTTGCCAGCATTTTGGTGGTCTCAGTGTTTTGGATGTTGGCTGTTTTAATTAAGGTGTATAGTGATATCTCGTGTTTTAATTCATGTTTTCCTAATTGTCACATGCATCCGTGTGAAGAGACCACCAAACAGGCTTTGTGTGAGCAACAAGGCTGTTTATTTCACCTGAGTGCAGGCAGGCTGAGTCCAAAAAGAGAGTCAGCAAAGGGTGGTGGGATTATCATTAGTTCTTATAGGTTTTGGGATAGGCGGTGGAGTTAGGAGCAATGTTTTGCAGGCAGGGGGTGGATCTCATAAAGTACATTCTCAAGGGTGGGGAGAATTACAAAGAACCTTCTTAAGGGTGGGGGAGATTACAAAGAACCTTCTTAAGGGTGGGGGAGATTACAAAGTACATTGATGAGTTAGAGTGGGGCAGAAACAAATCACAATGGTGGAATGTCATCAGTTAAGGCTATTTTCACTTCTTTTGTGGATCTTCATTTGCTTCAGGCCATCTGGATGTATATGTGCAGGTCACAATGGCTTAGCTTGGGTTAAGAGGCCTGACACTAATGACTAGTGATGATGAACATCTTGTGCTTATTTTTCACCTTTATATTGTCTTTGGTGAAATGTTGCTCATTTATTTTGCCCATTTTCCAATTGGATTTTTTTTTTCCAATTTTGAGAGTTTTTGATACATTCTAAATGCTAGTCCTTTGTCAGTTATGTGGTTTGCAAATATTTTCTCCTAGGCTGTAGTTTGTTTTTTTATCCTTTTAACACAGTCTTTTTCAGAGCAGAAGTTTTAAATTTTGATGAAACCCAGTTTATCATTTTTTCCTTTTTGGGGTTATTCTTTTGGTGTCAAGTATAAGAACTCTTTACCTACTTCTAGGTCCTGAAGATTTGCTCCTGTTTTGTTTTTTGTTTTTATTTTTATTTTTGATAACTTTATGTTTTACATTTAAGCCCATGATCTATTTTGAATTAACTTTTCCATATGATTTGAAGTTTTAGGTCAAGGTTTATTTATTTTTTGCTTAGGGATATCCAGTTGCTTCAGCGTAATTTGTTAAAAGACTATTTCTCCTGCATTTAATTACTCGGGTACCTTAGTAAAAAATCAATTAGGCATATTTGTCAGTCTAGTGTTTTCTTTCTATTCCATGTCTGTTAGCTGTCACACTGCCTTGTTACCTGTGGCAATACATTAATCCTTAACATCAGAAAGAGTTACTCCTTTCACTTAATTCATCTATTTCAAAATTGCTTTGGCTATAATAGAACCTTATTTTCCACTGTACATTTTATAATAAGCTTGTCTTTATGTACAAAAAACATATCTGGGATTTTGATTGGAATTGCATTAAACGAGGTCAATTTGGGGAGCATTAATATCTTTTCTGTGCTGCATTGCTTCAATTTTAAAATTTAAATTTAAATTAAAATGAAATCAAATCAAGAATTGAGTTCCTCATTCAGTCTCAGTAATAATGTTTCAAGTGCTCAGTAGTCATCTTGGTTTGTGGCTTCTCTATTGGACAGTGTAGCTCTGGACTCCTGTGCATACTGGTCCTTGTTTCTTGAACACCTTCCTTTGATTTAGCTTGGCCAACTTCTTATCCTTTTAGACTTAGCTTAGATGGCACATTTTCCTGGAAACCTTTTCTGCCCCATGCCTCATTTCTCAGCCCAAGTGCTCCCACTGAACTTTGTTCATTTCTATTTATGGCAATTATTATGCACTTGCTGCTCTTCATTATATTGTGTGGTGATTAACTACCTTATTACTTGTTTGCTTTCCCACTAAATTATAAGCTGCTTTAAATCAGAAATTGTGAGATCATCTTTATATCCTTAGCATTTGATATTTGGTGTATATACAATAAGTAACTGGGGATATATGGACAGTAGTATCACATCTAGTTATTTACATGGTGACTACTTATTTTCTAGAATTGTAGTCTCTAAACTTTTGGAGCATATATATTTATATATATTATAAATTCTGAACTGTCTTACAATTAGCTAATATCCGAAGCATGATACATTACCTAGTGGGGAGTGTTCATTAATAAAGTAGATATCAATTTGCATTCCAAGTAGTCTTCTTGATATTTTTGAAAGTTTTAGGTTGTTTTTAGACTTAATTATATTGCCATTTTTTTAAAAAGTATGGTACGTGTGTCATAACTAATGAACTAATATTGACACAGTATTGCTAACTAAAGTCCATTCTTATTCACATTTAGCCTAGTCTTTATTCACATTAACTTAGGTCATTAGCCTAATGACCTTTTTCTGTTCCAGGATTCCACCCAGGAGATCACATTATATTTAGTTGTCATGTCACCTTAGCGCTCTAGGCTGTGAGAGTTTCTCAGCCTTTCCCTGTTTTTGATGACCTTGACAGTTTTGAAGGTACACATAGTCTTTTGTAGAATGTCCCCCAGCTGGGATTTCTCTAATGTCTTTCTCATGAAAAAACTGGGGTTTTGAGTTGGTGGGATGAAAGCCATAGAGGTAAAGTGCCATTCCCACCATATCAGGTGTACATTATTGCCATTGTTTTTACCTCATTAATGTGGCTGATGAGCTTGCACTAATAGTTGGAAAAGTATTCTCCACTGTTATCTTTTGCTTGTGCTTGCATTGTTAATGTTGTCTTCAGAACATTCTTTATGGGCATCTTTTGAAGTTATCTGTCCATTTTAGGGGTTAGTTTAATTAAACTAGATAATATAAATTTAAATCCATTTAACTGACATATCAAACTGTAGCACATATAAATAGCATACATCAAAAGTAAATACAGGGGTATAGGTGGAGGTTTCTTCAGTGCAGGGGAACAGGAGAACTTCTGTTCTTCCCTCATATTATTTATTGCCTGTATTCTACATGTCCTAGACTGTATGTTACACAGTCATGAGGATGCTAAGGATAATCTATAAATATTAATAAAAAAAATTTCTTTTTTAATGTTTTACATATATATTTTTTTAGAGTGAATTATGTTTTTAATTATACTTTTAAGTTCTGGGGTACATGCGCACAACGTGCAGGTTTGTTACACAGGTATACATGTGCCATGTTGGTTTGCTGCACCCATCAACTCGTCATTTACATTAGGTATTTCTCTTAATGCTATCCCTCCCCCAGTCCCCCAGCCCCTGACAGGCCCCTCCCTGTGTCCATGTATTCTCATTGTTCACCTCCCACTTTTAAGTGAGAACATGTGGTGTTTGGTTTTCTAACCAGAAATTTTAAATACGAATTCTGTTATTTTTCCCCTTACCCTAGTGGATTGCCTTGCTGTGTATAATCTCTGTATCCCTGGGGTACTGACATTTGACTCTGGATACTAATTGTCTAGTAGAGTACTAAAAGAATTTCAAAAGTTGTCATTTTACTGGCTTCCTGAGTTGATTCTTTTTTACATTCTCTAGACTTTTTCAAGTTAGACTTCTGTACCTGGTATCCTTGCTGTGACAGTTCCCTTCTATTTCCTGACAAACAAGGTGGGTTGTATATTGGAATTCCAACCTTGTAGTTAGTTAGAACCCTGGGAATCCTTACAGAAATGCAAATCAAAACCACAGTGAGATACCATCTCACACCAGTTAGAATGGCGATCATTAAAAAGTCAGGAAACAACAGGTGCTGGAGAGGATGTGGAGAAATAGGAACACTTTTACACTGTTGGTGGGACTGTAAACTAGTTCAGCCATTGTGGAAGTCAGTGTGGTGATTCCTCAAGGATCTAGAACTAGAAATACCATTTGACCCAGCAGTCCCATTACTGGGTATATACCCAAAGGATTATAAATCATGCTGCTATAAAGACACATGCATACGTATGTTTATTGTGGCACTATTCACAATAGCAAAGACTTGGAACCAACCCAAATGTCCAACAATGATAGACTGGATTAAGAAAATGTGGCACATGCATACCATGAAATGCTATGCAGCCATAAAAAATGATTTCATGTCCTTTGTAGGGACATGGATGAAGCTGGAAACCATCATTCTCAGCAAACTATCCCAAGGACAAAAAACCAAACACCGCATGTTCTCACTCATAGGTGGGAATTGAACAATGAGAACACATGGACACAGGAAGGGGAACATCACACACTGGGGCCTGTTGTGGGGTGGGGGGTGGGGGAAGGGATAGGATTAGGAGATATACCTAATGTTAAATGATGAGTTAATCATGATGAGTTAATCATGGTGTGCCATGAGCACACCAACATGGCACATGTATACATATGTAACTAACCTGCACGTTGTGCACAGGTTAACTTAAAGTATAAAAAAAAAAATACAATCATTGCTAGGTTACTTGTCTTAAAATTTCCTTTTGGGGGCTAGGTTAATTGAGAGAACACTTTTAGCAGGCTAACAGTTACATTTCCACGAATATAGAATATGAAAGCTTTTACCCATGAACCTTTTTTTGTTGTTTAATGTTTCCATTTCTTCTGATCCTATAAACATCTTAGTTTCCCCGTGTTTTTGTTTGTTTGTTTGAGACAAAGTCTCACTCTGTTGCCCAGGCTGGAGTGCAGTGGCACAATCTCGGCTCATTGCAACCTCTGTCTCCCGGGTTCAAGCGATTCTCATGCCCCAGCCTCCTGAGTAGCTAGGATTACAGGTGCCTGCCACCACGCTAGCTAATTTTTGTATTTTTAATAGAGACGGGGTTTCACCATGTTGGCCAGGCTGGTCTCAAACTCACCTCAGGTGATCTACCCGCCTCAGCCTCTCAAAGTGCTGGGATTACAGATGTGAGCCACTGCACCCAGCGAGTTTCCCCATGTTTATGAGTAATTCTTTGAAATGGAAAGATGCATGACCAGTGTCATTGGAAAAAATAATTAAAAAATAATATAGACCAGGATCACTATAAGAAACCCAGTGTATGGACTATGACCTTAAACTGTGATAAAATAGGACTAACAGGAGATTTTTAACTTTAGCTAACTTTTTAGGAACAAACTATTTCATTCTGTAGTTAATTTAAAAATACTTCAACTTATAAAAATTTGATTCATGAAGCTTTAAAATTGTTACAGTGTAAGGCTCAATGTAAATTATTGAAAAATGTATACACGTGTAAACAACCTGTTTTTTTCTTTTTTCTGTTTACTGTTAGCAATTCAATGGTATAAGGAAAGTATACTTGCTGAGATTCTAATTGAACAGAACATAGTATAAAGTTACACATTTTTATTTAAATAAGTTCTCTATTATTTTCCAGCAAAATGGCATACACGTCTTTTAGATTCCTTCAAGTCTGTATTATTCACATAATTAGTGCCAGCCTCTATAACAAATAATTCCAAAGTCTTAGTGGCTTAATATGATAAAAATGTATGTCTTGTTCTTAAAACATAGTTTGTAGATGTTCCTGTTGAGGCAGCTCTCCTGGGGGTAATCTCCTCTAAGCAGTGATGCTAGAATCTAAACTTCCTTAACATTTTAGACTTGTAGCCATGTGTATGACCTTTTAGATTTCCAGAAATATGTGGGTGCTTTTCAAAGCTTTATTCACCAGAGCATCACATTCACCAGACTTTCCTCCCAAGTTTTTTGGTTAGTCTGTTGTTTTCCCCCAATATCCCTTGCCCCAGGCAGCACTGACTAACATTTGCTTTACATATTTTTGTTGAAGTTTCCCAAATAGCCCCCTCAGCACAGGGAGAGTTCTAAGTCAAGCAAGAGAAAGGCAGTCCCTTTGAGCTTGTCCTCCAGGAAATCACCAAATAAGTCATAACAAACAACCCCAATTTTTTTTTTCTTTTTATTAAAGAATAAGGCCTATTCAGTTCCCTCTGGTACTGAGTATGTCTACCAGGAGTGTGGGCTGATGTCTTCAAGGCCACTGGTCATCTGGGGAACATGGAAGTAGATAAGAGTGAGTTAAAAAGCCACGAAACTGTCCTACTGAGATTTAGTTCTTTTTTTCTTGACTAAACATTTACCTGATTGCTGTAAGCTTTCCATTAGTTTCGGGAGTTTCGAGAAGGTTGGTTCTGACAGTATTTGCCAGTGTATTTGTTGCTTTTTGGAGGGTTAGACCATTGGTGTTCTCTACTCCGCCATATTTGCTGCCATCTGATTCTATGATTTTTGTCTGAGGATGGTGCTATCCTGATGACATTAGGAAAGGAAAGATAATGACAAGGATTTGTTAACAATAGGCCAATGGCCACCCTTCGTCTGGGAGGTGAGGAGCGCCTCTGCCCGGCTGCCCTATCTGGGAAGTGAGGAGCGCCTCTGCCCGGCCGTCCCATCTGGGAGGTGAGGAGTGTCTCTGCCCGGCCGCCCCGTCTGGGAGGTGAGTAGCGCCCCTGCCCGGCCACCCATCGTCTGGGAAGTGAGGAGCGCCCCTGCCCGGCCGCCCATCGTCTGGGAAGTGAGGAGCGCCCCTGCCCGGCCGCCCTGTCTGGGAAGTGAGGAGCGCCTCTGCCCGGCCACCCCATCTGGGAAGTGAGGAGCGCCTCTGCCCAGCCGCCCCATCTGGGAAGTGAGGAGCGCCTCTGCCCGGCCGCCCCATCTGGGAGGTGTACCCAATAGCTCTGAAGAGACAGCGACCATCGAGAACGGGCCATGACGACGATGGCGGTTTTGTCAAAAAGAAAAGGGGGAAATGTGGGGAAAAGAAAGAGAGATCAGATTGTTACTGTGTCTATGTAGAAAGAAGTAGACATAGGAGACTCCATTTTGTTCTGTACTAAGAAAAATTCTTCTGCCTTGGGATGCTGTTAATCTACAACCTTACCCCCCGACCCCCAAAAGAAAAAAAAGAATAGGCCAATGGAAAAGTGTCCAAATGGAGATGCGCTGTAAGCGGTTGTAAATATGTGACTGTGGTGAAAGGCAGAGGTGGTCAGACTTGAGATTAGGTTTTGAATTTGGCAATGCTGAAGCTCTGGAACATAGAGGTGTATTGGTGGAAGGAATGACAAATGGCTGCTGAAGCCTGAGCTTTGGAGAACAGTCAGTGTAGGCACAATAAGACTTTTCTTTTTCTTTTTTAAGTAGGAAAATTATTTTTTGGAATTTAATATAAACAAACATTAATTTCTACTTGTTTCAGTTTCTTTGTCATCTCTTAAAAAAAAAAAGTACAGATGGTCCCCCACTTAACGATGGTTGGACTTAAAATATTTTTACTTTTACAGGGATGCAAAAGTGAAACACATTTAGTAGAAACTGTGCTTTGCATTGTGATCTTTTTCTAGGCTAGCGACATACAGTGCAATAGCCTTTTGTGATGCTGGGCAGTGGCTGGGTCCCAATCAGCCACTCAGTCACAGTACTCTACAGTGTACTGTGTTGCCAGTGTTTATTTTGCCTGTCTGTAGGCTAATGTGAGTGTTCTGAGCATGTTTAAGGTAGGATAGGCTAAGCTATGATCTTGGGTAGGTTAAGTGTGTTAAATTATTTTCCTCTATTAGTATTTTTACCTTACAGTGGGTTTGTCAGGACACTACCCCATCATAAGTCAGCAAGCATCTATATAGTCTATGGGACTCGACTTCACAATTAGCTGCTGTTTGGTTGGGATTACACAAAGAATGATTACAACAGTAAGTTTCTCTGCTGGTTTCTTATTATTCATTTTATTATACTTTAAGTTCTGGGGTACATGTGCAGAATGTGCAGTTTTGTTACATAGGTATACACGTGCCATGGTGCTTTGCTGCACCCATCAACCCGTCACCTACATTAGGTATTTCTCCTAATGCTATCCCTCCCCTAGCCCCCCTCACCCTCTGACAGGCCCTGGTGTGTGCTGTTCCCCTCCCTGTGTACATATATTCTCCTTGTTCATCTCCCACTTATGAGTGAGAACATGTGGTGTTTGGTTTTCTGTTCTTGTGATAGTTTGCTGAGAATGATGGTTTCCAGCTTCATCCATGCCCCTGCGAAGGACATAAACTCATCCTTTTTTATGGATGCATAGTATTCCATGGTGGTATGTGCCACATTTTCTTTATCCAGTGTATCATCAATGGACATTTGGGTTGGTTCCAAGTCTTGCTATTGTGAATAGTGATGCAGTAAACATACATGTGCATGTGTCTTTATAGTAGAATGATTTATAATCCTTTGGGTATATATCCAGTAATGGGATTGGTGAGTCAAATGGTATTTCTAGTTCTAGATCCTTGAGGAATTGCCACACTGTCTTCCACAATGGTTGAACTAATTTACACTCTCACCAACAGTGTAAAAGTGTTCCTATTTCTCCACATCCTCTTCAGCATCTGTTGTTTCCTGACTTTTTAATCATCGCCATTCTAACTGGAGTGAGATGGTATCTCATTGTGGTTTTGATTTGCATTTCCCTAATGACCAGTGATGATGAGCTTTTTTTCATATGTTGGCCGCATAAATGTCATCTTTTGAGAAGTGTGTGTTCATATCCTTTGCCCATTTTTTTGATGGGGTTGTTTTTTTCTTATAAATTTGTTTAAGTTCTTTGTAGATTCTGGATATTAGCCAGCTCCTGGCTTCATTGATTTTTTTTGAAGGGTTTTTGTGTCTCTATCTCCTTCAGTTCTGCTCTGATCTTAGTTATTTCTTATCTTCTGCTAGATTTTGAATTTGTTTCCTCTTGCTTCTCTAGTTCTCTAATTCTTTTAATTTTGATAATAGGGTGTCAATTTTAGATCTTTCCTGCTTTCTCTTGTGGGCATTTAGTGCCATAAATTTCCCTCTACACACTGCTTTAAATGTGTCCCAGAGATTCTGGTACATTGTGTCTTTGTTCTCATTGGTTTCGAAGAACATATTTATTTCTGGCTTCATTTTGTTATTTACCCAGTAGTCATTCAGGAGCAAGTTGTTCAGTTTCCATGTAGTTGTGCGATTTTGGGTGAGTTTCTTAATCCTCAGTTCTAATTTGATTGCACTGTGGTCTGAGAGACTGTTTGTTATGATTTCCATTCTTTTGCATTTACTGAGGAGTGTTTTACTTCCAATTATGTGGTCAATTTTAGAATAATTGCGATGAGGTGCTGTGAAGAATGTATATTCTGTTGATTTGGGGTGGAGAGTTCTGTAGATATTTATTAGATCCTCTTGGTGCAGAGCTGAGTTCAACTCCTGAATATCCTTGTTTATTTTCTGTTTCATTTATCTGTCCAGTATTGACAGTGGGGTGTTAAAGTCTCCCACTATCATTGTGTGGGAGTCTAAGTCTCTTTGTAGGTCTCTTGAGAACTTGTTTTATGAATTTGGGTGCATATATATTTAAGATAGCTCTTCTTGCTGCATTGATCCCTTTACCATTATGTAATGCCCTTCTTTGTCTCTTTTGACCTTTGTTGGTTTAAAGTCCTTTTTTTTTTTTTTTTTTTAATTTTTAGTGCAGTGAAATCTCGGCTCACTGCAACCTCAGCCTTCCGGTTTCAAGTGATTCTCCTGCCTCAGCCTCCCAAGTAGCTGGGATTACAGGCACCCGCCACCATGCCCAGCTAATTTTTGTGTTTTTAGTAGAGACAGGGTTTCACCCTATTGGCCAGGCTGGTCTTGAACTCCTGATCTTGTGATCTGCCTGCCTTGGCCTCCCAAAGTGCTAGGATAAGAGGCGTGAGCCACTGCGCCTGGCCTATAGTCTGTTTTATAAGAGATAAAGATTGCAACTCCTGCTTTTTTTTGCTTTCCATTTCCTTGGTAAATATTCTTCCATCCCTTTATTTTGAGCTTATGTGTGTCCTTGCACGTGAGATGGATTTCCTGAATACAGCACATTGATGAGCCTTGACTCTTTATCCAGTTTGCCAGTCTGTGTCTTTTAACTGGGCCATTTAGCCCATTAACATTTGAGGTTAATATATTTATGTGTGAATTTGATCCTGTCATTATTATGCTAGCTGGTTATTTTGCCTGTTAATTGATGCAGTTTCTTCATAGTGTTGATGTTCTTTACAATTTGGTATGTTTTTGCAGTGACTGGTACCAATTGTTTCCTTTCCATGTTTAGTGCTTCCTTCGAGAGCTCTTGTAAAGCAGGCCTGGTGGTGACAAAATCTCTCAGCATTTGGTTGTCTGTAAGGATTTTATTTCTCCTCCACTTACGAAGTTTAGTTTGGCTGTATATGAAATTTTGGGTTGAAAATTCTTTTTTTTTTTTTTTGAGACACAGTCTTGCTCTGTTGCCAGGCTGGAATGCAGTGGCGCGATCGCAGGTCACTGCAACCTCTGCCTCCCAGGTTCAAGCGATTCCCCCTCAGCCTCCCAAGTAGCTGGGATTATAGGCACGTGCCACCATGCCTGGCTGTTTTTTTTATATTTTAGTAGAGACGAGGTTTCACCATGTTGGCCAAGACGGTCTCGATCTCCTCTCCCTCCTCAGCCTCCCAAAGTGCTGGGATCACAGGCACAAGCCACCGCGCCTGGCCTCTTTTTTTTTTTGGAGACGGAGTCTCACTCTGTCACCCAGGCTGGAGTGCGGTGACAAAATCAGGCTTATGGCCTCCTGCTTATTCAACAGATTGTATGGTGGCAAGGTAATTATTATCTCTAAACTAAAGGTGTATTGGTTCATAGTTCTTTTTTTTTTTTTTTTTCAGACAGAGTTTCACTCTTGTTGCCCAGGCTGGAGTGCAATGGCGCAATCTCGGCTCACCACAACCTCCCGGATTAAAGCGATTCTCCTGCCTCTACCTCCTGAGTAGCTGAGATTATAGGTGTGCGCCACAACACCCGGCCAATTTTGTATTTTTAGTAGAGATGGGTTTCTCCATGTTGATCAGGCTGGTCTTGAACTCCTGACCCTAGGTGATCCACCCCTCTCGGCCTCCCAAAGTGCTGGGATTACAGGTGTGAGCCAGCGTGCCTTTCCGGTTCATAGTTCTTTTATATAGCTATGACATTTATGCCCTAAGTCATCTTGAGTTGCGTGAATTCATCACACACACAGTGAATAACTAGTGGTGGAGATTTGAAGTGAAACTGATCTACCAATGTGGGGATGGAGGGATGATAGACTAACATAATTTCCATAATTTGCATCATACTGAAGCAACATATTATTATATAAACAAAATTACATAGTGAACTGAAACTATAGGAAAGATGGCAAGATAAACCTATTAGGGAATATAGTTTGAAATAATGTGTCATGGCTGTGATGAAATTGTAATGGAAAACAATAGCTTGGAGTTCTTTGAATATAACTCACTCTTTAAAAGATTAAATCCCTAGCACTTTGGGAGGCTGAGGTGGGCAGATCACGAGGTCAGGAGATCAAGACCATCCTGGCTAACTTGGTGAAACCCCATCTCTACTAAAAAAATACAAAAAAATTAGCCAGGTGTGGTGGCGGGCACCTGTAGTCCCAGCTACTCGGGAGGCTGAGGCAGGAGAATGGCGTGAACCCAGGAGGCGGAGCTTGCAGTGAGCCGAGATCGTGCCACTGCACTCCAGTCTGGGCAACAGAGCAAGACTCCGTCTCAAAGAAAATATAAAATAAAATAAATTTCTTGACTTCACATCAATTAAGGTATCTCAAAGGATTTTCCTACCTTTTTTTTTTTTTTTTTTTTGCTTGTTTTTATTTTGGTTACCAGTTAGCATTCCATTAGCATGTTTTTTATGGGTATTTATTTGAAAATCAACATTTGACTTTCAAATGTGGAATTAAATGGACTTTGCTGCCTTTTTAATAATACTTTTTTTGTGATTGAAGAATTTAAATGACTAGGTGAGATTTTGTAAAATGGTGTAAAGGAGAAACACCTCCAAATAATCATGTTTATACTAATCCTCACTGAGTATCCTCATTTTCTTGGGATAAACCTCGGTCTGAATTCTGATATTTAGATTTGCAAGCTCATCCATTCAAATTTGTTCAAGTTCTATGTGTTTTTGTGAAACTGAAGAGGTTAATATGCAGAGTGCAAGGCTAAGTTGGCAGTTTGCCTTGTAAAACAGAATTTGTCAGGTGAATTGTGAATACAGGTTTTAGCTGGTCAGTACAGTTTACACATTTTATTCTTTTCCTTTTTTCTTTAATAAATGTGTATCAATGCCTGGTATTGCTAGACAGTGAAGGGATGTGGGTGTCTTGGCATGATCCTGTGTCTTGAGGACTTTGCTGTCAACATCAACAGTAAGAAGTCTGCTATAAAAAAACTTTGTACAAATTGCCAAGAGAGCATAGAGGCAAACCTGGGGCAGGGGTACAGGTGTCCTCAACAATATGACATTTGAACTGAGTCTTGACATCTTGTTCCATGAAGTAAATAAGGACATTCCAAATAGAATATATGGCTGCTGATGCATGGATGGGTATAGAATATTTGGGAATGTAAACCAGAAACTATCTGAGACAAGTCTAAACCAATTAACTTAGTAGTTTTTTGTCAAAGTTAAGGACATGCTCGTGACACAGCCTCAGGAGGTCCTGACATCATATGCCCTAGGTGGTTGGGCAACAGCTTGCTTTATACATTTTAGGGGACATAAGACATCAGTAAATACATGTAAGATGTACATTGGTTCAGTCTGGAAAGCGGGAAGAACTCAAATTGGGGAGGGTGGGAGTTCCAGGTCATAGGGGGAATTCAAAGATTTTCTGATGGGCAATTGGTTGAAAGAGTTTAAAGACCTGAAATCAATAAAAGGGAGTGTCCGGGTTAAGATAAGGGGTTGTGGAGAGGAAGGTTCTTGTTATGCAGATGAAGTCTCCTGATAGTAGCTTTTGGAGAGAACAGATTGTAAGACTTACTGAGTCTGTTCTGTTAGTTTTAAGGTTTCTGTTTTAATGTTAATGCTGGTCAGCTGTGCCTGAATTCCAAAAGGAAGAAGGTATGATCAGGCATGTCTGACCACCCTTTCCCATCATGGCCTGAACTAATATTTCAGGTTTACTTTAGAATGCCCTTGGCCAAGAGAAGGGGCCAGTTAGTTGGCGGGGGGGGCTTAGAATTTTATTTTAGGTTTACAGGAATTATAGGTAGTTTGTAATGATGCTGGTGAAATAAGGAGCCAGATGAAGGACCTTATAGAATAGTAGAAATAATAATTGCTGTCTAAAAGTTATTAATTCAGCATAGAACAATGCATAATGGATTTTATGACTAAACTTAAAATGGATTTTATGTACTTTTTCCACTATAGTGTCTCACTCAGGGCATCAAAATACTAATTTGACTGATCTAGGCACTTTCTTTCTTGACAATGCTTGATAAAATTTTACAACTTTCAGTGATTTTTTTTTTTTTCTTTTCATGCCAAGGCAGTTAAAGAGGAGTGTGTTAGGGTGGATTTACGTGTAACCACCTGATATGGTTTGGATGTGTGTCCCCACCCAAATCTCATGTCAAATTGGAGGAGGGGCCTGGTGGGAGGTGACTGGATTATGGGGCAGATTTCCCCCTTGCTGTTCTCACGATAGTGAGTTCTCACAAGATCTGATGGTTTAAAAGTGTGTAGCACTTCCCCCCTTGGCTCTCTCTCCTGCTGCTATGTGAAAAAGGTGCTCGCTTTTTGTTCATCTTCTGCTATGATTGTACATTTCCTGAGGCCTCCCAGTCATGTTTCCTGTTAAGGCTACCAAACTGTGAGTCAAAGAAACCTCTTTTCTTCAAAAATTACCCAGTCTCAGGTAGTTTTTTTAATAGAGAAGTGTGAGAACAGACTAATACACTACTCAATGTGTTCACCAGGCCTGCTGCCTAGACAGAGCCAATTTATCAAAACGGGAATTGCCATAGAGAAAGAGTAATTCACACATAGTCGGCTGTACAGGAGATTAGTTTATTATTATTCAAATCAATCTCTCCAAGCATTTGGGATCAGGGTTTTTAAGGAAAATTTGGTGGGTGGGGGACAGTGAGTCTAGAGTGCCGATTGGTGGGGTCAGAGATAAAATCATACAGAGTTGAAGCTATCCTCTTGCACTGGGTGGGGGGCCCACAGATCAGATGAGCCAGTTTATCGATCTGGGTGGTGCTAGCTGATCCAAGTGCAGGGGCTGCAAAACAAGCACTGATCTTGACAGAGGCAGGAGGCAGACAAATGCCTAGGTAGATAGGGAAGGGTCCCTAGTGAATCTCTGATCCATCCACAAGTGTTTACACTGGATGTTTTTGTGCAGATAAGGGAATACCTGCACAGGGTCTTGCCTGGGCATGCCCACAGTGAACTAGAGGCCCACGTGCACTGGGGGGAATGGGGTAGAGCCACCAGGAATTCATGCTTTGTGCAGGGGAGGAGCCTGGTCTCTTCAGCTTATGTGTGGGAGCCCTGGTATTCAGTCTGTGAGGTGGGAGCTTGCTGGCGGGACCCCCTCTTTTTGCCTAATGAATTCTGCCCTCATCACCCTTCAACGTGTTCACGTGCCTAATTTTTCCTGGTCATGAGACAAGAACTTGGATTTAGCTGAACTAAGCTTAGAGCAAAAAATCCTGCATCAATCTTAAGTTTCACAACAGTGATATTATCCCCAGGAGCAATTTGGGGGAGGGTCAGAATCTTGTAGCCTCCAGCTGCATGAGTCTGAAATCATAATCTTTTGGCTAATTTGTTAGTCCTACAACAGCAGTCTAGTTCCCAGGCAAGAAGGGGGTTTGTTTTGGGAAAGATTGTGTTATATTTGTTTAAAACTGTAAACTAAATTCTCCCAAAGTTAATTCAACCTGTGCCCAGGAATGAATAAGGATACCTTGGACATGAGAAGCAAGATGGAGTTGGTTAGGTCAGATCTCTTTCACTGTCTCAGTTATAATTTTGCAATGATGGTTTCAATCCCTTCCTTTGGGTTTTATAACACCTTAATCTTAAGGTGTGGGCTAATGAAGATGGAAAAAGTGTGACACCTGCTCTAACTTCTTCCTGCTAACCGGGGGTGTAATTGGGATAGGTGTTGACTCCAAGGTGAGAGGTTTCATACACTTGGCTTTTGTGTTTTCTTCATGCCTTTTACATTTTTTATTATGTTACTTAACTAATTTTTGTTCCCTTTTCTTTTAGCCTATAAATAAATATCCTGTTCATTTCTTACATACTTATTCTTATATTCTCCTTTAGTGAGTAAGCTATCTTATTTGTTTGATATTTTAGTTTGATTACAGATATGTAGACTCTGGGTAACGTGAAATGTGATTGTGATAATGCTACACTCTTTCATTTGGTTAATTAGAATAACAAATGCAGAAGATAACTTGTAAGACATTAGAATATATTTAAATTTTCTGTTAAAATTTGCCTTTCAGGGCTGGGTGCGGTGGCTCATGCCTGTAATCCCAGCACTTTGGGAGGCCGACGGATCACTTGAGGTCAGGAGTTCAAGACCAGCCTGGCCAGCGTGTTGAAACCCTGCCTCTACTAAAAATACAAAAGTTAGCTGGGCATGGTGGTGGGCGCCTGTAATCCCAGGTACTTGGGAGGCTGAGGCAGGAGGATCACTTGAATGTAGTGAGCTAAGATCGCGGCGCTGCACTCCAGCCTGGGCAACAAGAGCGAAACTGTCTCAAAAAAAAAGTATTAATATCATGATCGTCTGCTTTGGATCAGTATTACCCCAAATTGAACTGTGTGAAAGTACTGTCAATTTCAATATATATCAAATATAATTTTTAAAATACTTGATTTGATGTAACTCACTTGATGTTATAATAGATTCCTTTGGAGAGTAAGAATTATGCAGATTGCTATACATTTTTTTGGTGACAGCTATAATGTAAATAATTTGTTATAAAACATACTAATTTTATTTTCTCAATAAATTGGTGATTTTCTAAACAGATTACATCAAAATAGAATTTGAATGCATCATGTCCTTTAGTTTATATAATTTTTTTAAATATAGAATTAACCTGCATTACAGATGAACAGGTAGTTAAAAAT
The DNA here is from genome assembly GCF_000001405.40 of Homo sapiens. Classification (NCBI taxonomy): domain Eukaryota; kingdom Metazoa; phylum Chordata; class Mammalia; order Primates; family Hominidae; genus Homo; species Homo sapiens. The sequence continues at coordinate 97,169,684 of NC_000007.14, forward strand.
CTATTGCTAAATGCAGTTTTTCTGTAGAGTGAAAAGAAAAAGCCTGATTATAAAAAATGTAAAAAAAGAAAAAATTATAGTTTTGAACTCTTTATGTTTTTAATGTCTGCGAGTGAAATTTTTTGTTCTATTTTCTTAACTATTACAATTTAGTTGTTTTTGATGACTAATATTGATAGTAAAATAATTGGAAGAATTTTTTCAAAAGCCTTTTTTGAGTTTTGTATATTAGCTTTATAAGCTGTTTTTTGTTCCCCATCAATTTTTAAATCAGTAGTGTATATACATTCTTATCTAATTGGATCATTGTCATCCTTAGGTATTACAGTTAAACTTATTTTCTTGCTACTTTGCTAGAACCCATCCTCACCTCCATTGAGGTATAAGTGAGTAAGGTAAGGAGTTGGCTAGTTCGTTTTTTTTTTTTAACGTAACAGCTTTACTGTGGTGTCATTGATGCATAGTGAACCACACATATTAATGTGTATACTTGGGTGAGTTTTGAAATATGTATACACCCATGAAACTGTCACCACATTCAAGATAACAAAAATCTATTACTCCAGAAAGTTTCCTTGTGCCTCACTGTATTCTAATATTACTAAAGAATAAATTAAAGGTTATATATAAAACATAAAATGTACAAGTAGTCCATTCACCTAAATGATCAGGAAAATGTATTTTTAAAATTAGTTTTATGAATACATTTTTAGATTAAGTAAAATAAGTTATGTAATATTACCTTAAGTACAATGCTATTATTGTTTCTGGGAACTTTGGGATGAATTTCATAAACAAGAATGTGCTTATTTTCTGTGCTGACTTCTCATTTCTGACATTATGACATTTGATTTGTAAGTGTCCAATATCATGGACATAGAGTTTATAGTAGACAAATATAAAGAATATTTGTGAACTAGGTTTTCTATAACATTTCCTTACTACTTCCTTAGCCAAGAACTTTCTACGTTCTTGCTTTTTTTTCTTTTTATCTTTGCTGTGCTGTGTCACAACTAACACCTTTTTTTGCTCATCTCTGGGAGTCACAGGTGAATCTTGAGTTTGGTTTACAGAGGAACCTGGGGAATTTGACTTCACAGAGGCTAAGCTTCATGGCCACCTGAGAAATTGACTTATTAGTGACACTAGTGTTACTTTCTATTCTTTGCACTCTGTATATCAAAGAGTTATATATTACAAGTGTTTGTGGGCTAAGAAATAGCATGTATAAGCTATCAATCATCTTTGACTTGAAAATCATAAAACCTCGTCAGAATGAGCCCAAGAAACCAAATTTATTATCATTGCCAACATAGGTTCTTTTTTCTTTTTCTATAATATATTCTGTATTAATGACTTGGGCAGATGTGCTTCAAATCCCCAAAGTGTCTTTGAATTTAGTTATTGTAATTCAGGTAACTTTCAGGTTTCTTGTGGAGAGGAGTGTTTTTTGTTTTTGCTCCTCTAGGAGGCATGATATTTTTAATAAGTTCTCTAGGGAAAGCTTGACCAAATGCTCCCAACTTAGGTTTGTTGGTTCAGTGTTGCTAAAGAGAATCTTATAATAATTGAATAAATTTTGGGGGAAAGTTACCTTTTTCTTTCCTAGATAATAATTGGCTTTCCTTTGGTTGTTTACATTAAAGAATACAAATAATTTTTCAAAACTATAAAAAATTACTGTCATTTTAGCTATCCAGGAAGTTGTGAGAATAGTAGCACAATTTATGCCTATTTTAAAGGGAATTTATAATTTTTGTAATTCAGAAGAAAGGCATCAGACTAATTCTGATTGTGACAGCATTTTTATGATTTAACCTAAAATCTTTTTTTATGCTATTGAGGAAATTATTTGTATATAAAATATTTAAAAAGTCAAGTTTTTAATGGGACATGTCATATAGTTTGGTATTTTCTTGAACTCTATACAGTTGATGAGTACCTTAATAATGCTATTTTCATAAAATGTTTTAAACCATTTGGTTTTAGTATTAAAGGAGGCCTAGGCTACATGCTTTTCTAAATAAGAATAGCCTTTTGTGAGGCAACTAATTATCTTTATTTACAGAGCTTGACAGTTTGGATTTTCATATATCATTATTACTTTGGGGCCATTTAGTTGTAATTTTGTTTTAGAAAACACAGATGAGCAAATACTAGATATGTGATTAAACAAAATAATGAGAACTTAGATTTTCTTTTTTAAAGCTTGTGTTCAAATTATATTAATTACAATCTGCAAAATTGCTTTGATCTCTGCTGTTAAGGACAAATGAAATACTGGAGCTGTAATTTCCTTATCCCCAAATTTTTCCTATAGCTATTCCTTCCTTTCTTTCCCTTTCATTTAGTTACTTAAATAATATTTATTATAAAATATCAAAACAGTACAGGGTTGAGGTGTTCAGAACAAAATATGAAAAACTATTCTTCAAAAGTTTCTGGCCATCCTTTCAGCCTCTGTTTAAATTTGTACATGTTTTGTAGCATATTCAAATAGCATATATCCATGATATTTTGCAAGTTGATTATTTTACTTGGGAAGCTTTTCATGTCAGTACATGTTTGACCTTGTTCTTTTTAACTATTGCATGCTCTTTTGTAGTCTAGATGAACTATAGTTAATGTGACCAATCGTTATACCTCTTTCTATATGCATGTATTTTTTAAGGGATGAATGGGTCCAGTAGCTTTTCTGCCTTCATAGTCCTGTTACTCAGAGTCCTCAACTCTCCAAAATCCATTGTTTTCTTGGTTCTTGTCTTTCTGTGACTCTTATCACCTTTCCATATTCAAATCCAATTCTCTTCCAACACTGTTCATTATTGGAATCTTAAATTGTGGCCCATATTTGTTTATTGAACCAGTCAGTCTCAATCTCAATTTTTGTATGTCAGTTATATAAGGAATTTTATGCCACTTTGGTTCTAGCCTGTGGGGAATTTCAATGATTTACATTATAAATAAAAATATTAATGGTACACAAAGTGAATTATTAAATAAAGGTTCACCAGCTATGTGCTAAAGTGACAGTTCTGAAATCCCACTGTTTTGATGAGGAAATTACTGTGAAACCTATTTAAAAATGATTTTGGTATGTCTTACTTGGATTTTAAAAATGTATATTGTAAAAAATTATTATAATAAGATGTTTAAGAAATATTTCTAGAAACAGAAGAAAAACTGGTAAATCAAGGCTTTATCAAAGAACTGTAAGCGGTCCCCTTTTGGGGATTGGTTTTGTGGAAGACAGTTTTTCTGCAGGTTGTAGGGGATGGTTTTGGGATGAAATGGCTCCACCTCAGATCATCAAGCTCAAATCATCAAGCATTATATTCTCATGAGGTGCACATAACCTAGATACTTTGCATAGGCAGTTCACAATAGGGTTCATGCTCCTGTAAGAATCTAATGCCACTGCTGACCTGACAGGAGGTAGAGCTCAGGTGGCAATGCTTGCCTGCTTCCTAGCAGGCTGTGGACTGCACCACTACCTGGGAAGCTTTGTTGAGAAGAAATTTCAAACCTGTAGTTGAAAGTGAGAAGTTATTGAAATAGTTTTAGTTGAATGTTTCTAATTTTAAGTTACATATGAATATGTATATGCATGTGTATATATGCATTTTTTTAATTTAGAGAAATCTCAACCATATAAAATGTAGAGAAAATATAATGAACCACTGTGTACCTATCACTCGACTTCAACAGTTGTCAACTCATGGCCAATCAGGTTTCATCTGTACCCCCACTTATTTCTCTTTCTCCCAGATTTTTAAATCACAAACATAAAATTTTTCTTAGGTATTTTAACGTAGACTCTTTAAAGTCATGACCATACTATTATGTCACCTCCAAAATTAGAATTTTTTTTTTTTTTTTTGAGATGAGAGTCTCACTCTCTCTCTCTCACCCAGGCTGGAGTGCAGTGGCGCGATCTCGGCTTACTGCAAGCTCCGCCTCCCAGGTTGATGCCAGTCTCCTGCCTCAGCCTCCCGAATAGCTGGGACTACAGGCGCCCACCACCACGCCCGGCTAATTTTTTGTATTTTTAGTAGAGACGAGGTTTCACTGTGTTAGCCAGGATGATCTCAATCTCCTGACCTCATGATCTGCCCACCTCTGCCTCCCAAAGTGCTGGGATTACAGGCGTGAGCCACCACACCTGGCCAAAATAATTCTTAATACCAAACATCCAGTCAGTTTTTAAAGTTTCCTGATTGTTTTTGTTAGCAGCTTTTTTTTCTTTTTTTTTTTAAAGACAGAGTCTTGCTGTGTCACCAGGCTGGAGTGCAGTGGCACAATCTCGGCTCACTGCAACCTCCGACTCCTGGTTTTAAGCAATTCTCCTGCCTCAGCCTTCTGAGTAGCTGGGATTACAGGCATATGCCACCACACTGGCTAAGTTTTGTATTTTTATTAGAGACAGGGTTTCACCATGTTGGCCAGGCTGGTCTCGAACTCCTGACCTCAAGGGATCCACTCAGCTCAGCTTCCCAAAATGCTGGGATTACAGGCATGAGCCACTGTGAGCATTTTTGTTCAAATAAGAAAGTATTATAATTAGTCAATACACCTGTTAAATCTAAAATTCTTTTGTTAAGCTCTTTGAGTTAATTTTAGAGTTACAGAAGAGAGTTGCAAAGATAGTACAGATTCCCTATACCTTTCTGCAGCTACTTCCCCTGTGATAGCCTACATAACTACAGTACTGTTATAGAAACTAAGAAGCTAACATTGATGCAATATTATATTGTTAATTAAACTACAGAGTATATTCAGTTTCACCAGCTTTTAGAGGAATTGTTTCTTTCTGTTCCAGGGCCTGATGCAAGATCCTGCCTCACATTTAGTCATCAGAGCTCCTTAGCTTCCTCTAATCTGTAATAGTTCCTTCCTTCCTTTTTCCTTGTCATTGATGGCCTTAAAACTTTTGAAGGGTACTGATCAGTTATTTAATAGAGTGTCCCTTAATTGAACTTTATCTGATGTTTTCTTATGATTAGATTGAGGTTGTGCATTATTGGGAAGAATACCACCGAGGTGATACATCCTCTCAGTGCCTAATTATCGGGAGGTACATGAGGGCAGTGTGACTTACTACTGGTCATGTTTACCTTGATCATTTCATTGAGGTGGTATCTTTCAGCTTTCTTCACTGTAAAGTTGCTATTTTTCCTTTATTACTTCTGAGACTGGCGTTGTTATGTAGTTTTTCATAGTCTGAATCATGCTGATTGCATTCCCATGGTGATGTTTAACACTTAGGTCTCTTGTGTTTCCTGTAAATTGATAATTAGATGTAGAGGCTTACTAGGTGTATTTTTTTGTTTGTTTTTGGTTTTCTTGTTGTTGTTGTTTTGGTAATATGTACTAATATCAGAAGACATGTAATATCTGGTTGTTTCTCTATGTTATTCCTTGAAATGGTTTATTTAGTTTGATTCTAAATGCTGGTAAGAAGAAATCTAATATAGTTCATTTCTATTCTTTAAAAACATCTGTATAATAGATAAATGAGTTCTAAAATTGAAGTAATTTAAGATAATTTATAATTTGATTGTTTTCTTAATGTTATTAAACTGACACTTTTTTAGATTTTAATTTTAGGTTTGAGGGTACATGTGAAGGTTTGTTGCATAGGTAAACTTGTGTCATGGGGGTTTGTTGTACAGATTAGTTCATCACCTAGTCATTAAGCCCAATATCCAATAGTTATCTTTTCTGTTCCTTCTTCCACCCTTATGTAGGTGTCTGTTGTTCCCCTCTTTGTGTTCGTGAGTTCTCATCATTTAGCTCCCACTTACAAGTGAGAATGTGTGATGTTTGGTTTACTAAAAACTAAGCAGTCCTCTTGCCTTGGCCTCCCAAAGCTCTGGGATTACAGGTGTGAGCCAGTGTGCTCGACCATACCAGTAATTTAATAGTATCAATTTGATTCAGACTATAAGCAAGTTTAATATACAGGTAGAGAATTAGAGAGTACAGTGAAGGCATAGCTGGCCTTATAATATTTAATTGTTCTATCACTGACAAACTGGTACTACAGCTTCTCTGCCTTTTCAAAAACTCTAGTGGGAAACAGTATAGCATGAACGTTAGTTTTTTTCTACTAGGAGACTTTAAGACTGTGTTTCTGTAGTTCACTGCTGTATTAATTTCCTGTGTCTGCTGTAATAAATTACCACAGCCTGACTTAAAACAATGGTAGTGTATTCTGGAGAGGCCTAATTAAAGAGTGAGAGGCTCTAGGGAAGAAATCCACATCTTTCAGCTTCTGGTGGATCCAGGATTCCCTTGAATTATGGCCATATCGCTCCAAACTTATTTTTTCTTCATATCACATTCTCCTCTGTATGCCTAATTTATCTCATCCCCTCTAAGAATACTTGTGACCGTATTTTCAGGACCATCAGGATAATCTCATCTCAGAATCCTCAATCACACTTGCAAAACCTATAATATACATATAAGGTAACACAGTTTCAGAGATTAGGACTTGACATATTTTGGGGACACCATTCAGCCCACTGCACCTGCTCTCACCATACTCAAAAGTGTCTCTCTTCGACAGCTTTCTGCTACTTGAAGCAGCTGCTTAACTTACCCTGAGGAAGCACTGCACATTCTCTTTGGTTCAAGAGAGCAATCATAGGGAATCTTCTAACTTTCGGGATAGCATTATTCTTAGAAGCCAGCATAACAGTTTGAAACCAAAGGATGCTGTTAGTTAATGTGTAGTGTAGTATTTTTCTGTTCTGAGTCTCTTCCCTCCAGGTAGATATGCTTGGCGGGGTGACTTAGTCATAAATTCACATTTTACTGCTGCTTCTTCCTATATCTGGAAACCTCCAAATTGTGGTCCTGAAGTTATTTTTATTTTGGCCATTTTTCTCTCTTGCCAGGAAAGGAATGCTGTTGCAAGTACATGGAGTCAAAGACTAGTCGGTAATGGGTGGTGTACGGGCGAAAGGTTGGGTTTTTTTGTTTCCTTTTCGTGAGTCTTTCTACCCAAGATGTTCATTCATTGATCATTTCTCACACATGAAATGTATTTCTACTTTCCATAAGAAACATTATTCCCATAATTATTATAAATTATACCCTAAGTGAAATATTCTCTGAAATTATGCACAAAGTTATGAAAATTTTCAAAAATGGGAAAGTTATGTATTCACCACTCAGATTTAACAAATATTAATATTTTGAAATATTTAGTTCACTTTTTTAAAGTAAATAAATATTAAAAGGTACAGCTAAAATTCCATTCCCCTTTCTTACTCCTCAGAGGTAATCAGGATCCTGATGTTGGTTGTTTCCATGCTTGTTTTTATGTTTTGTACATTTGCATATATTTGTAAATGATATATATATTTTTAAACTTTTAAAAAAGATTTTTGCTTTATTTTTCAACAATTTAACTATCATATGCTTAGGTATAGTATTTTGTATTCTGCTTGGAACTTGCTAAGCTTCTTGAATTTATTTTTCCTTAAAATATTCATTAAAATTCATAAAACTTTATAAAAATAAGATATCCGGCCAGGCACAGTAGCTCAGGCCTGTAATCCCAGCACTTTGGGAGGCTGAGGCGGGTGGATCATGAGGTCAGGAGATTGAGACCATCCTAGCTAACGCAGTGAAACCCATCTCTACTAAAAATACAAAAAATTTACCTGGGCGTGATGGTGGGCATCTGTAGTCCCATCTGCTGGGGAGGCTGAGGCAGGAGAATTGTGTGAACCCGGGAGGCACAGCTTGTAGTGAGCCGAGATCGCGCCACTGCACTCCAGCTTGGGCAACAGAGCGAGACTCCGTCTCAAAAAAAAAATAAGATACCCATTAAAATTTATTTTTCTGCTAAGGCAGTAACCTCTTTTCTTGGATTCCACTTAAACTTACGGTAGATCTTTTGGCATTGTTTCACAGATCACTGATCTTTTACTCATTTTTTAAATAGTTTTGTTCTGTTTAAAACTGGATAATTTCTATTGCTGTATTTTCAAGTTCATGAATCTTCATCTCCAGTCTACTATTAAGTGACATTTAAAAAATTCCAGATAGTGCATTTTTGAGTTCTAGAATTTATTTGGTTCTTATAATTCCTCATTCTCTGCTGAGATTTATCTGCCCCATTTATGATGACCGTATTTTCTTTTACATACTTAACATTTATAGTACCTGCTTTAAAATCTATCTCTGCTTATTCTAATGTCTGAATAATCTCAGGCACTGGTCTCCATTGATTGCCTCTTCTCTTAACTGTGTTTGTAATAATTTTTAATTTTTTTCCTGGACACTGTAAATGATACATTGTAGAGACATTATTCTAGATTTTTCCTCACCCAAACGGAAACTCGGTGGCCATTAAACAGTAACACCCTCTCCTACCTCCTCCCAGCCCTTAGTATTATCTATTCTTTCTGTCTATGAATTTTCCTATTCTAGATATTTCATGTAAGTGGAATCATACAATATGTCTTTTTATGTTTGGCTTCTTAGCATAATCTTTTTAAGGTTTATCCATGTTGTAGTATGGATCAGAACTTCATTCCCTTTTAAGGGTGATAAATATTCCATTGTATGTGTATACCACATTTTGTTTATCTGCTTGCTGGTGGACATCTAGGTTATTTTCCAAATGTCGTCTATTGTGTATACAAGTATGTGTTTGAGTTCCTGTTCTCAGTTATTTTGGTAATATACCTATGAGTGCATTTGCTGGATCATATGGTAATTCTGTGTTTAACTTTCTGAGGAACTGCCAGTCTTTTCTGCAGTGGCTATACCATTTTATATTCTCATTATCAATGTATGAGGATTCTAGTTTATTCCAACTGTTATTTTTCTGGGGTTTAAAAAATTATTATAGTAGACATCTTAGGGTGAAGTGGCATCTCATTGTGGTTTTGATTTACATTTTTCTAATGGCAAATGATTTTGACCATCTTTTCATGTACTTGGCCATCTGTATATCTTTGGAGAAATGTCTATTCATGTGCTTTACCCATTTTTAAATTGGGCTATTTGTCTTTTAGTTGTGGTTCTTTATATATTCTGGATAATAAACCCTTTTCAGATACGATTTGCAAATTTTTTCTCATTTTGTAGTTTGTCTTTTTACTATTAGGTGTCCTTTGATGCACAGAAGTATTTAATTTTGATACTGTCCAGTTTATTTTTGTTGTTGTTGCTTGGGCTTTTGGTGTCATATCTAAGAACCTATTGCCAAATCAAAGGTCATAAAGATTTACCTATATATTTTCTTCTAGGATTCTCATGATTTTAGCTCTTATATTTAGGTCTTTGATTCACTTTGAGTTAATTTTTGTATATGGTAGAAGATGGGGTGTCTAACTTCACTCTTTTGCATGTGGAAATTCAGTTTTCCCAGCACCAGTTGTTGCCTAGATTATTCTTTCCTCCACTGAATGGATTTGACATCTTTATCAAAAATCAATTGGCTATATATGTAAGGATTTACTTCTGGACTCCTCATTCTATTGGTGTTATATATCTATTCTAATGCCAGTGCCACACTTTTGTTTAATGTGGCTTTCTAGTTAAGTTTTGAAATTGGGAGTTGTGAGTCCTCTGTTTTTGCTATTTAGAGCTCCTTAGTTGTCCATTTTTGTAAATGAATAATTTCTTAAAGCCTGCTTTTTAGATTTTATTTTTTGGAGTTTCATCCGTGTTGATACATAGACTTGTAGCTTATTTGTTGTGACATCTTTATTATCATCTGAGTAAATTTCAGTGTATTTGACTTTTCTATTGAAGTACAATTATTTCCATTTTTTTTTTTTTTTTTGCTTTAACAATCAACATTCTTCTGCATGATACTTGTTCACATGTTTTAAAGTTTCTTTAGGATGGTAGGGTGATTTTTGCCTTGCCAGGAAACCTTTGGCAGTGTTTCGAGACATTTTAGATTATCAAGACGGGGAGAGGGGTGTTACTGCCATCTGGTGGTCAGAGACAAGAGATGCTGCTAAACATCCTGCAATGCAGACTCTCACTGACCCCTCCCCACCCCTACCCCCCCTACACACACAAAATAGTGCCAAGGTTGAAAAACCCTGCCTGCCCTGAAGCATATAGAAGTGGAATTGATAAAACTTGAAATGTTTTCATCTTAATAAGTGGATTTCTGTAAATCATGGAAAAAATATTTTCTCCATAGGTTTGGAATGTTTGGAATTAAAGTTGCTCTGGCAATGCTGCCATTCCAGCAATTACAAGCAATTTATATATCTCAAGCCAGATCAGGTAGCAGCATTATCCAGAGTTAGCCAGTTCATTCACTTTAACTTCATGAACTAAAATACTTTGGCACTTTGTCTGCTTAAAAGATTAATTTTAGAGTGAGTCTGTTTCAAAACAGTGGCACTTGTGCAGATGGGGATAGTTGGAATATTAGGCTGAATGTACTTAATAAGAGCAAAATTAGAACATGAAAAAGTTTTTCTTGACACAGATGGTTGTTAAACATTGAAGACTTAAAGGTTTAAGAAGTTTTTCTCTAGTATATTTTAAATTAAAATTGTAATTGAAGACATAGGAATGAATTTAGACTCACTTGAAGATGTGTTACATGTCACCGTGGAATACTGTGCTGCCATAAATAGGATGAAAGCATGTCCTTTGCAGCAACATAGATGCCATGATCCTAGGCAAATTAACACAGGAACAGAAAAATAAAATTTTAAGTGGGAGCTAAACATTGAGCACACATGGATGTAAACTGGGAACAGCTGACAGCATGGACTACTGGAGGGTGGTATGGGTTGAAAAGCTACATGTTGGGTATTGTGCTTACTCCCTGGGTGACAGGACCTGTACCCAAACTTGAGCATCATGCAGTTATTCCCATCTAACAAACCTGCACATGTACCCCTTGTATCTAGGGGATATATGTGCAGGTTTAAAATAAAAGTTGGGGGAAAAAAGACCCATGGTTCCTGTTTGAGAATCCGTTGAAAGCTATGGCCCCAGAAATGATGTCCGTACTTGTGTAAATACAATTTTGCATATGGTTTGAGGTGGTTTATGCATGCTTCTGAAGCCCATCCAGGGACTCACCACTCTTTACTTATATCCAGGTTAAAAATTTTGCTAAAAGTTGGTTAAAACACTTAAAGTGCTAAAAATAGATATACATGAAATGATCAATGAATTGTATCTTCACAACTATATTTATATCTCCTTAACCAAATGCTTCTGCATTTACTGATGAGGAAAAATAGGTGACTCAGAATTAGAATTCAAGTCCTCTAATGTTAAATATTATTTAAACTTTACATCTATAACCTTCATTCTTTATCTTTTTAGGTGTATGCAACAGCGTTATTGCAACAGGCTAACGAAAACAGACAAAATTCAACTGGAAAAGCATGTTTTGGCACCTTCCTCCCAGAAGAAAAACTTAATGACTTTCGTGATGAACAAATTGGACAGTTGCAGGAGCTGATGCAAGAAGCCACAAAACCCAATAGGCAATTTAGTATTTCTGAGTCTATGAAACCAAAATTTTAGTCTATACAACAAAGCTTAATAAGACATGCAAAAATTTAGAACCCCTACTTTAACTGTCATTGGTTTTTGAAATATATTTAAGCTTTGAAAACACCTGTTATTAATGAAATACTCTTTTATTTTGGATATTATGATTGCAGTATATGGATCAAGATCACTAGTGACAATTGAAAAAAACTATTGGAATAATAGCACTTGTATGAAATTCAGTTTTGGAACTAAACAGCAAATTTCTAGAATTTTGCTGAAAATGTTTTAAAATGCTATTCTCATCCAGCCATATTAGTCTTCTGGCTTTTCTTTAGCTTCATCAAATAAGCATGTTGTGATAATGATAGATGTACAATTCCAACAAGGTTATTATTTTTTAAATACATTGTCATTCTGAACATTTTATCACTTCTAGTTTAATAATACATACATGATTTTTCTTCTGAATGTCTCTTCTCCCTGCATCACTGTTCATTCACAATGAAAGGTTAGGAAGAAGCTTTAAAATTCACTATTTTACTATCAATCATTTGTATAATAAACTATACAAAGTATAATACGTTTCCTCCAGTGTTTGTTTGTTAATAACAACCCCTGAAATAATGTGTAGCTACATTGAGACTCTCATTTATCAACTAATAGTTGAGGACATTACAAATCAACTTAAGTATAAGAAACTTTCCTAAGATCTCAAATTTAAAAAACGGTAACCCCATTTACAACATAAAATGTGGATTTTAAAAAATATTATGCTAAATGACTTGTATCTTTAGTTATTGAAACCTGATTCCCAGTGTGATACTATTAGGTGGTAGAGCCCTCATGAATGGGATTAGTGCCCGTATAAAAAAAAAGCTCCAGGGAGATCTCTTGCCCCTTCTACCATATGAGGATACAGTGAGAAGATGTTAAAGCAGAAAGTGGCCCCTCATGAGACACTGAATCTGCTGGTGCCCTGGTCTTGTACTTTGCAGTCTCCAAAACGTGAGAAACAGATTTCTATTTATAAGCCACCCAGTTTAGGGTAATTTGTTATAGCAGCCCAAAGAGACTAAGACAGTTAGTTAGTTAGGAAGGCTTACTCCAAGATTCTGAAACGATCATTTTTTTAGATGTACTTGCAATTTATGTCATCTCTTTAGAAACTGATACATGTTTTCTCTGGGTTGGTGTCTCATGTGTTCTCTCTTTGTATATACCTGCTAGGGCCACCTTAGTCCGTTCTTCCATCCTTTTTTTTTTTTTTTTTGAGTCAGTCTGATCTGTTGTTGGTCTTTCTCGTTGAGAAAGATGATAATCAATAATTATTCCGTCTGTGTTATAACAGGCTTCAGGGATACAACAATGGATAAGACGAAGCTCCTGCCCTCAAGAAGTTTAAAATCTAGTCGTGCATTCAGGAGCCCTCGTTCAGCATGAACAAATACATCTGCAAACTCTTTACAGCATTATCCTTTTCATCATGCCTAATATAAACCTAATACTTCTGAAGACGCTGCTTCGCTGTAGTCTTGTAAAGTGGGCCACAACTCCCACTTTACAAGAGACCCATCCTATTGTCCCTTTCAACCCATCACTATGCCACCCTCGCTTAAGAACTCGTTCCTTTGTGGCTTTTTTTCTTTTAGGGTATACTTCCCTTCTGTTCGTTGGCACTTGACTTAACCTCAAATCTTGCCATTATTTTGGTGACTTAGTATTTATGTCGTTTACTTAACCAGCAGACAGAGTTATCTGGCATTATTCACTTTCATTCAACCACTCACTCATGCCATGGCTACACTTAAACCTTCACTCTGTTCAGAACTGTTTTGCATCTGAAATTATGAATTTCAATATCCTGTGCTTTTGCCACTATCTCTTAACAATATAATCAGTTTCTTACTCCCACTGCACAATTCATTCAACAGATACTTACTAAAAACCTGCATTTGCCAGATGTCATTCTAGGTATTAGCGATATAGCACTTTTAACAAAGACAAAAAGTCTGCTACCCCCATGGAACTCACATTCTAAAGGAGAGAAATAAAATATGTAGGGTGATAAGTACTATTGAGGAAAATAAAAGCAAGGATAGGGAATAGGGCTATGGTTCCAAAATTATAAACTGAGATTCCCTGGGCACCTCAGAGAACTCAGGGGTGCTGCAGGATATTTTAACTTTGAGGAAATCACAGTCACATTTGTGTTTGCTGGACACCACACACATTACTAGTGCAAGGATTTTCAGTTTTACAGTTATATTGCCACATTCTTTTTAATGACAGATCTTTGTGAAGCTGGGCTTTTAGTGGTTGCTGTGATAAAAATGCAAATATCACAGAAGATGAGTGAGTAACAGAAAATGTAGGTAGTGTTGGTCAATATGATTACAGTGTAAGCTGCATAGTGTCCAACAGGTGCTAAATTGTTTTGGCACAAATAAGTTGTTTGGACTACTTAATAAACAAAACTAAGTTTTGTTTGCTGTTTTGCCTAGATGTACTGTGCAAATACTGGGACACCAAGTTCGTGAACTAAAAGTTTGGGTAATAGGGAGTGGTCTTTAACAGTAAACTGATACATAAACTTATCAGTCCTTTGACTACTTGGTGCCTTCAATGTCATTCTACTAGTGCTTTTATTTCCATTACAGACTCCCTAGTTTCTGTGATCCTTCACTTCAGCCAGCCACTGAGCAGTACCTTCCATGTCTTTTTTTTTTTTTTTTTTTGAGACAGAGTCTCGCTCTGTCGCCCAGGCTGGAGTGCAGTGGCGGGATCTCGGCTCACTGCAAGCTCCGCCTCCCGGGTTCACGCCATTCTCCTGCCTCAGCCTCCCAAGTAGCTGGGACTACAGGCGCCCGCCACCACGCCCGGCTCATTTTTTGTATTTTTAGTAGAGACGGGGTTTCACCGTTTTAGCCGGGATGGTCTCGATCTCGTGACCTCGTGATCCGCCCGCCTCGGCCTCCCAAAGTGCTGGGATTACAGGCGTGAGCCACCGCGCCCGGCCCCATGTCTTTTTCTTTTACTTCACCTGCTGCTCTAGCCAGGGTAACCACTCACTTGCCAAAATCAATGGGATATTAATCACTGTAAGGTTGATAAGTTGAAGATTTGATAGTATTACTGTCTTCTGCTTTTAAACCACTTCTGCTTTTTATACTGCCTACTTCTCCTTTAGATTATAAATTTTCTCCTCCCTACCCCCACTTTTAAAAATATGATGTTCTGTGGGATTTCATCCTCAGGACTCTCACATTACACATTTGTTGCTTCAAATATTAGCTCTACTCTTAAATCACTAACACCAACCTAAATCTCATTTTAAAATTTTTAATTTTTGTGGATACATAGATGTATGTATTTATGGGGTACATGAGATAATTTTAATACAGGCATGCAATGTGTAATAATCACATGGAAAATGGGCTATTCATCCCCTCAAACATTTATCTTTTGTGTTATAAACAATCCAGTTATACTTATTTTTAAATGTACAATTATTGACTATAGTCACCTTGTGCTGTGAAATACTAGGTATTATTCATTCCTTATTTCACTTAACATACTGACCTCCAGTTCCATCCATGTTGTTGCAAATGACAGGATCTCATTCTTTTTTATAACTGAATAGTACTCTATTGTATACCACATTTTCTTTATCCATTCATCTGTTGATGGACACTTACGCTGATTCCATAACTTGGCTATTGTGAAGAATGCTGCAATTTGAGAGTGCAGATATCTCTTTAGTATACTGACTTTTCTTATTTGTCATCTGTATCCATCAATGGGATTGCTGGATCATATGCTAGCTCTATTTTTAGTTTTTTTAAGAACCTCCAAACTGTTCTCCATAGTGGTTGTACTAATTTACATTCCCACCTAAGCTGCACAAGGGTTCCCTTTTCTCCACATTCTCATCAGCATTTGTTATTGCCCGTCTTTTGGATAAAAGCCATTTTAACTGGGGTGACATGCTATCTCATTGTAGTTTTGATTTGCAGTTCACTGATGATCAGTGATTTTGAACACCTGTTTATATGCCTGTTTGCCATTTAAATGTCTTCTTTTGAGAAATGTCTACCAGATCTTTTGCCCATTTTTAAATCTGATTATTAGATTTTTTTCTTATAGAGTTGTTTGAACTCCTTATATATTCTGGTTATGACTCCCTTGTCAGATGGATAGTTTGGAAATATTTTCTCCCATTCCCTGGGTTCTCTTCACTTTATTATTTCCTTTGCTGTGCAGAAGCTTTTTAATGTACTATAATCCCATTTGTCCATTTTTGCTTTGGTTGCCTGTGCTTGTGGGGTATTACTCACGTTTCTGTCCAGACCAATGCCCTGGATATTTTCTTCAGTGTTTTCTTATGGTAGTTCCACAATTTGAGGTGTTGGATTTAAGTCTTTAATCCATTTTGATTTGATTTTTGTATATGGTGAGAAATAGGGGTCAAGTTTCATTCTTCTGCATATGGATATCCAGTTTTCCCCGCTACCATTTATTGAAAAGACTGTCTTTTCTCCCATGTATGTTCCTGGCACCTTTGTCAACAATAAGTTCACTATAGATGTGTGGGGGTTTTTTGTTTTTTTCTTTCTTTTTTTTAAACAGAGTGTCACTGTCACCCAGGCTGGAATGCAGTGGCATGATCTTGGCTCACTGCAACCTCCACCTCCCAGGTTCAAGTGATTCTTGTGCTTCAGCCTCCTGAGTAGCTGGGACTACAGGCATGTGCCACCATGCCTGGCTAGTGTTTACATTTTTGGTAGAGATGGGGTTCCACCATGTTGATCAGGCTGGTCCCGAACTCCTGGCCTCAAGTGATCCGCCCGCCTCAGCCTCCCAAAATGCTGGGATTATAGGCATGAGCCATTTTGCCTGGCCAGTAGATGTATGGAGATGTGTGGATTTATTACTGGATTCTCTATTTCTTTCCATTGTTCTATGTGTCTGTTTTTATTCCAGTACCATGCTGTTTTGGTTTCTATAGTTCTGTAGTAGAATGTGAAGTCAGGTAATGTGATTTCTCCAGTTTTCTTCTTTATGCTCATGATAACTTTTGCTATTCTGGGTCTTTTGTGGTTCCACATAATTTTTAGAATTTTTCCTGTTTCTGTGAAGAATGGCATTGATAGGGATTGCATTGAATCTGTTAATATGGACATTTTAATGATATTGAGTCTTCCAATCCATGAACATGGAATATCTTTCCATAGTTTGTGTCCTCTTCAATTTTTTTCATTGTTTTATAGTTTTCATTGTAGAGATCATTTACTTCTTGGTTAAAGGGTTAATTCCTAGGTATTTAATTTTATTTGTAACTATTGTAAATGGGATTAAAAAAAATTTTCAGATTGTTCACTTTTGGCATATAGAGATGTTACTAATTTTTATATGTTGATTTTGTATCTTGCAGTTTTACTGATTTTTATCAGTTCTTGTAGTTTTTGATGGAGCTTCTTAATCTCATTTGTGAACTTCAGATCTGTGTTTGAGACTGACATTTCCAACTCATGTTTAAAATCAAATATACTTCTCTTCCCTTTTCAGTGAATAACAACATATGCGCAATGACGAGTTAATGGGTGCAGCACACCAACATGGCACATGTATACATATGTAACAAACCTACACATTGTGCACATGTACCCTAGAACTTAAAGTATAATAAAAAATAAAAATAAAAAAAATAACATGTACACAGTTTACCAGTTCAGATTTTTGCAATTTTGCTTCGATTTCACCATTTCCCTACAGGCCTCTTCCTCATTATTCAGCAATTCTGACAACACTACATGGTGGATCACAAAATGCTCATAGTTCTCTACCACTCCTTGTACCCATGCCCTTTGCAAGGTAACTTTGCAGTGCCTATTAATCTGTTTTTCAGTTATTCAAATCTGCAGGCCTTGTGACTTGATTTGCTCAAAAGAATGAGGGAGTAATATTATGCAAACTTAGGTTCTGGGCCCTCAGAGCCTTGCATACTTCTGCCGGCACTATTGGACATCTGTCCAACTGCCATGTGAGCAAACTAGGGCTGGCCTACCAGAGGATCAGATCATGTGGAGCAAAGGTGAGTCATCCTAGACCAGCCAGCTCTCAGCCAACCACATTTATATGAGTGAGCTTAGCCATGACAGCTAATCCCAGTCCAAATTGCCAATTACAAGCTAAATTAATGGCAGTTCTTTTAAATCAGTACATTCTGGGGCAGCTTATTATATAGTTAGGGCTGATACACTGTACTGCCTTACTGTCTCAAAATCACTCATTCCCCCTTTTCTGACTATTAGTCTGATACTTTAGACTTACAATTTTTTTCTGTAGCAATCTATATATGGCTTTCTTGTCTCCAGCCTGTTTTTTTAGTATGTTACTTGCAGCCAGTCACCTTAGTGATATGCAAATCCTATTTCCCTGCTTAACATTTGGAGTGGAGGAGGGTGTTTGGATTGTACTTAATGGTAGTGATACATGGCACAATTGGCTTCTTACCATTGTACTTGGTGGTTGAGAGGAATCTGATACAGCTTATTGAAAATAAATTGGAAATATATATTAAGAACTTTAAGAACATTGGTACTTTTTGAACCCGTAAATTTTATTTCTAAGATTCTATCCTAAAGAAAAGATATTCAGGAATGTGCAGTTTTTCACATAATCATGTTATTAAAAATGATATTTGAGTGAATTTGGAACAGCAGAACTCCCCCAAATACTTAAAAGGTTAAGTGAGTTGTGATGACATGTATAACGAAGTAGTTTAAATGTAGGTTTATGAAGAATTTTTAATGACATGGAACATTTCCTGACATTGATAGGTGAGAAAATGATGCTATGAAATATATGGGATTTTAAATAAAATTTTAGATTTTCTTTTCAGTAATGTGGCAAACAATGCTAATCTGAGCAGTTCTGCTGAAAATGAAAACTTTTAGGTAGAGTAGAAAAAGTATTTTTTAGAAGCTTCTAGGAGCTGGCAATACCCTAAGAGATTAATTATAAGGCCAATATTGCTAAGTGAAACTGGCAAAGCCTCTTTTACCCTAAGATGAATTTCTACTTTGGTTTTGATGGTCCTTTGGGACACAGTGGGCAGAAGACAAAGCACAGAACCCACGTAAGTTGGAGAGTCATAAACGGTTTTTCCAGAAAGACAGGACCCTAAAGACTATATATACCCTCAGGGTTAGAGTGAGCCAGAAGAAAACTTGCTCCAGTACTTGTACAGAATTGCAGGCTATCCTGGATTCAAGTCATCTGTGTACTAAAACAAAACTTAAGCTATAAATTTAATATATGGCCCCAGAATGAGTACCTGACAAATGTAAACAAGCTTTTGAGGATACTCGGGTCACAGATAATTTCCAGAAAAGTGAATCCTCAAGTTTCAGTAAACAAGCAGACTCCACATGGAAAGCTAGCACCATGACTAAGAGGCAGCAGAGACAGACCACCAGAAAACTCAGATATTGGAATTAACACATGTATAATATAAAACGTGTTCACATGTTTAAACTTAAAAGTTATTTGGAAATATCTGCAAGAAACAAGGCATTATAAAAAGTAGGCTGGCATATTTGAAAAAGAACCAAATGGAACTTCTTATAGAAGTAGAAAATAGAATAACTAAAATTAAAAAATTAACCCTAATGGATAAGTTCAAAAGACAAGATGGACTTGAAATAATGAGAATTAGTGACTGCAATACAGAACCAAAAGAAAGTATCCAGAATTCCGCATGAAAAACAAACTTGAGAATATGAGAGGTGGTTAAAACACAAGAGTGTCATGTATATCTAATAGTTTCAGATAGATACCGAGGCAGAACCAATATTTGAAGCTATATTTCCTGAGACTTTTTCAAATCAATGAAACACATAGTCTATGGATTTATCCTAAGCAGGATAGATATAAAATCCTCATTCTTAGACATACCGTATTGAAGCAGCAGAATGCCAATAACTTGTAAAAGCAGCCGAAACAAAAGTCACAAGGGAACCTCAGCTAGTACAGGACAAGTCCCTGGATGGCTTTGGTGACCCAGCTATTCTCCACTTTCTCACTTGTAGTTCTTGTAGAAATGTGCCAGGAATACAACATCCTAATAAAGAATTGTCCAGAACAGCCCAGGCTCTGTTCCTGTCCCTCCTGGAACAGGGTGTCCTTCACCACTTTAACCCAGCGGCCCATGTCACCTCCTAGGGGGTACGGCTTTCAAAATCCAGGGGCTCTCCGTGACAGTGCAAGTAGAGTATGCACAGATGAGTCCCAATCTGCCCTAGGCAGCTTTCCTCAGCCTTTGGAGACTTGCTTGTCATGAATCCTGGGCTACTGTTTTTCCTTACTGCCTACCTACAATTAATAAGACGACTTCATGAAACATGTGTGTGAATGTCCTGTCTCACCAGACTCTTGGAAGTAGTAGAGACTGCAGTGCAAGATGCAGTGGGCTAAAGTGGTAAGCAGTGCACAGTGAATCTTCCTCACAACTAATCTTAAGCTGACTTCTCAAGAACAATAATGGAAATCAGAAACCAGTTGAATGACTATCCCTAATGTGTTGAGAGAAATAAATTCCATTTTAAAATTATATACCTAGCAAGTGTATTTCAGGAATGAAGGTAGAAAAAAGATAGTGTCAGACAACAAAATATGAGCAAGGTTGCCACCTGCGGATTCTCACTAAAGGAAATTATAAAGGATGTGGTTTGAAAAGGCTTTCGATAAAATTCAACAACTCTTCATGTTAAAAACTCTCAATAAAGTAGGTATTGAAGGAACATACCTCAAAATTATAAGAGCCATCTATGACAAGCCTACAGCCAACATCATACTGAATGGGCAAAAGCATACTCTCTCTCTCTCACTACTCCTATGCAACATAGTATTAGAGTCCTGGCCAGAGCAACCAGGCAAGAGAAAGGGCATCTAAATAGGAAGGAGGAAGTCTATTTCTGTTTGTAGATGACATGATTTTGTATCTAGAAAACACCATAATCTCAGCCCAAAAGCTTCTGAAGCTGAAGCAACTTCAGCAAAATCTCAGGATACATAACATACAAAAATCAGTAGCATTCCTATACACCAACTACAGTCAAGCCAAGAGTGAAATCAGGAATGCAATCCTATTCACAGTTGCCACAAAAAGAATAAAATACCTAGGAATACAGTGAACCAGGAGGTGAAAGATCTCTACATGGAGAACTGCAAAACAGTGCTCAGAGAAATCAGAGATGATACAAACAAATGGAAAAAAATTCCATGCTCATGGATAAGAAGAATCAATTTTATTAAAATGACCTTATAGCAGCCCAAAGCAGTTTGTACATTCAATGCTATTCCTATTACACTACCAATAACATCCTCACAGAACTAGGAAAAACTATTTTAAAATTCATGCAGAACCAAAAAGGAGCCCAAATAGCCAAGGCACTCCTGTGCAAAAAGAACAAAGCTGGAGGCATTACACTACCCGACTTCAAACTACACTACATGACTACGGTAGCCAAAACGCATGATACTAATACAAAAACAGACATATAGACCAGTGGAACAGAATAGAGAGCCTGGAAATTAAGCTAAACAGCTACAACCATCTGATCTCCCACAAACATGACAGAAGCAAGCAATGGAGAAAGGACTCCCCATAAGTAAATGGTGCTGGGATAACTGGCTAGCCATACGCAGAAGATTGAAACTGGACTCCTTATACCATATACAAAAATCAACTCAAGATGGATTAAAGACTTAAATGGAAAGCCCAAAACTATAAAAGCCCTAGAAAACAACCTAGGCAATATTATTCAGGACATAGGCACGGATAAGGATTTCATGATGAAGATGCCAAAAACAAATGCAACAAAAGCAAAAATTTACAAATGGGATTTAATTCCAACTAAAGAGCTGCACAAACAGGGAGCCTACAGAATGGGAGAAAGTATTTGCAAACTATGTATTTGACAAAGTTCTAATATCCACTATCTGGAAGGAACTTAAATCTACAAGAAAAATACAACCCCATTAAGATGTGGACAAAAGACATGAGCAGACACTCTTCCAAAGACGATGTACCTGTGGCCAGCAAGCATATAAGAAAAGCTTAACATCATGGATCATTAGATAAATGCAAATCAAAACCACAATGAGAAACTATCTCACACCAGTCAGAAGGGCTACTGTTAAGAAGTCAAAAAATAACATGCTGGTGAGGTTATGGAGAAAAAGGAATGCTTATACACTGTTGGTGGAAGTGTAAAAAGAAAATCTGGTACATATACACTGTGGAATACTATTCAGCCATAAAAGAGAATGAGATCATGTCTTTTGCAGGAATGTTGATGGAGCTGGAAGCCACTATCCTTGGCAAAATAATGCAGAAACAGAAAACCATATGCCACATATTCTTATTTATAAGTGGAAGCTAAGTGATGAGAACACATGGACACATGGAGGGGAACAACAGACACTGGGGCCTGTTGGAGGGTGGGGAGTGGCAGGAGGGAGAGGATCAGGAAAAACAACTAATGGGTACTAGGCTTAATACCTGACAAAGTAATCTACACGACAAACCTCTATGACACAAGTTTACCTAGGTAACCTGCACATATACCTCTGAACTTAAAAAGTTTTTTTTTAATAAAAAAGGATGTGCTTTATTTGTGTAATGAGAAGAAATAAAATACCAATTAGATTGTAAAAATGGATGACTCTGAAGGAGCTTTTATTATATTGAATATTGATGTTTCATGGGGTTAAAAATGAGAGATTTAAAAATATACAGGAATAATACATCAATTGGTATGGTAATGATTGAAGGAAGTGCTTTAAGTTTAGATGGTGTGAGAAGTGAATAAAATGTACTGATTAATTGTAAATATAGATGTGATTTCTAGTGTAACTACTACAAATGACTGCTATATAGAAATGAATATTTAACTTTCAAGCTAGTACAATGGAAAAATGAAACAGGAAAAATAATTATAAAATAAGAAATAGAAAAAACCATAGAAGGAACAGAATAAGTAGAAAAAAGATATTAACAGATGTAAGTATAGATGTAATTTCTAGTGGAACCACTACAAATGATTGTTACATAGAAATGAATATATAACTTCAAAACTAGTAGAGTGGAAAAATGAAATAGAAAAAAATTATAAGAGAAATAGAAGGAACAGAATAAGTAGAAAAAAATGAGACAGTATTAGTAGACATAACCAAAATGTGAGTAATTACATTAAATGTAAATGGACTGAGTTATCCAGTTAAAGGCAGATTGTTAACTGATTAAAAAATGAAACCAATTATATACTGTTATAAAAGACAACACCTAAACCATAAAATACAAACATTTGGAAAGTAAGGTGATGGGTAAAATTATACAAACCAAAAGGAAGCTGATGTAGATATATTAGTATTGGAAAAAAGAAATTGCTAGGGAAAGAGTCATATAATGAAAATTTCAGTCCACTAGGAAGGTAATTCAAAATTGACGTTACTGACCAGGTGCAGTGGCTCACGCCTGTAATCCCAGCACTTTGGGAGGCCAAGGTGGGTGGATCGCTTGAGGTCAGGAGTTTGAGACAAGTCTGACCAACACGGTGAAACCCAGTGTCTGCTAAAAATACAAAAATTAGTTGGGTGTGGTGGTGCATGCCTGTAATCCCAGCTACTTGGGAGGCTGACTGAAGCAGGAGAGTTGCTTGAACCCAGGAGGCAGAGGTTGCAATGAGCTGAGATCATGCCACTGCACTCCAGCCTGGGTGACAGAGCAAGATTCTTGTCTCAAAAAAAAAAAAAAAAAAAAGTTTGGCATTACCTGGTAAGTAAATGATTAAGCAGCCTCATATTTGAGGATGTTAACGCAATTCAAGGTAACCCATGTGTCAAAGAAATGCTCATCTAACCTAAAATATAAGTGGAACTGGACAGTGGTGAAAATACTTAAAATGTATGTGTTGCAGCTAAAACAGCACTTGGAAGAAATTGATAGATTTAAACGTGTCTAGCAGAAGGAAAGACTAAATGAAAGAAGCATATATCTTAAGTTATAGAAAAACAACACAAAATAAGCTGAAAGAAACTAGAAGGCAATAAAGACGAGCAGAATTTTATTTTAAGGTTTTATCTTTGAAAAAGATTTCTAACACTGATAAACCTCTGACAAAGTTAAGGAAAAAAGCAGGCACACATATCCTGTGTCTAGAATGAAGAAGAGGACATAAATATTCCTATTATGATGTTAAATATATTATTATGAATAACTTAAAACCAATAAGTTTGTAACATGTAGAAGAAACTGATGAATTTTAATAAAAACATAGCTTACCGAAATATACAATAGTTCAATAGCCGTCAAAATAACTGAATCAATAATTTACAATATTCCCAGAAAGAAAATTCCATGCCTAAACAACTTATTTGGTGAGTACTAACAAGTATTCAAAAAGTAATTCCAAACTTAAGCCTTTTCAGAAAAGAGGGGTACTCCTTAACTATATGGGCCCAGCAAATACCTGAAACCAAATGAAGTATGAAAAAGGAAAATTACTGGCCAATTTCACTTAGGAACATAGA
This sequence comes from Homo sapiens, assembly GCF_000001405.40. Lineage (NCBI taxonomy): Eukaryota > Metazoa > Chordata > Mammalia > Primates > Hominidae > Homo > Homo sapiens. Next base: position 97,193,780 of record NC_000007.14, read on the forward strand.
TTCAAAATTCTAAACTAAGTATTAGCAAGACAAATTCAGCAAAGGATGATTCATCAGGAACTAGTTGGGTTTATGCCAGGAATCCAAAGTTGTTTTTACATAAAAAAATCAATTACTATGATCACATAAATTAAAAGAGATTTAATTATGACCATCTCATTAGATGGAGAAAAAGCATTTGCTAACATTCAGTATCCATTCATGATAAAAATGCTTTTAGCAAACCAGGTATAAAGGCCACTTTATCAATGAAAGGGTTTCTACTGAACATCAGCAGCAAACATGATGAATCGTTGAAAGCTTTGTCTTTAAGATTGAGAAAAAGACAAAGATATCTGTCATTTCTTCTTCTGAATTCAAAACTGATGGTCTCTGAAAATGTAATTGTATATGTAGAAAATCTAGAAGAATCCACAAATTTCCACAAATTCAGATGAATAAGAGAAGTTTGCTGGATGCAATAATTGCTATCAATTGAATTTCTGTGTAGCAGCAAAAAGCAGCATGAAAATTTGTAAGTATTTTATCAACAAATATTAAATACTTAGAAACCAATTTAGAAAAAGATGTTAAAAATTCTCTGGAGGGAAAACCCCTATTCTCCCTGGGACAGAGCACCTAGGGGAAGGGGCGGCTGTGAGTACAGATTCAGCAGACTTAAGCATTCCTGCCTGCTGGCTCTGAAGAGAGCAGCAGTTCTTTGAGCACAGCGCTTGAGCTCTGCTAAGGGACAGAACTGCTTCTCAAGTGGGTCCCTGACCCCCATGCCTCCTGACGGGGAGACATTTCCCAGCAGTGGTCGACAGACAGGAGAGCTCCGCCTGGCATCTGGCAGGTGCCCCTCTGAGACGAAGCTTACAGAGGAAAGAACAGGCAGCAATCTGTGCTGTTCTGCAGCCTCTGCTGGTGATACCCAGGCAAACAGAGCCTGGAGTGGGCCTCCAGGAAACTCCAACAGACCTGCAGCAGAGGGGCCTGACTCACAGAAGGAAAACTAACAGAAAGGATGAGAGCATCAACATCAACAAAAAGGAGGTCCACACAAAAACCCCATCTGAAGGCCACCAGCATCAAAGAACAAAGGCAGATAAATCCAGGAAGATGGGGAGAAACCAGCGCAAAAAGGGTGAAAATTCCAAAAACCAGAATGCTGCTTCTCCTCCAAAGGATCACAACTCCTCACCAGCAGGGGAACATAACCTGATGGAGAATGAGTTTGACAAATTGACAGAAGTAGGCTTCAGAAGGTGGGTAATAACAAACTCCTCCGAGCTAAAGGAACATGTTCTAACCCAATGCAAGGAAGGTAAGAACTTTGAAAAAAGGTTAGGTGAACTGGTAACTAGAGTAACCAGTTTAGAGAAGAACATAAATGACCTGATGGAGCTGAAAAACAGCACGAGAACTTTGTGAAGCATACACAACTATCAATAGCCGAACTGATCAGCGGAAGAAAGAGAATCCTAAGCAAAAAGAACACAGCTGGAGGCATCACGCTACCTGACTTCAAACTATACTACAAGGCTACAGTAACCAAAACAGCATGGTACTGGTACCAGCACAGATATATAGACCAATGGAACAGAACAGAGGCCTCAGAAATAACACCACACATCTACAACCATCTGATCTTTGACAAACCTGACAAAAACAACCAATGGGAAAAGGATTCCCTATTTAATAAATGGTTCTGGGAAAACTGGCTAGCCATATTCAGAAAACTGAAACTGGACTCCTTCCTTACACCTTATACAAAAATTAACTCAAGATGGATGAAAGACTTAAATGTAAGACCTAAAAGCATAAAAAGCCTAGAAGAAAACTTAGGCAATACCATTCAGGACATAGGCACGGGCAAAGTCTTCATGACTAAAACACCAAAAGCAATGGCAACAAAAGCCAAAATTGACAATTGGGATTTAATTAAACTAAAAATTTCTTTTGCTGTGCAGAAGCTCATCATCAATGTGAACAGACAACCTACAGAATGGGGAAAAAATTTTGTAATCTATCCATCTGAAAAGGGCTAATATCCAGAATCTACAAAGAACTTAAACAAATTTATAAGAAAAAAACAACCCCATCAAAAAAATGGGCAAAGGATACGAACACACACTTCTCAAAAGATGACATTTATGTGGCCAACGTATGAAAAAAAGCTCATCATCACTGGTCATTAGGGAAATGCAAATCAAAAACCACAATGAGATACCATCTCACTCCTGTTAGAATGGCGATCATTAAAAAGTCAGGAAACAACAGATGCTGGAGAGGATGTGGAGAAATAGGAACACTTTTACACTGTTGGGGGGAGTATAAACTAGTTCAACCACTGTGGAATACAGTGGCTATTGCTCAAAGATTTAGAACCAGAAATACCATTTGACCCAGCAATCCCATTACTAGGTATATACCCAAAGGATTATAAATCATTCTACTATAAAGACACATGCACACATGTTTACTGCGACACTGTTCACAATAGCAAAGACTTGGAAACAACCCAAATGCCCATCAATGATACACTGGATAAACAAAATGTGGCACATATATACCATGGAATACTATGTAGCCGTAAAAAAGGATGAGTTAATGTCCTTTGCAGGGACATGGATGAAGCTGGAAACCATCATTCTCACCAAACTAACACAAGAACAGAAAACCAAACACTGCATGTTCTCACTCATAAGTGGGAGTTGAAGAATGAGAACACATGGACATAGGGAGGGGAACATCACACACTGGGGGTGTGTCAGATGGTGGGGGGCTATGGGAGGCATAGGATTAGGAGAAATACCTATTATAGATCACAGGTTGATGGGTGCAGCAAACCACCATGGCACGTGTATACCTATGTAACTAACCTGCATGTTCTGCACATGTACCTCAGAACTTAATTTTAAAAAATTAAAAATAATAATTGGAATTAACTATACTAAAAAAAAATTTCTGGAGGAAATTGTAAACTTTTTACTTAAAGACACTAAAGAAGTCTTAAAGGAAGTGGCACTCCACAGTCAAGGATTAGAATATTTAATATTGTAAATACCTTGTTTCCAAATAGTCTGTAGTTTCAACACAGTCTTCATCTAATTTCTAAATGTTTTTATTTTTAATTGACAAGCTTATTTTAAAATTTATATGGAATTGTAAAGGGCCAAGGATAACCAAGTCACCCTTAAAGACAATATAATCAAACTTACCCTACCAGATGTCAAAATATAGCTTTAATTATTAAGATATTATAGCCTTTTATTATAGGGTGCCTTGACTTATGGCAATGATGTACTGCAGTATAGTGGAGAAATGACTAATTTTCAATAAACTGTTCTGGAAAGTGGTATTTTTCTAGGAAAAAATAAACTTTGGTATCTCAAATTGGTTATAGGTTTCTTAAAGATCAAAATATGAAAGGCAGTATTACAACACTGCAAGAAAATAATACAGAGTATCTTCAAAATATTGGAGTAGGAGAGAACTTTTAAAATAAGACAACAAGTTCTAAAGAACAAAATGAATAAGTCTGATTAACATAAAGCTTATTATTAAAAGTAGTAAAGAATGCAGACACAAGCCTCAGAGTATAAAAAGATCGTTGCTACACATATTAATGGCCAACAACATCTGAAGAACTCCTATAAATCAATGAAAAAGGGGTAAATTCCAATAGAAAATGGGCAAAGATATTGAACAGTAAGTTCACAAATAAGGAAATTTACATGGTCAGTTAACAGAAGAAAATCCTTGGCCTCATTTGTAATAGGGAAACTTAAATAGAAATTACAATCAGATTACATTACACAACTTCCAGGTTTAATAAAATAAAGTCTGACAATAACAAGTGTTGACAAAGATAAGGAAATAATAAAAACTCTTATCCTGCTGGTGGGAGTGTAGATTAGTATAATGTCTTTGGAATACATTTTGATATTCTCTAGTAAATTTGAAGATTATTATGCATAATACTATTGCATTTTTCATGTTACTGCATTCATGGTATTACACTGTAGTATGATGGTTGAGTACAGACACTTCTGCCAACTGCATTGATTTGAATTCCATTTTCCTAGCTTTTTCACCTTGAACATGTGACTTGATTCATAAAAGTAAAGTTTGTCTCCCCACCCCAAAACCAATTTTTGCTTTCATAGTGTTGTGAGCATTAAATGAGCTAGTCTGTGTGAAATGTTCAGAACAGTACCTGGAATGTAATAAACACTACAAAGCATTTATTATTGTTATTGCTGTTACTATTACTTTGCAACCCACAAAACCAGTTCTAGACAATTTTGTGCATGTGTGAATTAGGGTACTATACAAGAATGTTCATATAAGAATTATTTTAGCAGCTTCAGTTTTCTAGGGTTTTTATGGTTTTAGGTCTTATGTTTAAGTCTTTAATCAATCTTGAGTTAATTTTTGTGTAAGGTATAAGGAAGGGGTCCAGTTTCAGTTTTCTGCATATGGCTAGCCAGTTTCCCTAACACCATTTATTAGCTAGGGAATCCTTTCCCCATTGCTTGTTTTTGTCAAACCAGAAACAATGCTAATGTCCCTCAATAGTAGAATGGAAAAAAAGTTATGATATAGTCATATAGCAGCAAACCTGAATGAACTATTATTTTCATATACACTGAAGAAAGAAGTCAAATAAATATGGTGTGAATGCATTAGTACAAAACTGAAAAACAGGCAAAACAACAATATCGTGAGGAATGCAGGTATTCATGGTAAAACGTTAAAGAAAGCAAGCAAATTACTATCACAAAAATTAAATAGTGGTTAACTCCACTAACAAGGTTGTGACTGGAAATGGGGACATGGGGTCTTCTCGGATCCTGGGGGGCAATGTTTCATATTCTAAGCTGTGTTATGTTTATATGAGTGTTTATAATTATTCTTCAAATTGTATGTATATGTCGTTGACTTCCATTTTTAAGCTACTAAAAACTTCTGGAGTGGAAAAGATAATTGTTCAAAGTGTGGGCATGGGAAAGAGAGATAAAGTGTAATCTCTAAATGGACAGTCCAAAGGCATTTGGAGACATTTGCTCAAGATCAAGGAAAGAAAGAGTGGACACGATATGGAACCCCTCCTCCTTCTCCCAATGCATATTGAGCCTTATAAATGACAGTGTTTTACCATTGAGTACAATGGTGGATTTTTAAAAAATACAAATTGCTGGGTGCCCACCCTGAAGAAATGGTGTAGGATAGAGCCTAGGCATTGGTAGTTTTTTTTGTTTTTTGTTTTTGAGACGGAGTCTCGCTCTGTCGCCCAGGCTGGAGTGCAGTGGTGCGATCTCGGCTCACTGCAACCTCCACCTCCTAGGTTCATGCCATTCTCCTGCCTCAGCCTCCTGAGTAGCTGGGACTACAGGCACCCACCACCACGCTTGGCTAATTTTTTGTATTTTTAGTAAAGACGGGGTTTCACTGTGTTAGCCAGGATGGTCTCGATCTCCTGACCTCGTGATCCGCCCGCCTCAGCCTCCCAAAGTGCTGGGATTACAGGCGTGAGCCACCGCATTTGTAGTTTTAAAAAAAGCTGTCTAGGAAATTCTGATGGGTTTCTGGGCTTGACTTTCACTGCTATATTAAAAACAAACTAAACCAACAACATACCTTGAGTGAGTAAAACTAAAAAAATAGGAAAATAATTATTTCAATTAAGGATCAACCACAGGTTCTTTCATTTATAGTGATTAGCTCCCTTTCAATGTAATCCAACTCCCCCCAATTTTGAATTATTCATAACACTTCAAGAATTTGGTTAATATGTCATGTAGGAATATATCTGCTTAAGAGGGAAAATTGACCTAATGGTTACTTTTGTGATTGTATTTGTTGCTTTCATTTTTTATAAAGCTCCTTATTTTCCAGCTCTTGGCATTTTATGTTGATGTGTTTCAAAAAATTGGTTTTACAATGAACAACACTTGAGGGTTGTTTGCATTTTCCTTTTGTTAAGAGACCTGATAGAGGAAAGACTACAGGACCTTTGTTATATCAACTTGATTCCTATAAAATTATGGAATTTCAAGAGGCTGTTAAATGTATCTAGTTTAACTACATTTTTTGCCCTTTTATTTTCAGAACTTATTTGATCAAGGAATGCATTTTGACTCTCGAGATTAATGAATTTGAAATATAAATTCACTTATTCCAACTAGTTGAGTATTTTAGACATCTTTAAGTCTGACTTACAGAAACATGCAGAAGTGCTGGGGTCCGTTGGCAGTTATGGGCTTTAGGAAATGTATTATTTTTGTACAAATTGTAAGATTAGCTTATAATGTTTTAGCAAAGAAATAATAGAGTTCAATGCTAGATACCTGAAATAGTACACCCTTTTCAGGATTTCAAAATATAGCCGTGCGAAAGCTGAAAGGAGCTGAATGTTGAATAATTGTTGCTAAGCAACATTAAAAGAATAACTATCTGCATAGTAATGGCATATCTAACAAATGCTGCCACTCACATTAGATGACTGAAAGGAGAACAAAGCACCAGGCTACAAGAATAGTAAAATTTTACATTTAAAATGTATATCATAATGAACTTGTAAGATAAGCTCACTCAATAGCAATTTGATTTTAAAATATGACTAAACAAAAAGATTATGGTAAAAACATTTGAATGAATGGGATTTGGATTAGATAATATTTTAAACCGACTAATCTAAAGTAGGGAGAAAGGCAACATTGTAATACTTCAGTAAAATAGTATAGTGAATATCTTCAAAATATTGCAGTTGTTCTCAAAGCTTAGCTTTATGAAACATGTGAGGGTACCTTTATGTCTTCTAGACCCAAAGACACATCTCACATTGTTTAACTCTGTTGCCCCAATCTCAGTCTTCTTTTAAAGGAGAATTTGTATTATTTTAATTATTTTTATGTACAGAAAACTCAACAGTGTACATTTAACCATTTGGTGGCAAGTTCTTTAGCCTTTGGCTTCTCCAGCTTGGCAATGTGAGCCAGACTTGGGACCCAGGACGTTGCCTCCCCAGTGATGGGGAATCTCATCATATCTGTCGTTATAATTGATCCTGATAGCTTCCAACAGTTTAGCCAGAGCTCCTTTGTTGTGTGTGAAGGCTACAATGGTGCAGGTCTTCCTGTGGACTAGATGCCCCAGTCTTGCCTTTCCCTTGATAATGCAGTAAGGGGCCCTCATGTTATGACACAGGGCAGGCAGGAAGACACCAGCTCGATGGGATCCATGTCCTGTGCAGTCACCACCAGCTGAGCCTTCTTGTTCCCCACCAAGGTGGTGATGGTGTTAATTCCTGCTTGAAGGACAGGTGATCTCTTAACAGAGACATATCCTTTGCCAGCAGCTTTCTTCTTAGCCCAGGCCAACAGCCTCTGCTTCTTCTCTTGCTTTTTCTCTGGTCAGTGGCCAGCTTAAGAAGCTGAGTAGCTGTTTGGCGGTCCAAGGCCTGGGTGAACTGGTTAATCGCCGGAGGCGCTTTCAGCCACTTACAGAGGATGGCTCTCTGGTGCTGCAACCTGATACAATGGGGCCATTTCATAAAGTAGGTGAGCTCCCTTTTGGGCTGGATGTCCTGTCCAATGCCAAAATTCTTAATTCTTTTCTCAAACAGGGGATTCACCACTTTCTTGGCCACCTGCTTCTTCCCATTGGCCTTTCTTTTTGGCATCTTGGGTGGCAGGAGGAGAGAGCCCAATCTCAGTCTTTCTATAGAGAATGCAAGTTCCATAAGTCAGAAAGTTTGTTTTGTTCTCTGATGTTTGACCAATACTTATAAAGTGCCAGCCACATTGCAGGGACTCCATAAATATTAGTTGAATAAAATAATATCTAAAAATAGTATAGTAGTCAGTGTTCATTCTGGAACAAACGATCAATTTGAATACGGAAAGTTTAATATAAAAAGTATTAAGTAGGGAAGTAACTGTAAAACTGTTATAAAGCTGTAAAGAGAACTCAAAGGAATACCCTAGGGATAAGGCAGAGTACCCACAGAAGAACAAACTTGGAAAGAGAGGCCCTTCCCAAGGTTGGGATTCAGAACCTAGTAGATAGCAGAGGCATTTGCTGTGTTGCCCAGGCTAGAGCTAGTGTATAGTTGCTAAGCAAGCAGGAAACTACCCTCTGGCAGGTGTGATGGTGCTGGCAGGCAGGCAGGCTTACAGAGGAATTGGGAGTTTGGAGATTCTGCTCACTGGTAAGGCAGTGTACAGATGGATATGTAGTGTGGATATCTGGGCGTCTTAACAACCTTTTGCAATGCAAGCAGGTTGAGGATAGTAACAGGCACACAGAGGGTATGAGGCCTAAGGAAATGTGTGGCTTGGAGTGCACAGTGTTTGTGTCTAGAGTTACACAATAAGCAACTCAGGTATGGATGGGCAGAGGCTGATAGCCAGGTAGGCACTAAGAGGGAGTCAGGGCATCTGGAGTTTACTTGTGAGCAGGGTGCCCCATAGCATGAGATGTTCATTGATAATGTCCTGAGTGCCAGGTGAGGTGATCACCAGTCCAGGCCAGGCTACAAGCTTGGCAAGAGACTACACATCATGGACATGCAGGTAGGCGGAGTATGCTGGTGTCCCAGCACACATGCTGCTGGCATCTGTGCAGTAGGAACAAAGGAGAAGCAAAAATGGCAGCACACTAGATAAATCCCTGCTTTTACAATGATCCTCCAGCACTCTCCACTGATAAAGCTAGATATTTTCTCACTACAAAGGAAAAATATTTAAATCTCCATCATCACAGAGCTGGTAAGGCAGAATCACTTTGGAGAAGAGAGGCAATAAACTGACATCAAGCACATGTAGTTAACATAGAATGTATGCCACATACTGAGATTTATATTGGTTATTATTAGATTACATATAGTATATAGCTATTCATCTATTATATAGATCATGTTACATAAATTATTTAAACCTCAATTTCCCTATGATTTGCTATTTGTTTTATAGATGAATAATCTGAAGCTTAGAGGAATGAAGTAACTTGCTAGGTGTCGAATAGCTGATAAGAGCAAGAAATGGGATTTCAACCTTTTTAGTTTTCCTAGCACCTATGCCTTTAACCATTATCCCATTACACTTCCTCCCAGAGGAAAATGTTATTGAATTGCTAAAGGTAACCTACTGGCTCAGCACCTATTGGTTGTGTCCTCATCAAGTGACACTTTAGACACTTGCTTTTCAGTGGTCTTACCCACTCAAAGGTTCTCATGTTGCTCGTAGGGTGCCAAGCATTCCTTTAGGTACCTCTGCGTCAGTTCCTCATAGACAAGCACCCCATACTGGTCATCAAATAGTGATGCCAATAGGGTTGTCCCAGTAGAGTCCCCTGTGTAGGGAGATAGTGCAGGCATGGCAATCAACACTAGATGATAGTAACTCTTCCAAAAGGAGACTGCAGGGCAAATTTCCTGAGATCATGTAAATGGGCCCTAACTCTGGACACAGTTAATGGTACCTTTCAAATTCAGGAATGAAAAGAAACACCTGTGGCTGGGCGCGGTGGCTCACGCCTGTAATCCTAGCACTTTGGGAGGCCGAGGCAGGCGGATCACAAGGTCAGGAGATCAAAACCAACCTGGTGAACACTGTGAAACCCTGTCTCTACTAAAAATACAAAAACATTAGGCAGGCATGGTGGTGGGCGCCTGTAGTTCCAGCTACTTGGGAGGCTGAGGCAGGAGAATGGCATGAGCCTGGGGGATGGAGCTTGCAGTGAGCGGAGATGCACCACTGCACTCCAGCCTGGGCAACAAAGTGAGACTCTGTCTGCAAAAAAAAAAAAAAAGAAAGAAAGAAAGCAAGAAAAAGAAACACCTGCTTACTCAAAGTACCACACCAAACATCCTCACATTTTGTTCTTAGGATTTTGGTCTTAGATCTTTCTTACTCCATTCCCCCTGTGGGTACTCCATCAACTCCTTTGGCTCTCTGAACCATGTATTTGATGATATCCAGATCTCTCCCCAGGCTACATCTCTCTCATGAGCTCCATACCTCTGAATCCAAGCATTCCTTACATATCTACCCCTAGCTATCCTAAAACCCAAAGACCATAGTTCAAAACTCCACTCATTCAATTGCCCTAAACCTGATCACCCTGTCTGGGCTTCTTTTTATGAACAATCACCTAGCTGTCATTACCAGAAACTGGGTGTCATCTTTGATGTCTTTCTCTTCCTTACCTCTGCATGAAATATATTCCTATTGTTCCCTCCCCACCTTTATTCAACCTATCACCAAGTCTTGTTTATTCTATTTAATAACTCTTACATTCACTCAGTTTTTTCTATCCACATTTTCACTTTAGTTCAACCTATTATCTCATCTGGATTTCCCCAATATCTTCCTAACTTCCTCTAGTATTGACCCCTCCAATCTGTTCTCTAGAGTGCCATGAGGGTAATTTTTCTCAAATTCAAATCTGATTATGTCACTTCCTTGCTTTAAAAACCCTTCAATGCTATCTTGTTTAAGGTAAGTCCAAACTCCTCAATGCATATCGTTAGATGCTTTACGATCTAGCTTGAGTTTACCTCTTGAATCACTTAGAGTTGCTAAAAGAAACAACCATAGACAAATTAAACAGTTTGATTGAACTAAGAAGGACTTGCAAATCAGGCATTCCCAAAACCAAAATAGGTTCAGAGAGACTTCAGCACAGCTCTGTGGTAGAAGATGATTTATGGACAGGAAAAGGAAAGTGACATACAGAAAATGGAAGTTGAGGTACAGAAACAGCTGGATTGATTACATCTTCGTGTTTGCTTTATTTGAACATGGTTTGAACAGCTGGCTGCCTTCAATTGGCCAAAACTTCTTGATTGAAACAAGGTTAGGTTATAATCTGTTTACACCTCTGGTTTACAGTATTTCTCTGTATGGAGAAACCTTTAAGCTGAACTTAAAATACGTGAGAAGGCAGTTTTAGGCTGAACTTGACTCCAGTCAGAAGACCGAAACTACTCTCAAAAGACAGAAACTACACCAGTCATTTTCATTGACAGAAGATGAAAAGTTGTTTATTAGTTATGAAGAACTGATAAAGCAAAAGAGAACAATAAGATGTCATAGAGGTAGCAAATGCAGGAAGAAGCTATCAATTCTAGGGCTGAGGGAATAACGGGAAGAGGTTAAAATTATTAAACTTTAAAAGTGTGCCCCGAGTAGCTGAAATTCAGGCCTCTGAGGAGAGGGGCAGTGGACAGCTGGTGTGTCTTAGGTGGAGTGAGTATGATGCAGCTAGTTTTGCAAATGTTAGAAACTGTAAATTTGCTTCAACTGCTGCTACTAGAATGGGCGGCAGCTTCTAGAGTGAAAAGAGCCTGGAGGACACTGATAGGAATAAGAATAAGAGGCAAACTGGAAGTAACAAGGCTTTTCCTTCTCCAATCCAGTAGTTTTCCTCTAGTATCCCCTATTGGCAGAGCCTAAGGAAACCATCTGGCAAAGCAGGAATGTAGTTTGTAGAGTCCTAACACCAGCATCACAAAGCTAAGTTAGAAGAGTGGGTTTGAAGCTAAAGGACAATAACTCAGAAACTGGCAAAATCCATCCCTTTAGCTATTCAGCACGCTCGCATCCTTCTATGTGTCTTACAAACAACAAAAACAACTCTATGTTTTCACTTAGAAATGCAACTATCCTTTTTACAAATGAAGACGTTCTCATCCTTTTCTCAAAATGAGGAGCCTAAAGTTACAACAATAAGAGCATCCACATCCATAAATGATTTATCTCTGGGCTATGATAACTACTCCCAAAGTTCAGTCACAGTTCCATCTGAATATTTGGTCACCTAAAGAGGAAATAGTAAACTTACCTGCCAACAAAATTTGTGAAAATTAATAAGGGGAAGCATATGAAAGAAAAATTTGTATTTATATGTACAGAGATGAACGCTCACTTATACAATAAACAGAAAATATATACATTAGTCATTACTTCTATAACTAGTCCCAAGGTAATAGTTTATAACTTTCTTCTTTCACTACCAATCCCTTGTCTCTTTTGTTCTCAGCCGTAACTTCACCAGATCAAAGTTGTCTTTACTGTTGTTTTTAACCTGGTGATGTTTGATGTCTCAAACTCTCATTCTGAAGGACCTGAATCTTCAGTGGACCTGCCCTTTTGAGGCGGAAACATTTCTGGGTTCCAAACATAGTCCTCCCAGCTCCGGTGTAGGCAGCAACCCCATTTCCTCTTAGTAAACAGAGTCAATCATCCCAGCCAGTTGATTAACCCCATCTTTGCCTGTTGGATCAGTAGCATGAAGAACCCCAAATGGCCAGGTGGTAGCCCTAACTTCTAATTCAATAGAACCATCATTGTGTCCCCTGGTAGAAACATTTTTCCCTTGGAACCATGTCTTCTAAATTGGCAAAGTTCAAAGCAAAAATTCTGCAAGTACGTTACTAATAGTGAGGGGAATTACATGCAATTCTGCATGTTGATTTCTGGGTCCTTCTATCCTGACTTTGGGAGAGACAGCAGCAAATATTGGTCACTAATTCAAACTATAAACTTCATCCTGTAAAATAGAACCCCATACTTTCAGGGCATTGTCTCCAAACGCACCATAACTGAGTCTTCACTAGGTTATTCTAGCATTCTACTAGATCAACTGCTTCTAGGTGATTGGTGCTGGGAGATTAATCAACACCATGGGCATGAGCCCATTGTGCACTTCTTTAGCTCTGAAATGAGTTCCCTGGTTACCAGCAACATTTGTATAATCACATAATTCTGAGTGAGGCAATCCATAGGTTCACAAATTGTGACGCTGGCAGTGTATTATCAACAGGGAAGCCCAATTCATATCCAGAATACATACCTATTCCAATGAGGATAAATCCTTGCCTATTCCTCATAAAGAAGAGACTGACGGAATCAATTTGCTACCAGATATCTATCTAGTCTCCTAGCGGGTACTGGCACATCAAAGGGCTCAGCATTGATCTCTGATGTTGATAGATTAGCCTCAACAACAGTGGTATCCATGTCAGCCTTGGTGAGGGAAAGTCCATGTTATTCAGCCCATGCATAGCATCCTGCCACCATATCCCTGCCGCCATGGCCACTTTGTACATAGGCCCATTAAGCACTAGGGTGGTTGGAGAAAGAAGTTGAAAGATATTCACAAACTACGTCAATTTATTCACCTGATTACTGGGAATATCCTCTACCATAGATGTTTGTTTTTTTGAGACAGAGTTTCGTTCTGTCACCCAGGCTGGAGTGCAGTGGCGTGATCTCGGCTCACTGCAACCTCTGCTTCCCGGGTTCAAGGGATTCTCCTGCCTCAACCTCCCAAGTAGCTGGGACTACAGGTGGTGCCACCATGCCCGGCTAATTTTTTGTATTTTTAGTAGATACAGGATTTCAACATGTTAGCTAGGATGGTCTCTATCTCCCTGACCTCATGATCCAGCAGGCTTGGCCTCCCAAAGTGCTGGGATTACAGGTATAAGGCACCACACCCGGCCCGTAGATGTTTTTATTAGGTTGTTTGTGTGTTTGTTTTGTTTGTTTGTTTTTTAGTACAGAAGAGGTCTCACTGTTGCCCAGGCTGGTCTTGAACTCCTGAGCTCAAGCAATTCTCTTATCTCAGCCCCCAAAATACTGAGATAGGCATGAGCCACTGTGCCAGGCCTATAAAAAAACTTTTAATTGTAAATTGACAAGTTATAATTGCATGTAATTATGGGGTTCAAAGTGATTTTTTTTTTTGAGAGATGGAGTCTCACTCTGTAGCCCAGGCTGGAGTGCAGTGGTGCGATCTTGGATCACTGCAACCTCTGCCTCCTGGGTTCAAGCAATTCTCCTGCCTCAGCCTCCTGTGTAGCTGGAATTACAGGCATGTGCCACCATGCCTGGCTAATTTTTTTGTATTTTTAGTAGAGACGGGGTTTTACCATGCTACTCAGGTGGGTCTCGAACTCCTGACCTGGTGATCCACCTGCCTCAGCCTTCCAAAGTGCTGGGATTATAGGCATGAGCCACCATGCCTGGCCCAAAGTGATATTTATGAATATAATATGGAATAATTAAATCAAGCTAATTAATATGTTCATTATCTTTAATACTTATTTTTTGTGGTGAGAACATTTGAAATTAACTCTCAGTGATTTTGAAATGTACAATAGGTTATTTTGCTATATTCAGTCTGCAATGCAATACATCTAAAGGAAAAAGAAATATTTCTTCTAATTGAGGCTTTGTTTTCTTTGACCATCATCTTCCTCATTCCTCCTGTACCACCCCCCCACCTTCACCCCCGGTAACTACCATTCTATTCTGTGCTTCTTTGCATTTGAGTGTTTTATATTCTACATATAATAAGAACATGCAATCTTCATCTGTGTCTGGTTTATTTAGTTTAGCATAATGTTTTTTACTTCCATCCGTATTGCCACAAATGACAAGTTTTTTTAACTAAATAGTATTCCATTATGTGTGATACAATATTTTCTTTATCTATTCCTCTGTTGATGGACACTTAGGCTGACTCCATAACTTTCCCACTGTGAATAGTGCTGCAGTGAACATGGGAATGCAGACATCTCTTCAATATACTGATTTCAAGTATTTTGAGTAAATATTCTAAAGTGGGATTGCTGAATCATATGTAATTCTATGTTTAGTTTTTTGAGAAACCTCTATACATTTTTCTATAATGGCCATACTAATTGATATTTCCACCAATAGTGTCCAAGTGTTCCCATTTCTATACATTCTCATTAATACTCATTATCTTTCATCTTTTGAATAGCCATTCTGATACGTGTATGGGGATATCTCATTGTGGTTTTAATTTATATTTCTCTAATTATGAAAAAATGCTCAATATTTCTAGTATCTGTTGGCCATTTGTAGATCTTCTTTGGATAAATGTCTATTCAGTTCCCTTACCTATTTTTAAATCAGATTTGTTTTCTTTGTATAGAATTGACTCTCATATTTTACATATTGACCCCTAATCAGCTGCATGGCTTGCAGCTATTTTCTCCTGATCTTTAGGTTGTCTCTTCACTCTGTTGTTTCCTTTGTTGTGTGGAGGATTTTTATTTTGAGGTAATCCTGTTTATCTCTTTTTGCTTTTATTGAATGTGCTTTTGGGGTCAAATCTAGAAAATCATTGCCCAGACCAGTGTCTGGTAGTTTTTCCAGAATGTTTTCCCCTAGTAGTTTTATAGTGTCAGGTCTTATGTTTAAGTCTTTAATCCACTTTGAGGTGATTTTTACATATGGTGTGAGATAAGGGTCTAATTTCATTCTTCTGCATCTGGATATCCAATTTTTTTCAACAGAATTCATTAAGGACTGACTTTTTCCTATATTCATGGCACCTTTGTTGAAAATCAGTTCTCCATATGTGCATGGGTTCATTTCCAGGCTCTGTATTTTTTCCCATTAGTCAATGAGTCTATTTTTATGCCAGTACCATGCTGCTTTATAATATAAAGTCAGGTGGTGTGATGCCTCCAGTTTTTTTTTTTTCCCTTATGATTGCTGTGGCTATTTGGGGTTTTTGTGGTTCCATATGAATTTTAGGATTGTTTTTTTCTTTTCCATGAAAAATGACATTGAAATTTTGATAGGGATTGCATTGAATCTGTATATCACTTCGGGTATTATGGACATTTAAACAATGTCAATTCTTCCAATCCATAAACATGGGATATCTTTCCATTTATTTGTGTCTTTTTCAATTTATTTTATTAACATTTTATAGTTTTTAGTGTGCAGGTCTCTATCTCCTTGATTAAATTTATTTCTAAATTATTTTTATGGCTACTGTAAATAGGATTGTTCTCTTTTGGAATGTCCATCGTTAGTGTACATAAAGACCTCCAATTTTTGTATGTTGAGTTTGTATTCTACAACTTTATTATATTCTTAAATTAGCTCTTAACAGTTTTTGGTGAAATCTTTGTAGTTTTTCTATATGTAAGTTCTTGTCATCAAACAATAATAATATCACTACTTCCTTTCCTATTTAGATGCCTTTTATTTCTTTCTCTTGTCTAATTGCTTTGGCAAGGACTTCCCACTCTACATTGAATAGAAATAATCAGAGTAGGCATTCTTGTGTTTTCGAGATCTTAGAGAAAAGGATTTCAGTTTTTCACTGTTGAGTATATTTACTGTGGGCTTATCATATATGACCTTTATTGTGTTGAGGTATATTCCTTCTATATCTAATGTATTGAGAGTGTCTAATGACAAAAGATGTTGAATTTTTTTGAAAGCCACTGATTTAATTGATTCTATTTTTTTAAATTATACTTTAAGTTTTAGGGTACATGTGCACAATGTGCAGGTTTGATACGTAGGTATACCAGTGCCATGTTGGTTTGCTGCACCCATCAACTCATCATTTACATTAGGTATTTCTGCTAATACTATCCCTCCCCCACCCCCCACCCCCTCCAACAGGCCCCAGTGTGTGACGTTCCCTGCCCTGTGTCCAAGTGATCTCATTGTTCAATTCCCACCTACGAGTGAGAACATGCGGTGTTTGGTTTTCTGTCCTTTTGATAGTTTGCTGAGAATGGAGGTTTCCAGCTTCATCCATGCCCCTGCAAAGAACATGAACTCATCCTTTTTTATGGCTGCATAGTATTCTATGTTATATATGTGCCACATTTTCTTAATCCAGTCTATCATTGATGGACATTTGGGTTGGTTCCAAGTCTTTGCTATTGTGAATGGTGCCACAATAAACATATGTGTACATGTGTCATTATAGTAGCATGATTTATAATCCTTTGGGTATATACCCAGTAATGGGATTGCTGGGTCAAATGGTATTTCTAGTTCTAGATCCTTGAGGAATCACCACACTGTCTTCCACAATGGTTGAACTAATTTACACTCCCACCAACAGTGTAAAAGCGTTCCTATTTCTCCACATCCTCTCCAGCATCTGTTGTTTCCTGACTTTTTAATGATTGCCATTCTAACTGGCATGAGATGGTATCTCATTGTGTTTTTGATTTGCATTTCTCTGATGACAAGTGATGATGAGCATTTTTTGATGTGTCTGTTGACTGCATAGATGTTTTCTTTTGAGAAGTGTCTCTTCAAATCCTTTGCCCACTTTTTGATGGGGTTTGTTTTTTTCTTGTAAATTTGTTTGAGTTCTTTGTAGATTATGGATATAGCCCTTTGTCAGATGGGTAGATTGCAAAACTTTTCTCCCATTCTGTAGGTTGCATGTTCACTCTGATGGTAGTTTCTTTTGCCGTGCAGAAGCTCTTTAGTTTAATTATGTCCCATTTGTCAATTTTGGCTTTTGTTGCCATTGCTTTTGGTGTTTTAGTCATGAAGTCTTTGCCCATGCCTATGTCCTGAATGGTATTGCCTAGGTTTTCTTCTAGGGTTTTTATGGTTTTAGGTCTAACATTTAAGTCTTTAATCCATCTTGAATTAATTTTTGTATAAGGTGTAAGGAAGGGATCCAGTTTCAGCTTTCTACATATGGCTAGCCAGTTTTCCCAGCACCATTTATTAAATAGGGAATGCTTTCCCCGTTTCTTGTTTTTGTCAGGTTTGTCAAAGATCAGATGGTTGTAGATGTGTGGTGTTATTTCTGAGGCATCTGTTCTTTTCCATTGTTCTATATATCTGTTTTGGTACCAGTACCATGCTATTTTGGTTACTGTAGCCTTGTAGTATAGTTTGAAGTCAGGTAGCGTGATGCCTCCAGCTTTGTTGTTTTGGCTTAGGATTGTCTTGGCAATGCAGGCTCTTTTTTGGTTGCATATGAACTTTAAAGTGGCTTTTTCCAATTCTGTGAAGAAAGTCATTCGTAGCTTGATGGGGATGGCATTGAATCTATAAATTACTTTGGGCAGTATGGCCATTTTCACAATATTGATTCTTTCTATCCATGAGCATGGAATATTCTTCCATTTGTTTGTGTCCTCTTTTATTTTGTTGAGCAGTGGTTTGTAGTTCTCCTTGAAGAGGTCCTTCACTTCCTTGTAAGTTGGATTCCTAGGTATTTTATTATCTTTGTAGCAAATGTGAATGGGAGTTCACTCATGATTTGACTCTCTGTCTGTTAATGGTGTATAGGAATGCTTATGATTTTTGCACATTGATTTTGTATCCTGAGACTTTGCTGATGTTGTTTATCTGCTTAAGGAGATTTTGGACTGAAACGATGGGGTTTACTAAATATACAATCATGTCATCTGCAAACAGGGACAATTTGACTTCCTCATTTCCTAATTGAATACCCTTTATTTCTTTCTCTTGCCTGATTGCCCTGGCCAGAACTTCCAACTCTATGTTGAATAGGAGTGGTGAGAGAGGGCATCCCTGTCTTCTGTCGGTTTTCAAAGGGAATGGTTCCAGTTTTTGCCCATTCAGTATGATATCGGCTGTGGGTTTGTTATAAGTAGTTCTTATTATTTTGAGATACATTCCATTGATACCTAGTTTATTGAGAATTTTTAGCATGAAGGGCTGTTGAATTTTGTCAAAGGTGTTTTCTGCATCTATTGAGATAATCGTGGTTTTTGTCATTGGTTCTGTTTATGTGATGGATTACATTTACTGATTTTCATATGTTGAACCAGCCTTGCATCCCAGGGATGAAGCCAACTTGATCATGGTAGATAAGCTTTTTGATGTGCTGCTGGATTCAGTTTGCCAGTATTGAGGATTTTCCCATCAATGTTCATCAGGGATATTGGTCTAAAATTCTCTTTGTTGGTTCTCTGCCAGGCTTTGGTATCAGGATGATGTTGGCCTCATAAAATGAGTTAGGGAGGATTTCCTCTTTTTCTGTTGATTGGAATAGTTTCAGAAGGAATGGTACCAGCTCCTCTTTGTACGTCTGGTGGAATTCGGCTGTGAATCCGTCTGGTCCTGGACTTTTTTTGGTTGGTAGGCTATTAATTATTGCCTTAATTTCAGAGCCCGTTATTGGTCTATTCAGAGATCCAACTTCTTCCTGGTTTAGTCTTGGGAGGGTGTATGTATCCAGGAATTTATCCGTTTCTTCTAGATTTTCTAGTTTATTTGCATAGAGGTGTTTATAGTATTCTCTGATGGTAGTTTCTATATCTGTGGGATCGGTGGTGATATCCCCTTTATCATTTTTTATTGCAGCGATTTGATTCTTCTCTCTTTTCTTCTTTATTAGTCTTGCTAGCAGTCTATCAATTTTGTTGTTCTTTTAAAAAAAACCAGCTCCTATATTCATTGATTGTTTTGAAGAGTTTTTTGTGTCTCTACCTCCTTCAGTTCTGCTCTGATCTTAATTATTTCTTGCCTTCTGCTAGGTTTTGAACTCGTTTGCCGTTGGTTCTCTAGTTCTTTTAATTGTGATGTTAGGGTGTCAATTTTAGATCTTTCCTGCTTTATGGGCATTTACTGCTATAAATTTCCCTCTACCCACTGCTTTAAATGTGTCCCAGAGATTCTGGTACGTTGTGTTTTTGTTCTCATTGGTTTCAAAGAACATCTTTATTTCTGCCTTCATTTTGTTATTTACCCAGTAGTCATTCAGGAACAAGTTGTTCAGTTTCCATGTAGTTGTGTGGTTTAGAGTGAGTTTCTTAATCCTGAGTTCTAATTTGATTGCACTGTGGTCTGAGAGACAATTTGTTGTGATTTCTGTTCTTTTACATTTGCTGAGGAGTGCTTTACTCCCAATTATGTGGTCAATTTTAGAATAAGTGTGATGTCGTGCTAAGAAGAATGTATATTCTGTTGATTTGGGGTGGAGAGTTCTGTAGATGTCTATTAGGTCTGCCTGTTGCAGAGCTGAGTTCAGGTCCTGGATATCCTTGTTAACCATCTGTCTCATTGATCTGTCTAATATTGACAGTGGGGTGTTAAAGTCTCCCATTATTATTTTGTGGGAGTCTAAGTCTCTTTGTAAGTCTCTAAGGATTTGCTTTATGAATCTGGGTGCTCCTGTATTGAGTGCATATATATTTAGGACAGTTAGCTCTTCTTGTTGAATTGATCCCTTTACCGTAATGTAATGGTCTTCTTTGTCTCTTTTGATCTTTGTTGGCTTAAAGTCTGTTTTATCAGAGACTAGGATTGCAACCCCTGCTTTTTTTTGTTTTCCATTTGCTTGGTAGAACTTCCTCCATCCCTGTATTTTGAGCCTATGTGCCTCTTTGCATGTGACATGGGTCTCCTGAATACAGCACACTGATGGGTCTTGACTCTTTATCCCATTTGCCAGTCTGTGTCTTTTAATTGGGGCATTTAACCCATTTACATTTAAGGTTAATATTGTTATGTGTGAATTTGATCCTGTCATTATGATGTTCACTGGTTATTTTGCCCATTAATTGATGCAGTTTCTTCATACGTCGATGGTCTTTACAATTTTGCATGTTTTTGCAGTGGCTGGTATCAGTTGTTTCTTTCCATGTTTAGTGCTTCCTTCAGGAGCTCTTGTAAGGCAGGCCTGGTGGTGACAAAATCTGTCAGCATTTGCTTGTCTGTAAAGGATGTTATTTCTCCTTCACTTATGAAGCTTAGTTTGGTTGGATATGAAATTCTGGGGTGAAAATTCTTTTCTTTAAAAATGTTGAATATTGGCCCCCACTCTCTTCTGGATTGTTGGGTTTCTGCTGAGAAATCCGCTGTTAGTCTGATGGGCTTCCCTTTGTGGGTAACTTGACCTTTCTCTCTGGTTGCACTTAACACTTCTTCCTTCATTTCAACCTTGGTGAATCTGACAGTTATGTGTCTTGGGGTTGCTCTTCTCAAGGAGTATCCTTGTGATGTTCTCTGTATTTCCTGAATTTAAATGTTGGTCTGCCTTGCTAGGTTGGGTAGGTTCTCGTGGATAATATCCTGAAGAGCGTTTTCCAACTTGGTTCCATTCTCCCCATCACTTTCATGTACACCAATCAAACATAGATCTGGTCTTTTCACATACTCCCATATTTCTTGGAGGCTTTGTTTGTTTCTTTTTACTCTTTTTTCTCTAAACTTCTGTTCTTGTTTCATTTCATTCATTTGATCTTCAATCACTGATACCCTTTCTTCCACTTGATTGAATTGGCTATTGAAGCTTGTGCATGTGTCACGAAGCTCTCGTGACACATCCATCAGGTCATTTAAGGTCTTCTCTACACTGTTTATTCTAGTTAGCCATTCGTCTAATCTTTTTTCAAGGTTTTTAGCTTCCTTGGGATGGGTTCGAACATCCTCCTTTAGCTCAGAGAAGTTTGTTATTACCGACCTTCTGAAGCCTACTTCTGTCAACTTGTGAAAGTCATTCTCCATCTAGCTTTATTCTGTTGCTGATGAGGAGCTGCGATCCTTTGGAGAAGAGACACCCTGATTTTTAGAATTTTCAGCTTTTCTGCTCTGGTTTCTCCCCATCTTTGTGGTTTTATCTACCTTTGGTCTTTGATGTTGGTGACCTACAGATGGGATTTTGGTGTAGATGATCTTTTTGTTGATGTTGATGCTATTCCTTTCTGTTTGTTAGTTTTCCTTCTAACAGGTCCCTCAGCTGCAGGTCTGTTGGAGTGAGCTGCAGACACTCTTTGCCTGGGTATCACCAGCAGAGGATGCAGAACAGCAAATATTGCAGAACAGCAAATATTGCTGCCTGATCCTTCCTCTGGAAGCTTTGTCCCAGAGGGGCAGCCACCTATATGAGGTGTCTGTTGGCCCCTACTGGGAGGTGTCTCCCAGTTAGGCTACACAGGGGTCAGGGACCCACTTGAGGAGGCAGTCTGTCCATTCTCAGAGCTCAAACGCTGTGCTGGGAGAACCACTGCTCTCTTCAGAGCTGTCAGACAGGGACGTTTAAGTCTGCAAAAGTTGTCTGCTGTGTTTTGTTCAGCTATGCCCTGCCCACAGAGGTGGAGTCTAGAGGCAGTTGGCATTGTTGAGCTGGGGTGGCCTCCGCCCAGTTCGAGCTTCCTGGAAGCTTTATCTACTCAAGTCTCAGCAATTATGGACGCCCCTCCCCCAGCCAGGCTGCTGTCTCACAGATCCATCTCAGACTGCTGCACTAGCAGTGAGCAAGGCTCCATGGGCGTGGCAGACACCGAGCCAGGCACAGGAGAGAATCACCTTGTCTGCCAGTTGCTAAGACCTTGAGAAAAGCACAGTATTTGGGCAGCAGTGTCCTGTTTTTCCAGGTAGTGGGTCACGGCTTCCCTTGGCTAGGAAAGTGAAAACCCCTGACCCCTTGCACTTCCCAGGTGAGGCAACACCCTGCCCTGCTTTGGCTCGCCCTCTGTGGGCTGCACCAACTGTCCAACCAGTCCCAATGAGATGAACCAGGTGCCTCAGTTGGAAATGCAGAAATCACCCGTTTTCTGCATCAATCACGCTGGGAGCTGCAGACCAGAGCTGTTCCTATTCGGCCGTCTTGGAATGCCCTCAAAGATGCTGAATTTTGTCAAATGTTCTTTCTACATCTAATGAGATGACCACATGGTTTTTGTCTTTTATTCTGTTAACATGATGTATCACACTTATAGATTTGTGTATGTTGAAACATCGTTGCATCCCTGGGGCAAATTCCCCTTGATCATGGTAAATTATTTTTTAATATGTTGTTGAAATTAGTTAGCTAATATTTTGTTGAGGATTTTTACATTGATATATACTGAAGACATTGTCCTGCAGTGTTTTTGAATGTGTTTTTTTCCTTGTAGTGTCTTTCTCTGGTTTCGTTATCAGGGTAATGCTGGCCTCATAAAAAGAGTTTGGAAGTATTCCTGCCTTTTCCATTTTTTGCAAGGATTTGTGAAGAGTTGGTATCAGTTTTTTAAGTGTTTGGTTGATTCTGCAGTAAAGCCATCAGGTCCTGGGATTTCCTATGATGGAAGACTTTTAATTACTGATTCAATCTGCTGCTCATTATTCATCTGTTTAGATTTTCTATTTCTTCCTGGTTCAGTCGTGGCATATGTGTCTAGAAATTTATTCGTTTTCTGAGTTATCCAATTTATTGGCATGTAATTTTTCATAATAGTCTCTCATGATCCTTTTTGTTTTTGTGTTATTAGTTGCAATGTCTTTTTCAGTTCCAAGTTTGAGTTCTCACTTTTATTAGTCAATTATCTTTTCAAAAAAAATTTATTTTCACTGATCTTTTGTATTGTTCTTCCAGTCTCTTTCATTTATGCTCTAATCTCTTTGTTTCCTTCTGCTGACATTGGGCTTAGTTCTCTTTTTTTATTTCCTTGAGGCATAACATTGTTTATTTGATATCTTTTTCGATGTGTTTATTGCTATAAATTTTTTGCTTAGCACTACTTTTGCGCATCCCATGTTTTAGTATGTTGTGTTTACATTTTTCTTATTGATTTCTGGTTTTTTACCATTGTGGTCAGAAAAGGTGCTTGATATTTTTAACTTTCTTAAATTTGTTAAGGCTTGTCTTTTGGCTTAACATATGATCCTGGAGAATGTTCCATGTGCAGTTGAGAACAATGTGTATTCTGTTCCCGTTGGAGGGGATGTTCTGTATTATCACTGTTAGGTCTATTTGGTCTAAAGCATTTTTCAAGTCTGATGTTTTCTTATTTTCTGTCTGGATGTGTCCATTATTGAAGTCCTATACTATTATTGTGCTATAATCTCTCTCACACACTTCATATCTGTTAATAGTTTATATATTTAGGTGTTCTGATGTTGTGTACATATACATTTACAATTATTATATCTTCCTGATGAATTGACCCCCTTGCAGAATGTTGTCTTTATCTTTTTACGGTTTTTTATTTGAAGTCTAGTTTGTCTGCTAAGTATAGCTACCCATGTTCTTTTGTGGTTTCTATTTGTACAAAATCTTTTTTCATCTCTTTACTTTCAGTTTATGTGTCCTTAAAACTGATATCAATTCCTTGAATGCAGCATATAGTTGGGTCTTGCTGTTTGTCTATTCAGTCATTATGACTTTTTATTGGATAATTTTATCTATTTACATTCAAGATAATTATTGATAGGTAAGAACTTATTACTGCCATTTTGTTAATTGTTTTCTGGTTGTTTTATAGACTTTTTTCTTTTTTCCTCTTTTGCTGACTTTGTAGTGTGATTGTTTTTCAGAGTGGCACACTTTAAATCCTTTATATTTTTGTTTTGTGTATCTAATACAGATTTTTGCTTTGTGGTTGACATGCTTTGGATATTTTTTGATAAGCCATCAGTTGAAATACAAATATTTTCACACCATGCCCATTCTGAGAGATCTATCCTCATACTTCTCCAGACCTTGCTGTCACTAATCTTCTAATCTTGTTCTTTCCAAGTCCCTGATCATCAGGCCCAAGTGTTAACAAATCCCCATAAATCAATATAGATACATTCTTTTGTCTACCTTCTGATGCAAAGTGATCAATCAAATGAACTGCTTGAAGTTTTGCCCATTGAGATAAATTTCTATTACTAATGCCCTTCATTACCAATCCTCTCAAGAGGGATTATAATGCTACAGCCATTCACTTCTGGTGGGTACTAATATACTGTATAGAGACATCTACAAACCAGTACTGACTTTTTTCCTTCTTAGTCATAGGAACTCCCATGGGGCCTTAAGTGTGGATTGATTAAAAAAAAAAAAGAGGGAATGCAACAGAAGTGTCAAAGAAATCTGAGCCATCTAGTTATAGAACTTGAAAATAGATGGCTGCTGTATATATTCAAATTATGGCTCAGCAAATCAGGTAACACCCAGTTTTTTATAGACACGCCAGGTTGCATGCTCACTTGATACAGTTAGCATTTAGTCTATACCACTGCCTCATAGAAAAGATTGTTTCTCAAAATGAGGATAGTTATCTGCTGAAGGGAGTGTGACTTTGCTTCAACCCTAGAAGCCTATGCTGTGATTTTTCTTATTTTGTCTGTCAGAGACTCCATACATCATTTCTATTTGCTACAGCCATTTTATGTCTCATTGGATCTGCTAATCATAAGTCCCAAGTGGAAGAATAGCTTGTGCTGCAGTCTTGACTTGCTACAGAGCCCTTTATTGCTTTGGACCACACTCAAAAGGTGGCACCCTTATGCAATACCCTTAAAGAAACATTTTAGACAACAGAAATGTAATAGAGTTGATTTGACCAAAGATTATTTCATGAATCTGGCAGAACTCAGGAGAGGTTCAGAGTGCACCACCACAGCAGCGTGGGCAGTGAGGTTTATGTGGAGGGAAGCCAAAGACATTGATTGGTTTCACATGGAAACCATCTCAGAGGTTAGTTGGCAGTTTCTGATTGGCAAAGTCTCTTGTTTCATTTTACTGTTTACATTGGGCTTTGGTCTGCTCACAGAGAAACCTAAAGCACGATGGCTGTCTCAGCCAAGTGACCTATTAGAATTTTTTTAAAAACAGTTATTGGATAAGAGTAGAAGCCTCATATCATCCCTTCCCCTTTCAAACTTGAACTTTATGGTGAAGTTTGTACCATTAGTGCCGCATGCTTTCTTTCTCAGCCCTAGCACTTTGCATATACTGCTCCATATATCTAGAACACATTTTTATCCCTTTTCTGGCCCTTGCGTGCTTTTTGACCTTAGCTATTGCCGACTAAGCAGTCTTTCCTGTCTTCCAAATCTGGGTTAGGTCTCCCTTCTTTGTACTCCCACAGCCCACTTGACTCATTCTTATCACAGCATTTAGCACATTATGTAGAAATTGCTTGGTAAATTGTTTATATCAGCATTTCTCAGCCCTTTTTATCATCACCCATCTAAAGAATCTTTTTAGACATTTTGTTCCTAATCACCATTCCCTTCCTCCTTAAAAATGTAATGACCTGTATATGCTATATATTTTTGTACTGCATGTCTGTGTCTTATATGTTTTTTAAAAAGATTTTCTTCCACCTCCACCAAGAGCCAACTTTCATCCGCTCTGTGGGTGATATTACTTTCCCCCTTTCCGATGCCCCTTCTTGGGAATGCCTGGTCTATAAGCACTCCTGAGGCATATGTTGTGTCTTGTTCTTTGCTGACTTACCAGAGCTTAGCATGGTACTTATCTAGTAAAGACTCAATAAAAATTTTAACAAATGAGTTAGTAGATGAATGAATCAACCTTTAAAGGAGACCAAAGATCACAGATGAAAGCACATTGGTATTCTTACCTTTTACCTTTGATTCCCCTTACAGAATTTGTTAGCCTACGATTTTTATGCCTTTAATTTTTTATACTTTTTCTTCTAAACTTTTTGAAGGGTAGGACCATTCCTCATCCATTTGTCAACCCCTTAGAGAAACATAAATCACAGTGCTTTGCACACAGAAGGTATTCAATGAATATTCATTGAAATACCGCAAGTGAATAAGTTAAGACTTTCCAGAAAATCACCAGTTTTCAATTAAACCCTAAGGATGGGGTCAAAAAATAAAGGTGATTTCAAGAGATTTTGCTTCAAGGGCTGTAAGAGATTTTTTTTTTTTTTTTTTTTCAGACGGAGTCTCACTCTGTCGCCCAGACTGGAGTGCAGTGGCGCGATCTTGGCTCACTGAAAGCTCTGCCTCCCAGGTTCATGCCATTCTCCTGCCTCAGCCTCCCGAGTAGCTGGAACTACAGGCGCCCGCCACCACGCCCAGCTAATTTTTTGTATTTTTAGTAGAGATGGGGTCTTACCGTTTTAGCCAGGGTGGTCTTGATCTCCTGACCTTGTGATCTGCCCACCTCAGCCTCCCAAAGTGCTGGGATTACAGGCATGAGCCACCACGCGCGGCCTGTAAGAGACTTTTCTATAAACCATTGCCTATTTGTTTGTTTCTTCCTCTATGCTCTCTTAGTATTATTTATTTGTGTTTACTGTATATCAAGCTACCAGATAGACTGAGAAATCCCCTAAGGCAAGAACCATTTTTTACCCCGTCTTATATCTCCTGTGCCACACATGGTTTCAGACATCAAAGGAAGTAGTAGAGTAGTAGAGGCATATCCATATTTGAGTTCTCCCTTTGCCTTTGACCAGTTGTGATCTTTGGCAAATTACTTAAATTATTGGTCTCTTTTTTATCATATGGTAAATGGAAATAATAGTAACTATCTCAAAGGAGTAAACATCCCACTTCTAAAGTGGAGTGTACATCCATACTCCTGGGTCTCTGGTCTATGCCAGACTAGGATAATAAAAGGGGACTTTTTGGTAATACAGAGAAGAGTACACATTCTGTTAGCCAGGAAATGCAATTGATTATACTAAGAGGGGACAATCTTAGAATTAAAAATGTTTGTTATAAATGTTTTATCATCAAACTGACCCATAAAGGACCGATTTCCTCCTGAGTCTTATTTTCCTACATTCAGAATCTCAGGATTCAGCTCAAGCTTTTTTCCTTTTTCATTATCCCCCCTCCTTTGTCCATATTGATCCTCTCTCATTGAGCAAATGGGGGGTCACTCACAGTTCCCTCCCCATTCCTATTGTTTTCTGTACTTTGTTTATCCTATTTTTTCCTGCTTAGAGGGCCCTTCACCTGATGCCATTTCCCCCCTCAGTCCCTGACCCCCAACCTCTACTCCCTACTCTAACCCCATTCCAGCTTGGCCAAAGGGCAAAGCAGAGAACTCAGAATGACCAGCTCTGGGGGAACAGAGTCAGAAAAGAAGTGTAACGCTAGGGGAAGAGATAAGAGATTAAAAGATGAGTTGACAATACTTGAATGAAGAAAAGAAAAAGGTGGATTTATGTTTGCTCGTGTAAGAACTTAGTATGGACTAACAGGTGACTAAGAGACAAACAGAAACTTTTTTCTTCTTTCTTGGATTCTGTGAGTGAGCTTAACTCTCAGATACTAAGCTTTGTTGTTTGTTTGTAATGGATTCTTCCTGCTCTTACATATGTTAAGGGCATAAGGTGATGAATACTAAATGAGATAACATCAGTTAGGAATTGTGGTCAGTTTAAAGAAGATAAGTAGGCATTCATTTTTATCGTGTATATTAAGAAAAGGAGGGCTGGGCGCAGTGGCTCACACCTGTAATTCCAGCACTTTGGGACGCTGAGGCGGGCAGATCACAAGGTCAAGAGATCGAGACCATCCTGGCTAACACGGTGAAACCCCATCTCTACTAAAAAAAAACACAAAAAAGTTAGCCAGGCGTGGTGGTGGGCACCTGTAGTCCCAGCTACTTGGGAGGCTGAGGGAGGAGAATGGTGTGAACCCGGGAGGCAGAGTTTGCAGTGAGCCGAGATTGCACCACTGCACTCCAGCCTGGGTGACACAGCGAGACTCCGTATCAAAAAAAAAAAAAAAAAGAAAGAAAGAAAAAAAAGAAGTGGGCGGTAAAGACCTGGTATGGCTGCTTCATGTTGTCATTAGAGTCCTAGGCTGACTGTGGCTTCCTTATGCTACCATGATTCAGCGGGAAAAGGTCTATTAACATAGCCATGTTTCAGGCAACAGAAAGGAGGGTGGATCAAGGACTGAGTCTACATCCCTTCTAAGGAGTTTTCCCAGAACCCCTGTATCCAACTGCTCCTGGCCCGATCTGAGCCACACACCCACATCCACAAAGGAGGCTGAGGAATACAGTCTTTTAGATGAATTCACTGTCATTTCTAATACAAAAAGGGTTAAGTCCTGGGTTCTGTTAAATGAGAAGCAATTGTCTGTCTCTGCTACAACATTAATGCATTGAGCCAGGCACAGGTAAGTGCTCAGTTGAAATTAATACTTAATTATTGGGTACTTAATGCTTATTGAACAAATGAGCAAATGGATGGAAACATTTCCCTACACACATCAGAATTAGAAATGGCCAGTAGTTCCTTATTTCATTTGAAAGCTTATAGGCTTTGCTTACACATTCGTAGCCACTCAATTTGAATCCTAAGTTCATAAGACATAAAGGAGGCAGCTGCACACTGAAAAGAGCCTTACTACTTGCTGCAGTATTGCATTTCTCTATCTGAGGGCAGGCAGAGCAATAGAATGAAAGACTTAGGACCCTATTCTAGCCACTGTCCTTTATTTTCCTGCTTCACCCATGTAATCATCTCTCTGTAAGCAAATAAGTCCACTGAGTTTCAGTTCTGTCTCCGTTTCTGTTTCCTCTGGTACTTTGTTCAAACCATTTTCCTCCTGTATAGAAAGCCTTCTTGCCTTCCTCCTCTCCTCTCCATTGATGCCTCTTCATTTTTAGAGACCTGCAGCTTCAGGGTCCTTACCATGGGCCAACCCATTCTGCTTTCTCTGTCTCCATCTGTCTCCATGCTGATCTCTGTCTCCTTCCCCGGAATTTTTCTAACACTGCCAAACACATTAAAAGAGACTAATTCTTATACACAAACTTCTTGTCTGTCTTTCTTTTTGTAGCTTTCACAATATCTCAATACCTATCAGATGGTCCATAAACATATTTTGGCCAATTATCCCATTGACTATTAAAGCCTAAGCCATGTTGATGTGATAAGTGGTAGCCAGTGAGAGTCAGGGTGAAGCATTTTTACTTTGGCAAAATGCATAGGGACTGCTCCATTGTACTGGTTTTCTTCCCTCCTCTGCTGTGTAAGCCAGGCTCTTGTGAAACATTTCTTTCTCCCAAAGCTTCCTTGTTTTTGACTGTTTTAATGTTCATGAGGCCAGAGAGGTCTCCCAAATTATCCAAACATCTCACAGCAATGGGGTCCCAAGAAAGAGCTAACCATGGGCCTCAATTTCCTTTCCTCTTCCATTGGTTGTCTGACTGCCTGACTGAAAACCTCAGGAGATGATCAAAGAATCATAAACAAGTTGTAGGAAGCTTTGGGGGAGTTTGAATTTCAGGCAGAAGCCTTTAGAAACAAGTCTTGAACCTTACAGTGTGTAGATGAATACCTTTCATTCAGACCTGGGTTTTACATAGGAATTAAAGCCAAACTGAAGTAAAATGTTCAGAACAATCCCTTCAATGCGATAGACAAAAGGTTCTAATTTTATTGACCCAGGGTTCTTAATGCAGAAAGAGTCCCCTCTACCCAATAAAAAGATGCATATTTAAAGGAACTGATTGGCCCACAGAATTTAAGTAGTCAGGAGCAAAGAGTAGGGAAAAGTATCCCACCATACCTGAGTTGGTTATAACGGAAAAAAATCCCTGCTGCAATAGCTTGCTGCTTGTACTGATGATGCTAGAGACTGGACAATAGACACTGGAGTTGCCCCAGAAAAACCAAATACTTTTGTCATGCCCACTAAAAGATCTGATGGCTTTTCCTGTGGGCTTCATCACCTGGTCACCTGGTGCTCACTTCTGCCTCCAAGTCTCATGCAGGTGGATCTGCTTGGCAGACCCCAGGTGCATTGTTACTAGAGTGGGTTCCTAGTTTGGACTGTTAGTCAAACTTTCAAGGCACAAACTTACCACCACAACATTTAACTAGCTCTTAGAAAGGATACAGAAGAGACAGCATCCAGAGCAACAGTGTCTCAGAAGCCTTCGGTGCAGCTTCTGATGTCCCCAGGCACATACATTGGGGCATGTTTTGGTCACAACAAATGACAAGCTGAAGTGAATGTGGATCACATCAGCATAGGAAAGTCATAGAGTTTAGGATCCCTGAAGCCTGAAGTCTCAGCTAATCCTCAGCATTCCAAAGGCTGTATGCCATGCTTCCATTCTTTAGTGCAGCTGCGGTCCATATATTACAGTTTACACAATGAACCATCTCGACAACTAGGTACAGTACTTAGGAAGGTCTTAGAAGGCTTATTTAGCCACAGTGGATATGTCAAGAAGTTCAACTACAGATCAAACTATGTTCAAGCATCCCTAAAACTAAGAGTGACAGTCCAGCTGTTAATTCTTATCTTTCACCAGGTCACATATGGAATTCTGGCTGAAAGGGAGTCTGGGAATTGCAGTTTTGAGCTTTTCTGACATCAGTGGCCCAGGAAGTCAAATAAGGAGGTTAGAATAGATGTTGTGTGGACCAAAACACTGACCACTTAAAAGCAAAAACAAGGTAACCTAAAAACTCCCCAGACTTGGTGTCTGGCGATGGGCCACTAAAACTACTTGCACTAAGTTGTGACTTTGGACAAATTACCTGCTCACTTTGGTTTTCAGCTTCCTTAGCTGCCACAAGAGAGATTCAGACTGTATTGCTTTAGCAGTTAGTTCAGCTGTAACATTATATAATTCCATAATTTGGGGGCAAATCTATTCTAAATCTCCGAGCTTTAGCACTGCAGAAGACACATGACCAGATAGGCTATGTGTAATTGATACCTTTGAATTAAAATATCATGCCACGTCAGACTAGCTCTTATCTCTGTGCTATTTCCAGATTTGTGAAGTATTTTACTCACTCTTATTCTAATATGACTTGTATAGAAGTCACTTGGTTTCAATTCACATTTATAATATTCAGTTTTACAAGCCTAAACTCTCTAAGCATATTTTATATTATTTTGAACGCACTTAATTTCTGGAAAAATTTTATTAATAGCATTACATACAAAACAATTGTGTTGGGTGGCATTTTATCAACTTGAGGCAAAAGTGAAACTGCCTGTATTGTCTGCTTGGGCTGCCATAACAGTGAAGTTAACAGAGTACAGAGTTGTTGGCTTAAAGAGCAGAAATTTCTTTTCTCCTAGCTCTGGAGGCTGGACGTCCAAAATCAATTTTACCTTAATTATTCCTTAAAGCCCCTATCTCCAAAGACAGTCACACTGGGGGTTAGAGCTCTAATTTTTAAACTTGGGTGGGGGACACAATTCAGTCCACAGCACTGCCTCAATGGGACCTAAAAACATGATGAAGAGAAGAACCAGATCATTACACCCTGAGTCAAAATCCATAAAGGGCCTGGGCATGGTGGTTCATGTCTGTAATCCCAGCACTTTAGGAGACTGAGGTGGGAGGATTTCTTGAGCCCACAAGTTTGAGACCATCCTGGGCAGCAAGGTGAGGCCTCATCTCTACAAAAACTTTAAAAGTTAGCCAGCCATGGTGGTATGGGCCTGTAGTACCAGATGCTTGCATGGCTGAGGCTGGAGGATCCCTTGAATTTGAGGCAGCAGTGAGCTATGATGGCCTGGAGGACCGAATGAGTCCCTATCTCTTAAAAAAAAAAAATCCCTAAAGGAACTGTGGTACACAAGTAAAAACAAAACAAAACAAAACAAAAATCAATCATTGAATATCAATGATGTAACCATTTATTTGCTGTTTTGGGATCTATTTGGCTTACCTTTCTTCATCAACTTGTTTCCTAAGTCCTTGCCATAGGAATATCCTTACCTACTTAGAATGATATAAAGATTCAGAAAGAAGTTGAAGGGGCATAATTATTACAGAAGGAGGACTGAGAAAGATGATTTAAGTAATTTAGAAATGAAAAATCCTCTCACTGACAAGTGGTATTCATCTCACTGCAGCATGCTCACCAAAAATCTCAGTTCAGTGTATTTTTATAAACTTAATGAACTGAAACCTAATTATAACAATTCATTTGGTCCAGATTACAAGGATAACTAAGAAGAGATTAAGAACATAAAACTTTTGGGAGGCTGAGGTGGGTGGATCAAGAGGTCAGGAGTTAGAGACCAGCCTGGCCAACATGGTGAAACCCCATCTCTACTAAAAAAAACAAAAATTAGCCGGGTGTGGTGGCACACACCTGTACTCCCAGCTACTCAGAAGGCTGAGACGGGAGAATCACTTGAACCTGGGAGACAGAGGTTGCGGTGAGCCAAGATTGCCCCACTGCAATCCAGCCTGGGTGACAGCAAGACTCCATCTCGTGGGGCAGGGGCGGACCATAAATATCCTTGGCAAATTATTTTGAGTATTTCTTAGGGGCTGTGTATTTTTCTTTGAAGATGAGTTCAATTTTGGAAAACAGTAAAGTTTGGCAAATACAGTAGGTGATTAATTGGACAGTATATATAGATTATGCAACATGTTAATAAATGGACTGACTTCCTGTGCAGTTGAAACCAGTTCTTTTGAGGACATAGTTGGTGAAGCGCATCCACTGAGAGTTTTGTGTTCTGAGTTTTGCTTTCACTGTTCTTCATGGGCCACTCTCTGTTTTTGTTGTTGTTTTGAGACAGTGTCTTGCTCTGTCGCCCAGGCTGTAGTGCAGTGGTGTGATCTCGGCTCACTGTGGCCTCCACCTCCTAGGTTCAAGTAATTCTTTTGCCTCACCTCCTGAGTAGCTGGAACAATAGGCATGCACCACCAAGCCCAGCTAATTTTTTGGTATTTTTAGTAGAGATGGGGATTCG
This sequence comes from Homo sapiens, assembly GCF_000001405.40. Lineage (NCBI taxonomy): Eukaryota > Metazoa > Chordata > Mammalia > Primates > Hominidae > Homo > Homo sapiens. The sequence continues at coordinate 97,226,986 of NC_000007.14, forward strand.
CCATGTTGGCCAGTCAGGTCTCCAACTCCTGGGCTCACGTGATCCCCCAGCCTCGACATCCCAAAGTGCTGGGATTCCAGGCCTGAGCCACTGTGCCCGGCCTCAGCTCTCAGTTTTAAAACTAATAACCTACGTTATAGATCTTGAGTTATTTAGTTCTCAGAATGACCTCCAGCTCTTTTGGCTTTTTCCCCTTGGTTTTATAGCAATGCTAGAGACCAGTGTATGCTATACTTTTGCCTGAAAAGGTCTTAGAGACTTTAGTGACTGGGGAATGGAGAGAATATGGAGAGGCCAGAAGAACCGGGGCTCAAAAGAGCTCTTTGGAACTTTATCAACCCCTGGGGAAAATGAATACAATATGATTCCTTTCGTTTGTTGACCTCAGTGACATGAAAACAAACAAATTGCCAAGCCTTCTTGAGATCCACAGGTCTTCATTTCACACTTAAAATGTGCCCAAAGATTCAACTGTGATGACTTCATAAAGTCTGGGGCTAATCAAATATTTATTATTTTATGACATTGGTTCTAAACTTGTTTTCTCACAAAAATGATCCTAACATAGAAAAGATTGCAGGTTTAAATTTAAGTAGTGTTTTGCTCCTGATGGATTAAAGAAAGGACTGAGAGGGCGTATTTCAGGATTGGGTAAAATAAAGAGTAGGATGAATAGCAGGAAGTGAAAGAGGCTAAATAAAGATGGGGAAAGACTTCAAAATACAGACTAAGAACCTGAGGTTTTACCTGGGAGCATGATGGTACAGAGGAAGGATTTATGGAAAGAACATTCCTTTGCTAATTTAAGGGTTGTCCTAAATGACACGGGAAAAGACAAAAAGGGATGAAAATTAGTAGAGAAGTCTATTAGTAGAGAGGGAGGAATGAATCAGCAGAGCACAGAGGAATAGAAGCTATCTGAAGACTTTAAATTGAACAGGTAGTTTCACCATTTGACTTTTAGCATTCCAGAAAACTGGGATTCTGCTTTTCTTGAAAGAGCAGATTATGTCAGTAAATAGCCTAGTGATTCAAAAGGTGGCTGCTGACTGTTATCACCTGGAACTTGGTAGAAATGCATGATCTCAGGCCCCTCATTTTAAGGGTCTCAGGTAGTTTCCATGCACATTAAGTTTAAGAAGCACTAGGACTGCAATTGGGAAGATGGATTATGATGTTAGAAGGACTGAGTCGAGTCCTACCTGTCATAGTCTTTCTTCTAAAGGTGCCACTGTGGGCAAGTTACTTCATATCATTAAGCCTCAATTTTCTTATTTGCAACACAATGGAAATGTAATACCTACCTCAAAGAGTTATTAGGATGAAATGAGGTAGAACTTGTAAAGCTCTTAACATGGTGCTTGGCAAATAAAAAGTAGTCAATAAATGCTAACAATTGATGTCCCTGACAATGTTGATGTTCCTAGCAAAGGCCTTGGAAGAATTTAAACTTATGTTGAACTTTACCTTTTTAATTTTCAAAATAATTTTCCTAAAGAAGAAGGATGGAAGAAAGGAAGGAAGGAAAGTAGAAGAATGGGGAGGGAAAGGAAAGAAGAAAGAAACGTCTAATTCCCTAAAGAAATAGGCATGTTAAAGACACTCCCCAGATAGCTGGATTGTTCCTTTCCATTTGTGGAAATAATTGGCATTGTTCCCTGGGAGTTCTGCATAAAAAACAGATGAATCAATCTGCCACGGATTGACACCAGCTAAATGAACTCATTTAGCTCTCATTTAGTCCAAATGACCCTCTGCTAGTCAGCTAATCAATCTGACAGAAATGCAATGGTCCTCTTCTGGTCTTACTAGCAGCAAAAGCACCAATGCTTCTCACCATAGGAACCTGTCATTTGGCACTAGTGACTGTTTTGGATCCTATTATTTCTAGAAGACATTAATACTAAAATTATTTAAGGTGAACAGTTTAGGGAGAATTGTACCTTATCTAAGCCAGGTGTTTTTGTTTTTTGTTTTTGAGACCAAGTCTCTCTGTCTCCTAGGCTAGAGTACAGTGCCACAAGCTCGGCTCACTGCAACCTCCACCTCCCCGGTTCAAGCAATTCTCCTGCCTCAGCCTCCTGAGTAGCTAGGATTACAGACATGTGCTACCATGCCTGGCTAATTTTTCTATTTTCAGTAGAGATGGGGTATCACCATGTTGGTCAGGCTGGTCTCGAACTCCAAACCTCAGGGGATCCACCTATCTCAGCCTCTCAAAGTGCTGGGATTACAGGCATGAGCCTAAGCCCGATGTTTTTGAAGGAGTCTATCATTTGACAACAGTTACCTATTTTGAGCAGTCAAACAAATAATTTAAGATAATTCCCTGTAATATTAGAGGTCAGAGCTCTATGATTGTTTTCCTCAATGCCAATATAGGAGGTTATCCCTGTGGATTTCAATGTAGTTGATAATCTGATCTAACTTGCTATGCCAGCAAAATATCACGGTGAATTCCTTTCCTAATGCTGTTCCCTCTGTCTCTGAAAGCCCTTATTCCTTTCATTGTATAGAATTCTTACTTGTTCCTTAGATTAAGTGTCACCTCCATCAAGACTTTCTCAATTGCCTTAGGCATTAAGTTCATGTGTTTACTTTTATAGTGTCTGGTACCTACTTCTGTCTTTTACCATGCATTTCTCTGGATAGTCCTGGCTGCTGGTGTGTCTGCCCCCTGCCCCCGACCCCGCTTTCCTGGGATTGTGAGTTCCTCAAAAGCAGAAACCACGTCATTCATCTCTGTATTCCTAGCACTTAGCCTAGGGAGCCAGCAGTGGACACCTAATAAGTGGTTGCTGACTAATTCAACAAATGTACTAACAGCAGGGTTATTGCTTGGATGGTGTTTTAGTTTCCTAGAGCTACTGTAACTAAGTACCACCAACTGGGTGGCTTACACAACAGAAATATATTCTCCTATGGTTCTAGAGTCAGCAGAGTCATGCTCCCTCTGAATTCTCTAGGTGATATGGACAGGAGACAGGGAAATACTAGGTAGAAGAGGGTGGTTCTGCAGCAAAGGCCTCCCCTCAGGCCTGGATACCCGTGGTCCTAAGTGAGGACATGCATGCCGGTTTTTGTGCCCAAAAGGTTGCCTTTTGGCCTGCCATGCCGTCTATCCTGTCCCCATATAAACCTCAAACTCCAGGCTCCAGAAGCAGCAGATGAGGAGACAAGCAGACAAACAGCAGAACAGCACAGCAGAAAAAGAGAGAAGAGAAGGAATGTCTGAACACCGAGAGGAATTCGACTTGGGGCAGTCAGAGAGGAGTTCAGCCACTGGACGGCCAAACTCCAGGGGAAGATCATCTTCCCACTCAATCCCCCCTTCCAACTCCCTATCCATCCTGCTAAGAGCCACCTCCACCACTCAATAAAACCCCTGCATTCATCCTTCAAGTCGTGTGTGACCCTATTCTTCTGGGACACTGGACAAGGGCCCAGGTACCAAGGAGTCACTGAGCTGGTTAACACTTAAGCTGTCTGTGGATGGCAGACCTAAAAGAGTACCGTAACACTGGGGCTTCAGGAGTTGCAGGCACCCACCCCTAGATGCTGCCATGGGGTGGGAGCCCGAAAGTGTCCACCCTGGTTCCTGCACCTGCCTGTGTGCCTGCTTCCTGTCCTGTAAGGGGTTTGAGCTTGCAGTGGCTGAACAAACAATCACACCCCTGTCACGCATCTCATGAGGGGGGCCAGGGAACTCTCCTGTCTCAAAGGGGAAAATCTATCCCCTTTTTTTTTTTCTCCGGACGGAGTCTCGCTCTGTCACCCATGCTGGAGTACAGTGGCACTATCTCGGCTCGCTGCAACCTCCGCCTCCCAGGTTCAAGCGATTCTCCTGCCACCTCAGCCTCCCTGGTAGCTGGCATTACAGGTGCCCACCACCACATAACTTTTTGTATTTTTAGTAGAGATGGGGTTTCACTATGTTGGCTAGGCTGGTCTTGAACTTCTGACCTCAGGTGATCCACCCACCTCAGCCTCCCCAAGTGCTGGGATTACCTTGTCTCAGCTTCTGGTAGCCTGAGGTGTTTTTTGGCTTGTGGCAGCAAATCTTCAATCTCTACCTCAGTCCTCACACGGCTGTCTCCCTTCTCTGTCCAAATTTTTATCTTCTGAGGACACCAGCCATATTGATTAAGGACCCACCCTACTCCAGTATGATCATGTATTAACTAATTCCATCTGTAATGATGTCATTCCCAAATAAGCTCACATTCTGAGATACTGAAAGTTAGGGCTTCATCTTTCTGGGGGTACATGTCAACCTAAAACATATAGTAAGGATCTTAGGGGAAATCCCACAGCAGGCATGGTCTATGCCTTCCACTCTTATCTTTGTACAATTGAATCCTGATTTAGAATTAAGATCACAGGCAGCTTTAATAAATAGTAGCCAGAAATGGAACATTTCTAGGGAAAAGAGGTGAAAGTACTGTAGCAGGAAATTCATTAATCTCTGAAGTGGTATAAATGTATTTCTCACCCTGAGCTCCCCTCTAATATTAAATCAATGAAAATTAATTAAACTGAAGTCTTTATAATTGTCAGTGGAATGAAATACTATTTATTCTTTACACAGGTTTGACCCAGATATTAGATTCACAGATATTCACTGCTATTTCATGTTAACTGAAATTTCTTTGATAATTTACCAAACTGTTGGCAGCTCAAATTCTAATAACTTTGGTATATAACAAGAGAAAAACAGGTTAATTAATTCTTGAAAATAGCATGGGAATATATTGAAAAGAATGGTGAAGCTGGATGCAGTGGTGCACACCTGTAGACCCAGCTACTTCGGAGGCTGAGGCAGGAGGATTGCTTCAGCCCAGGAGGTCAAGGCTACAAATGAGCTGTGGTCCTGCCACTGCACTCTAGCCTGGGTGTCAAAGCAAGACCTTGCCTCAAAATAAAAAATAAAAAGATAAAAGGATAATGAGATGTTGATAGCCTAAGATGCTAGCAGTATGAGTGTTGGCATCAATGGCAGATGACACCCCCTGGGGCAGACATCAGCCCCTTTGACATTGAACATTGACAGCCTAGCTCTAGTTAGGAGCAACAGAGGATCTTGCAGACCTTGGCAGTGTAACTGCCATGAGGGTCCTAGTGAAATGGGAGAGTTCTCTGGCCCCGCCACAGGAGGTGTGACAGGGGTGTGGTTCTCTGTTCAGCAGCTGCAAGCTTAAACCCCTTACCAGAGAGGTGGCACACAGGCAGGTGCAGGAACTGGGGTGAGTGTTTTTGAGCTCCAGCCCCACAGCAGCGTCTACGGGTGGGTGTCTCTGACTCCCAAAGCCCAAGTGGACACATGTTACAGTGCATTCTTTTAGCCTCACTGTCCAGGATGGCTTAAGGGTTAACCAGCTCAGTGGGCCCTCTGCCTTTTTGCAAAGGCAGGGGGCCAGTGTGACAGCTTTCTGTATCCTGAGCTCTTGTCCAGCGTGTTGGAAGAATTGAGAAACACACAGACTTGAAGCATGAATGTGGGAGTTTTACTGAGTGGTGGAGGTGGCTCTCAGCAGGATGAATGGGGAGCTGGACAGGGGATGTAGTGGGAAGATTATCTTCCCCTGGAGTTTGGCCGTCCAGTGGCTGATTCTCTAACTGTCGCCACCGGAACTCCTCCAGACATTCCTTCTCTTTCTCTGTGTTGTTCTACTGTTTGTCTCCTTGTCTGCTGCTTCTGGAGTCTGGGGTTTGGAGTTTATGTGGGTACAGGATAGGGGGCATGGCAGGCCAAAAGGCAACTTTTTGGGCACAAAAACAAGAATACTTCTCACCTAGGGCCATGGGGATCCAGGCTTGAGGGTGGGGCCTTTGCTGGAGAACCATCCTCTTCTGTAAAACACCACCATACTAAACTAGACCACAGGGGAAGAAATGGCAGACACCAATGGGTAGCAAAGAAATGCTCACATAACACACATCAGGAAAGCAAGAGAGAAATGTGAAGAAAAAAAGAATGAGAAAAGGGAAGAGGGGCTTCTGGGAAAATCATGGGTGCATAATATTAGGGATGATCTCAACAACAGGGTGTAAATGTAATAGAGGTGGCCTTGAGAAGGGCGAGGTTGGGAAGATGTTGGAAGACCTGGCTAAGAAGCCTGTTAGAGGGTGATAATGAGTAAACAAACTTTTTGTCTAGATAATGGGAAGGGTGTAGGGAATATCTAGCATGGCTCTGATAGGGGTTAGAGGTCTGAAGAGCTGGGTGTAGAGAAGGGAATGGCTAGGGAATGTTGCAAGGATGTGGCAGGAGGGCTGTGGATATGCTGACCCAAATGTTCATGTAGGCCAGAGGCAGGGCCATGTGTACTGCTGTGCAGGTGTAGCCCTGCACTAAACAGCAAGCTGAGCAGGTTGGTGGAGTCTGGAATCCAGTCTGGATGCCTCACACTAAGCTGTGGGCCCAGTCTCAAGATGGCATCCCCTTGGAAAAAGCAGGGAGGCTTTTTAAAATCCACAAAGCACAATGTGGGCTAGTATAGCTTTGACCAATAGCATTTTTTCTGGTCACTTTTTGGCCCCTTAGGCACTGATACTGCTTCCATCTTCCCCTCCCATATTTGAAAACAGCTCTCGTTTATCCTCACCCATTCTGTAAAGCCTGTAAGCCTGTGCTTATTTTTTTTCCTCTTTTTTTAAGAGAGGCGTTCTCACTCTGTCACTCAGGATGGAGTGCAGTGGTGTAACAATGGCTCACTGAAGCCTCAGCCTCCTGGGCTCAAGCAGTCCTCCTGCCTCTACCTCCTAAGAACTGGATCTAAGTGTGCCACTGTACCCAGCTAATTTTTGTTTTTATTCTAGATGGGGTCTCGTTATGTTGCCCAGGCTGGTCTCAAGTTCCTGGGCTGTTGTGGGAAGTCAGGGACCCTGAACGGAGGGACCAGCTGGAGCCGTGGCAGAGGAACATAAATTGTGAAGATTTCATGGACATTTATCAGTTCCCAAATAATACTTTCATAATTTCTTATGCCTGTCTTTAATCTCTTAATCCTGTTATCTTCATAAGCTGAGGATGTACGTCACCTCAGGACCACTGTGATAATTGTGTTAACTGTACAAACTGATTGTAAAACATGTGTGTTTGAACAATATGAAATCAGTGCACCTTGAAAAAAGAACAGGATAATAGCGATTTTTAGGGAACAAAGACAATCCTAAGGTCTGACTGCCTGCGGGGTTGGGCAAAAAGAGCCATATTTTTCTTCTTGCAGAGAGCCTATAAATGGACGTGCAAGTAGGAGAGATATTGCTAAATTCTTTTCCTAGCAAGGAATATTAATATTAATACCCTGGGAAAGGAATGCATTCCTGGCGGGGGAGGTCTATAAACAGCCGCTCTGGGAATGTCTGTCTTATGCGTTTGAGATAAAGACTGAGATATGCGCTGGTCTCCTGCAGTACCCTCAGGCTGACTAGGGTGGGGAAAAACTCCGCCCTGGTAAATTTGTGGTCAGACCAGTTCTCTGCTCTCAAACCCTGTTTTCTGTTGTTTAAGATGTTTATCACGATGATACGTGTACCACTGAACATAGACCCTTATCATTAGTTCTGCTTTTGCCCTTTGCCTTGTGATCTTTGTTGGACCCTTATCAGCGGTTCTGCTTTTGCCCTTTGTCCTATTCCCTCAGAAGCATGTGATCTTTGTTAGACCCTTATCAGTAGTTCTGCTTTTTGCCCTTTGAAGCATGTGATCTTTGTACCTACTCCCTGTTCTTACACCCCCTCTCCTTTTGCAACCCTTAATAAAACTTGCTGGTTTTGAGGCTTGGGCGGGCATCACGGTCCTACTGATATGCGATGTCACCCCTGGTGGCACAGCTGTAAAATTCCTCTCTTTGTACTGTCTCTTTTTATTTCTCAGCCAGCCGACACTTATGGAAAATAGAAAGAAACTACATTGAAATATTGGAGGCAAATTCCCCCAATACTGGGCTCAAGTGATCTTCCTGCCTTGGCCTCTCACAGTGCTGGGGTTACAGACATGAGACACTGCACCCAAGCTGATTTTCTCAGTCAGCTTTGATGGAGGTACTTGACATAAACTTAAGAAGGCCTTTGTGCTGTATCTCCATCTCACACTTTCCTATCAGTTACTGCCAAATACTTTCCTGCCTTAATATCCAGGCCTTGTCTTCTTCATTGATTAGAATTTTCTCAGTGTAAACTTGCATGTTGCCCGGCTTAGTTACTCTCCATTCTGAAGAAGCTCTGCATAACATGCACCAACAGCTGGCTTACAGGCCTCAATGAGAAGGAACGGTGTTTGAAATCTGTCTCATTTCTTGGGCTAAAGCTTTCTCTTTTGAGTCTTAGACCCATTGGAGTATTTGTAAAGCTATGAACCCTCCACAAAAGTACACATAATTACACATACATACCATCAGTAGTTTCCAGATTCTGGAAAACTCTTTCATAGCACTCCCTAAGAAGTTAAGTCCCAGCTCTAGAGACCATTTGAGGCAGTTGTAGACTGTGATATGTTGTTTATTGTTATTAATTTTCCTTTTGTAGAACTCATAATTTTGAATATAAACAAAAACTTGATGTCACCAAATGTCTATGGCACCTAGAGACATTTGTGCTTACTGTCTCTAGGTGCATAGTAGAGTATTTTAAGAATACTGTACTATGATTTCTCTCTAATCTGTCTCCTGGTCACCAACTATATTCCCTGAATTCATTTTCTTAACTGGTTTATTATAAATGGCCTCCTCGCTTTTTATCCTCATTCTTACCCTCCTTCATCCCATGTTCCACTTTAGCTTCCAGAGTGATTTTTGTAAAATAAAATTCATGTTATTCCTTGCTTAAAAACCATTCAAAGACTCTCTGTTGCTTATAGGATGTGGTTATATATTTATGACCACTAATCCTTCATAAATCAGTATGTAAAACTAATCTGTGTATAAAATCTGTTGTTGCTCCAACTGAGACTACTTGAGCTCTATCAGAGAGAATGTGGGCTGAAAGGGTCTTGGAATTCAATGTAGATTGGGGAAGAACTTGACGTGACAAAAACATCAAGCCAGGACAACAAAATGGTCGTGTGTTTCCTAGAACTGCAGTGCCATTGTCTCCGTAGTATAAGCAGCAATGAGCAGCAAACAACTGTACCGAAAGAGCAACACAGTGTTGATGGATGGCATTTAGGTGCAAGAATTTATGGGGGAGGTGGGTGGTGGAAGCATGGTGAAGGGGAAGGAGAAGTGTGACAGTGAAGAAAGAGAGTCACTAAAGTGTATGTTGATGAGGGGTTACTGATGTGGGCAGCTGGACTCTTGTCTGCTGGGGCCTCCAAAAAGAGGTTTGATTGGTATTTGATTGATTACATTTGATTGGTGTACCTGAAAGTGATGGGGAGAATGGAACCAAGTTAGAAAACACTCTTCAGGATATTATCCAGGAGAACTTACCCAACCTAGCAAGACAGGCTGATATTCAAATTCAGGAAATACAGAGACCAGCACAGAGATACTCCTCACGAAAAGCAACACCAAGACACATAATTGTCAGATTCACCAAGGTTGAAATGAAGGAAAAAATGTTAAGGGCAGCCAGAGACAAAAGTCGGGTTACCCACAAAAGGAAGGCCATCAGACTAAAAGCGGATCTCTATGCAGAAATCCTACAATCCAGAAGAGAGTAGGGGCCAATATTCAACATTCTTAAGGAATTTTCAACCCAGAATTTCATATCCAGCCAAATTAAGCTTCACAAGCAAAGGAGAAATAAAAACATGTATAGACAAGCAAATGCTGAGAGATTTTTGTCACCACCAGGACTGCCTTACAAGAACTCCTGAAGGAAGCACTAAATATGGAAAGGAAAATCTGGTATCAACCACTGCAAAAACATACCAAATTGTAAGACGATTGATGTTATGAAGAAACTGCATCAACTAACAAACAAAATAACCAGCTAGCATCATAATGACAGGATCAAATTCACACATAACAATATTAAAGTTAAATGTAAACAAGCTAAATGCCTTAATTAAAAGACACAGACTGACAAATTGGATAAAGAGTCAAGAACCATCAGTGTGCTGTATTCAGGAGACCCATCTCATGTGCAAAGACATACACATGCTCAAAATAAAGGGATGGAAGAATATTTACCAAGCAAATGGAAAGCAAGAACAGCAGGGTTTGCAATCCTAGTCTCTGATAAAACAGACTTTAAACCAACAAAGATCAAAAAAGACAAAGAAGGGCATTACATAATGGTAAAGGGATCAATGCAACAAGAAGAGCTAACCATCCTAAATATATATGCAACCAATACAGGAGGACCCAGATTAATAAAGCAAGTACTTCGAAACCCACAAAGAAACCCAGACTGCCACACAATAATAGTGGGAGACTTTAACACCCCACTGTCAATATTAGACAGATCGACAAAACAGAAAATTAACAAGGATATTCAGGACTTGAACTCAGCTCTGGACCAAGCAGACCTAATACACATCTACAGAACTCTCCACCCCAAATCAACAGAATATGCATTCTTCTCAGCACCACATAGCACTTATTCTAAAATTGACCACATAATTGGAAGTAAAACACTCCTCAGTCAATGCAAAAGAACAGAAATCATAACAAACAGTCTCTCAGACCAGAGTGCAATCTAATTAGAACTCAAGGTTAAGAAACTCACTCAAAACCACACAACTACATGGAAACTGAACAACCTGCTCCCAAATGACTGCTGGGTAAATAAGGAAATTAAGCCAGAAATAAATAAGTTATTTGAAACCAATGAGAACAAAGATACAATGTACCAGAATCTCTGGGACACAGCTAAAGCAGTGTGTACAGGAAAATTTATAGCACTAAATACCCACAGGAGAAAGCAGGAAAGATTTAAAATTGACACCCTAACATCACAATTAAAAGAACTAGAGAACCAAGAGCAAACAAATTCAAATGCTAGCAAAGACAAGAAATAACTAAGATCAGAGCAGAACTGAAGGATACAGAAACATGAAAAACCCTTCAAAAGAAAACAAAAAACAAAAAACAATTGGCTGGGCGTGGTGGCTCACACCTGTAATCCCAGCACTTTGGGAGGCCGAGGCGGGCGGATCATGAGGTCAGCAGATCGAGACCATTCTGGCTAACACGGTGAAACCCCATCTCTACTAAAAAATACAAAATAGCCAGGCGTGGTGGCGGGCGCCTGTAGTCCCAGCTACTTGGGAGGCTGAGGCAGGAGAATAGTGTGAACCTGGGAGGTGGAGCTTGCAGTGAGCCAAGATTGTGCCACTGCACTCCAGCTTGGGCGAGAGCAACACTCCGTCTCAAAAAAAAAAAAAAATCAATGATTACAGAAACTTTTTATTCTTTTATTCTTTCTGTACTTTTTTTTTTTTTTTTTGAGACCCAGTGTCGCTCTGTTGCCCAGGCTAGAGTGAAACGGCACAATCTCACTCACTGCAACCTCCACCTCCCAGGTTCCAGCAATTCTCCTGCCTCAGCATTCCGAGTAGCTGGGACTACAGGCATGCACCACCATGCCCAGCTAATTTTTTGTATTTTTAGTGGAGATGAGGTTTCACCATGTTAGCCAGGATGGTCTCGATCTCCTGACCTCGTGATCCACCTGCCTCGGTCTCTCAAAGTGCTGGGATTACAGGCATGAGCCACCGTGTCTGGCTGGAGCTGGTTGTTTGAAAAGATTAAGAAAACAGACTACTAGCCAGACAAATAAAGAAGAAAAGAGAATAATCAAATAGACACAAAAATGATAAAGGGGATATCACCACTGATTTTACAGAAATACAAACTGCCATCAGAGAATACTATAAATACTTATGTGTAAATAAACTGGAAAATCTAGAAGAAATGGATACATTTCTGGACACATACACCCACCCAAGACTAAACCAGAAAGAGGTTGAATCCCTGAATAGACCAATAACAGGTTCTGAAATTGAGGCAATAATAGCCTACCAACCAAAAAAAGTCTAGGACCAGACAGATTCACAGCTGAATTCTACCAGAGGTACAAAGAGGAGCTGGTACTATTCCTTCTGAAACTATTCCAAACAATAGAAAAAGAAGGACTCCTTCCTAACTCATTTTATGATGCCAGCATCATTCTGATACCAACACCTGGCAGAGACACAACAAAAAAAGAAAATTTCAGGCCAATATACCTGATGAACATGGATATGAAAATCCTCAATAAAATACTGGCAAACTGAATCCAGCAGCACATCAAAATGCTTATCTACCATGCTCAAGTCGGCTTCATCCCTGGGATGCAAGCCTGGTTCAACATATGCAAATCGATAAACATAATCCATCACAAACAGAACCAATGACAAAAACCATGATTATCTCAATAGATGCAGAAAAGACCACTGACAAAATTCAACACCTCTTCATGCTAAAAACTCTCAAACTAGGTATTGATGGAACGTCTCAAAATAATAAGAGCTATTTATGACAAACCCACAGCCAATATCATATTGAATGGGCAAAAGCTGGAAGCATTCCTTTTGAAAACCTGCACAAGACAAGGATGTTCTCTCTCACCACTCCTATTCAACATAGTATTGGAAGTTCTGGCCAGGGCAATCAGGCAAGAGAAGGAAATAAAGGGTATTCAAACAGGAAGAGAGGAAGTCAAATTGTTTGCAGATGACATGATTGTATATTAAGAAAACCCCATCTGCCAGGTGCAGTGGCTCACGCCTGTAATCCCAGCATTTGGGAGGCTGAGGCTGGTGGATCATGAGGTCAGAAGATCGAGACCACCCTGGCTAACACAGTGAAACCCTGTCTCTACTAAAAATACAAAAAAAATTAGCCGGGCCTGGTGGTGGGCACCTGTAGTCCCAGCTACTCGGGAGGCTGAGGCAGGAGAATGGCATGAACCCGTGAGTGAGCTGAGATCACGCCACTGCACTCCAGCCTGGGCAACACAGCGAGACTCCGTCTCAAAAAAAAAAAAAAAAGAAAACCCCATCATCTCAGCCCAAAATCCCCTTAAGCTGATAAGCAACTTCAGCAAAGTCTCAGGATACAAAATCAATGTGCAAAAATCACAAGCATTCCTATACACCAATAATAGAGAGCCAAATCATGAGTGAACTCCCATTCACAGCTGCTACAAAGAGAATAAAATACCTAGGAATACAGCTTACAAGGGATGTGAAGGACTTCTTCAAAGAGGACTACAAACCACTGCTCAAGGAAATAAGAGAGGACACAAACAAATGGAAGAACATTCCACACTCATGGATAGGAAGAATTGGCCAGGAGAGGTGGCTCACGCCTGTAATCCCAGCACTTTGGGAGGCTGAGGTTGGCAGATCACGAAGTCAGGAGTTTGAGATCAGCCTGACCAACATGGTGAAACCCTGTCTCTACTAAAAATATAAAAATTAGTTGGGCATGGTGGTATGTGCCTGTAATTCTAGCTACTCAGGAGGTTGAGGCAGGGGAATTGCTTGAACCCGGGAGGTGGGGGTTGCAGTGAGCCAAGATTGTGCCGCTGCACTCCAGCCTAGGCGACAGAGTGAGATTCAAAAAAAGGATAGGAAGAATCCATATCATGAAAATGGCCATACTGCCCAAAGTAATTTGTAGATTCAATGTTATCCCTATCAAGCTACCATTGACTTTCTTCACAGAATTAGAAAAAAACTACTTTAAATTTCATATGGAACCAAAAAAGAGCCTGTATAGCCAAGACAATCCTAAGCAAAAAGAACACAGGAGGCATCATGCTACCTAAATTCAAAGTACAGTATAAGCCTACAGTAACCAAAACAGCATGGTACTGGTACCAAAACAGATATATAGACCAATGGAACAGAACAGAGGCCTCAGAAATAATGCCACACATCTACAACCATCTGATCTTTGACAAACCTGACAAAAACAAGAAATGGGGAAAGGATTCCCTATTTAATAAATGGTGCTGGGAAAACTGGCTAGCCACATGCGGAAAGCTGAAACTGGGCCCCTTCCTCACACCTTATTCAAAAATTAACTCAAGATAGATTAAAGACTTAAATGTGCCGGGCGTGGTGGCTCATGCCTGTAATCCCAGCACTTTGGGAGGCTGAGACAGGTGGATCACGAGGTTAGGAGTCCAAGATCAGCCTGGCTAACGTGGTGAAACCCTGTCTCTACTAAAAATGCGAAAATTAGCTGGGCATGGTGGGGGGTGCCTGTAGTCCCAGCTTCTTGGGAAGCTAAGGCAGGAGAATCACTTGAACCTGGGAAGTGGATGTTGCAATGAACTGAGGTCACACCACTGCACTCCAGTCTGGGTGACAGAGACTCCATCTAAAAAAAAAAAAAAAGACTTAAACATGAGACATAAAACCATAAAAACCCTAGAAGAAAACCTAGGTAATAACATTCAAGACATAGGCATGAGCAAAGACTTCATGACTGAAACACCAAAAGCAATGGCAACAAAAACCAAAATTGACAAATGGGATCTAATTAAACTAAAGAGCTTCTGCACAGCAAAAGACACTATCATCAGAGTGAATAGGCAACCTACAGAATGGGAGAAATTTTTGCGATCCATCTATCTGACAAAGGGCTAATATTCAGAAACTACAAAGAACTTAAACAAATTTACAGGAAAAAAAAACCCCATCAAAAAGTGGGTGAAGGATATGAACGGACACTTCTCAAAAGACATTTATGTGGCCCACAAACATGAAATAAAGCTCATCACCACTGGTCATTAGAGAAATGCAAATCAAAACCGCAATGAGATACCATCTCACGCCAGTTAAAATGGCCATCAAAAAGGAAAGAACAAAGCTGGAGAGGGTATGGAGAAATAGGAACACTTTTACACTGTTGGTGGGAGTGTAAATTAGTTCAACCATTGTGGAAGACAGTGTGGTGATTCCTCAAGGATCCAGAACCAGAAATACCGCATTTGACCCAGCAATCCCATTACTGGGATTATAACCCAAAGGACTACAAATCATTCTACTATAAAGACACATGCACACATATGTTTACTGCAGCACTGTTCACAATAGCAAAGACTTGGAACCAACCCAAATGCCCATCAGTGATACACTGGATAAAGAAAATGTGGCACATATACACCACGGAATACTATGCAGCCACATAAAAGGGCGAGTTTATGTCCTTTTCATGGACATGGATGAAGCTGGAAACCATCATTCTCAGCAAACTAACATAGAAACAGAAAACCTAACACCCCATGTTCTCACTCATAAGTGGGAGTTGAACAATGAGAACACATGGACACAGGGAGGGGAACATCACACACCAAGGCCTGTTGCGGGGTGGGGGGCTAGGCAATGGATAGCATTAGGAGAAATACCAAATATAGATGACAGGTTGATAGGTGCAGCAAACCACCATGACACATGTATACCTATTAACAAGCCTCCACATTATACACATGTATCCCTGAACTTAAAGTATAATTTAAAAAAAATAAGGAAACATTGGACTTGAACTATACTTTAGACCAAATGTGCCTAACAGATGTATACAGAACATTCTATGCAACATCAACAGAATACACATTTTTCTCAAGGGTACCTGGAACTTTCTCCAAGATAAATCATATATTAAGAAGCAAAATGTGCTGGGCCTGGTGGCTCACACCTGTAATCCCAGCACTTTGGGAAGCCAAGGTGGGCAGATCACCTGAGGTCAGGAGTTTGAGACCAGCCTGGCCAACATGGTAAAACGCTGTATCTACTAAAAATATGAAAATTAGCTGGGCATGGTGTTGCATATCTACTACTACTCAGGAGGCTGAGGTGGAAGATTGCTTGAACCTGGGAGGCAGAAGCTGTAGTATGCTGAGATCGTACCATTGCACTCCAGTCTGGGAAACAGAGTGAGACTCCGTCTCAAATACAAAAGAAACAAAACATGTCTGAACAAAATTTTCTGAATATGATAGTATCAAGTTACAAAATCCATAACATAAGAAATCTTGGAAAACTCACAAGTATGTGGAAATTAAACAACAGGCTACTAAATATCTAATGTGCCAAAGAAGAAAAAAAGAAATCAAAAAATATCTTGAGCCAGACAAAAATGGAAACACAACATATCAAACCTATGGGATGCAGTAAAATAAGTTCTGAGAGGCAAATTTATGGCAATAAATTTCTATCTCAAAAAAGAAGAAAAATCTACAATAGATGACCTAACATTATACTTCAAGAAACTAGAAAACAATCGAAGCCCAAAGTCAGTAGAGGGAAGAAAATAAACACCAGAGAAGGAATAAAATATATAGAAAAACAATTTAAAAAAATCAACGAAATCAAGAGTTGGTTTTTTTTTTGGAGACGGAGTCTTGCTCTGTTGCCCAGCTGGAGTGCAGTGGTGCGATCTCGGCTTACTGCAAGCCTGCCTCCCAGGTTCACACCATTCTCCTGCCTCAGCCTCCCCAGTAGCTGGGACTACAGGTGCCCACCACCATGCCTGGCTAATTGTTTTGTATTTTTAGCAGAGACGGGGTTTCACCGTGTTAGCCAGGATGGTCTCGATCTCCTGTCCTCGTGATCCACCTGCCTCAGCCTCCCAAAGTGCTGGGATTACAGGCGTGAGCCATCGCGCCCAGCCAAGAGTTGTTTTTTTTTAACTTAATTTTATTTGATTTATCTTATTTATTTATTTTTGAGATGGAGTCTCGCTCTGTCACCCAGGCTGGAATGCAGTGGTGTGATCTCGGGTCACTACAAGCTCCATTTCCCGGGTTCACGCCATTCTCCTTCCTCAGCCTCCCCAGTAGCTGGGACTACAGGCACCCGTCACCACGCCTGGCTAATTTTTTGTATTTTTAGTAGAGATGGGGTTTCACCGTGTTAGCCAGGATGGTCTTGATCTCCTGACCTCGTGATCTGCCCGCTTCAGCCTCCCAAAGTGCTGGGATTACAGGCGTGAGCCACTGTGCCCAGCCAAGAGTTGGTTTTAAAAACTTAAATTATTAAATTGTTGTATTCACACATTGTCATTGCAGGTATTTATGGGGGTACAATTTGATGCATCAATACATATATGTTACATAATGAACAAATCAGGATATTCAGCATATCTGTCACCTCATTCATTTATCATTTCTTTGTGATGAGGACATCCAAAAGCCTCTTTTTTCACTTTTTTTGTAATATACAATGTCTTACTTACAATTTTTTTGTAATATACAATGTATATTACTTTTGTAATATACAATGTCATCACCTTACTGTGCAATGTAACACCAGAACTTATTCCTCTTATGTAAGTGTAATTTTGTACCCATTGATCAAACTGTCTCCCCTCTTTCCAACATTGGCTTTTTGAAAACAAAACTGACAAATTCTTACCTAGACTAGGAAAAAAAGAGAAGATACAAATAAAGTCAGAAGTGAAAAAGGAGATATTATAAAATCCGTATCACAAAGAATCATAAGATATTACTATGAGCAATCATATGCCAACAAATTAGACATCCTAGAAGAAATGGATAAATTCCTAGACACACATAACCTACCAGTACTGAATCAATAAGAAATAAAAAAAATCCTTCAAAGACCAATGACAAGTCAGGAAATGGAATCAGTAACAAAAATCTCTCATCATAGAAAAACCCAGAACCTGATGGCTTCACTGCTGAATCCCACCAAACATTTAAAGAAGATCTAATACCAACCCTTCTCAAACTCTCCCAGATAATTGAAGAGGAAGAAACACTTCCAAGCATTTTGTGTGAGGCTAGCATTACCTTGATATCAAAGCCAGCAAAAACATTATAAAAAAAGAAAATTACAGTGCAGTAACCTTAATGAACATAGACACAAAAATCCTCAACAAAATACTAGCAAACCAAATTTAACAACACATTAAAATGTGGTTCAACATATACAAATCTGTAAGTGTGATACATCATGTTAACAGAATGAAGGACAAAAACCATATGGTCATCTCATTAGAGGCAGAAAAAAAATTGACAAAACTCAACATCTTCCATGATACAAACTCCTCACACATCAGGTATAGAAATATACCTCCAAACAATAAAGGCCATATATGACAAGCCCACAACTAACTTTATGTTCAACAGTAACAAAGCCCTTTTCTCTAAGTTTTGGAACAAGACAAGGATGCCTACTCTTACCACTTCTATTAAACATAGTGTTGCCAGAGCAATTAGACAAGAGAAAAAATAAAAGGCATCCACATAAGGAAGGAAGTAGGTGAAAGCTTTTCCTCTAAGATCAGGAGCAAGACAAAGATGCTCATTCTCATCACTCCTCTATATAATATAGTAATAGAGGTTTTTGCCAGAGCAATTAAGCAACAGAAATAAGTAAAAGGCATTCAAAAATAGGAAAGGAAGTAGCAAAATTGTTGAAGACATGATCTTATACATAGATAATCCTAAGAACTCTACCAAAACACTATTACAGAACTAATAACAAAAAAATCAATCATGTTTCAGGATATAAAATCAACATACAGGCCAGGCGTGGTGGCTCACGCCTGTAATCCCAGCACTCTGGGGGGACAAGGCGGGCGGATCACGAGGTCAGAAGATCGAGACCATCCTGGCTAACACGGTGAAATCCCGTCTCTACTAAAAATGCAGAAAAATTTAGCCGGGCGTGGTGGTGGGCGCCTGTAGTCCCAGCTACTCGGGAATCTGAGGCAGGAGAATGGCATGAACCAGGGAGGTGGAGCTTGCAGTGAGCTGAGATCACGTCACTGTGCTCCAGCCTGGGCAACGGAGCAAGGCTCTGTCTCAAAAAATAAATAAAATAAAATAAATTTTAAAAAAATCAACATACAAAGATCAGTAGCATTCTTATGAACTAACAAACTATCCAAAAAAGAAATCAAGAGAACAATCTCCCCCACCATTTTTTTTTTTTTTTTTTTTTTTTTTTTTTTTTGAGACAGAATCCCACTCTGTCGCCCAGGCTGGGGTGCAGTGGTGCTATCTCAGCTCATTGCAACCTCCACCTCCCCAGTTCAAGCAATTCTTCTGCCTCAGCCTCCCGAGTAGCTGGGACTACAGGCAGGCACCATCATGTCTAGATAATTTTTGTATTTTTAGTAGAGATGAAGTTTCGCCATGTTGGCCAGGCTGGTCTGGAACTCCTGACCTCAAGTGATCCGCCTGCTTCAGCCTTCCCAAGTACTGGGATTAAAGGCATGAGCCACTGCACCTGGCCAAATAATCCCATTTATTATAACAGCTACAAAATAAAAATGTGTACACTGAGCACTATAAACTGTTGATATAAGAAACTGAAGAAGACATGAATTGAAAGATATTCTATGTTTACAGATTGAAAGAATACTGTTAAAATGTCCATACTACCCCAAATTTTCTATAAATGCAATACAATCAAAATTCTCATGTCATTTTTCACAGAAATAGAAAAACCCTAAGATTCATATGGAACCACAAAAATCCTGAATATCCAAGGCAATCATGAACAAAAAGAAAAAGGCCGGAGACAACACAATACCTGACTTCAAACTATATTACAAAGCTATAGTAATTAAAACAGCATGGCACTGGCATCAAAACAGAAACAGCAGCCAATGGACCAGAATAGAGCTCCCAGAGATGAACCTATGCATTTATACTCAATTGATTTTTGACAGAGGTTCCAAGAACACACAATGGGGAAAGGAAAGTCTCTTCAATAGAGTGCTGAAAAAACTAGGCAATCACAAAAACGACACAGAAGAATAAAATTGGATCCTATCTCACCCCATAATAAAATCAACTAAAAATGGTTTAGGGACTTAAATGAACGACCTACAACTATAAAAATATTAAAATAAAACATAGGAGAAAAACTACATGACATTTATGTGGGCAGTATTTTTTTCGGATTTGACCCCAAAAGCTCAGGCAACAAAAGCAAAGAAAGACAATTGGGATTTTAATCAAAGTAATAGCTTTTGTACAGCAAAGAAATCAACAGAGTGAAGAGATAATCTACAGACTGGGAGAAAATATTGTAAGCAACACAGCTAGTAAGGGGTTAACATGCAAAAACATAAGGAACTCAAACTCAATAGCAAAAAACAAATAACCTGACTTAAAAATGGGCAAAGGACCTGAATAGACATTTCTCAAATGAAGATATACAAATGGCCAACCAGTATATGAAAAAAATGCTTAACATCACTAATCATTAGGGAAATGCAAATTAAAACCACAATGAAATTTTACTTCACACATCTCAGAATGGTATGGCAGCTGTCTTTTTATTTCCATGAAAAATATGAATAACAAATGTTGATTAGAATGTAAAGAAAAGGAAACCCTTGCACACTGTTGATGGGAATATAAATTAGCACAGCCATTATGGAAAATAATATATAAGGTCCTGAAAACACCAAAAATATAACTACTGTATGATCCAGCAATCCCACTTCTGGGTAAATATTCTAAGAGCTTGAAATTACTATGTGTCAAAGGTATTTGCACTCCCCTGTTCATTGCAGTGTTATTTACAATAGCCAAGTTATAGAGTCAATCTAAGTATCCAGCAACAGATGAATGGATAAAGAAAATGTAGATTTACCCAATGGAATACTATTCAGCCTTGAGAAACAAGAAATTCTGCCATTTTTCAATGACGTGGATGAACTTGGAGAACACTATATTAATTGAAATAAGCCAGGAAGAGGAAGACAAAAACCACGTGTTCTCCCTTACATGTGAAATATCTAAAACAATGGAATTCTTAGAAGCAGAGAGTAGAACGCTGGCTTCCAGAGTCTGAAGGGTGGGGTAAATGGGGAGATGTTCGTAAAAGGGTAGAAAGTTGCAGTTAGATGGTAGGCAATAAATAATTATTTAAGATGGCTATGTTAATTAGCTTGATTCAACCATTCCATACCGTATGTATATGTGTGTGTGTGTGTGTATATATATATATATATATATCTCATAACATCACTGTGTACTTCATAATTATATATGATTATAAGCAGAAAATAAAATAAAAATGCAAGCAAGTAATTTTCACTGTGGTATGAAATTTGGATTTTATTCTAAAAGCAAAGGAGAGCCATTGAAGTGTTTTAAGCAGAGGATCAGCTGATATAATTTACCTACTAAATAGATCACTCTGGTACACTTTCTTTTAGATACTAAAGAAAGCATTGTTCATAGATACTGAACCATATACCACAGACTTGCAAAAGTAAGTCCGTATCATTGAAATCTTCACAGATAAGAGAAATTTTTAAATGTGGCAAGTCAAAATAATTATCCTGCCACCTTCATATTTTCCCATATGTAGATTTCTATTGCAAATTTTTATAATCTTCAACCAGTAATATTTCAGCTAAATATAGAAGTATATATTTTAAGTTTCTGGCAAAAACCTAATGACAGTTCACAAGGTAAAAGAAACAATTTCCTAATGATAAACTTGTTGTAAGTGTAAAAACAGGCAAGGCCATTTTTACTGTGTGTCATCACCATGGCCTCAGCAGGCTCCACCAGATGAGGAGCTAAACAGAGGGATGATGGCCTGACTCAATCTTCCCTTCTTCAAAAAGAAGAACCTCCATACTCTTCCTGAAGCCAGATAGACCCTCCTGATCCTTCATGTCTAACATCAACTGTATAACATTCCACACTGTGACCATCTCAGTGGACGCCTTTCTTGACTTCTTACTCATTAGCATTTAGCTGGACTCAGACATTTCTACTACAACAATGCCTGGATCACATGGCATTGACTAAGATTTTAGAATCGAAATCATTCTTCCAGAAAAACTGAATATAAATGAACTTCAAATATAGTTTTTCTACATTTATGTAAAAATGTTTACCTAATTTCAGGTATCTCTTTTGGTGGCATGCTGAAAGCAGCAGTATGAGGAAGGGGAGGAATCAGTTAGCTCAGCTGGCTGTGTGATATTGGTCATGTTTAACTTCTCTGACTCCAGTTTTGACATTTATAGTGTGGGGATAGTAATACCTGCCATACTGGGAGGTTGGGAAGTTAAGAGGCAGTGCATTCACAGTGCTTGGCACATAATAAATGGTGAACTAATAATATCTCTTATTGCTATTTTATTTGCCAACTCTACCTCTCTGTGTAGTTAATAATATCTTTCTAATAATATATAAGTAAGTTATTCCTCTGTATTCCTCTTTGATATATTTGTTCTATCATCTACTTGGTTATACCTCTTTTCCACAAAATACTCTACCCACAAAATAAGTCATCCCTCCCCAAGGGAGACGTCAGAACTCAAATTCTAAGCTTTCTTTACAGGTAGTGTACATTTGATTGGTCTACTGTAAATGGGGCTCTTATTTTTGCTGGTACAGGTGACAGGAGCAGCAGTGGTGGTCATTTTCCAGAGTTCACAAAGTTATGTTTCTGAGGCAGCAGTAGCCCTGGTGACAGCATTACTAGTGGATGTAGTAAAGTCAAGTTACTGCTGACAGAGAAATTTGATGGTGCTGTTTGGTGCTTCATTCCTTAGCTTTGAAAATCCTTTACCTAATATTCCATATTAAGCCCAAGCCTTTTGGCTTTATCTATCTAGATTCTATGTTCTTTTTAGTTTTGTTTTTAAATAAAAACTTTTTAGTTGGAATAATTTTAGATTTACAGGGAAGTTTCAAAGCCAATAGGAAAGTTGGGGAACAATCCACAAAATCACTGTTACTTCTGACACCAAATGCAGATTTCTGGGTTCCCAAGACCACTCTCACTTCTAACACCAGTTGCAGGTCCAGAGTTCACCAATTCTACCATTAGGTTTGATTGTTGATTAAAAGGACTTGTAGAACTCACTGTAATCTATCATGCTCAGAGCCACAGTTTGCTACAGCAAAAGGATACAGACCAAAATCAGCCAAGGGAAGAGATGTACAATGCAGAGTCCAGGAAAGTTTCAAGCACTGATCTTCCAGCTGTCCTTTCCCTCTGGAGTCATGGCCTGTGTTTGCTTCTCCTGAAAATTAAGTCTGATAGTACACACGGAATAGGGCCCACCGGAGAAACTCACCTGAGCTTCGAGTCCAGAATTTATATGGGGCTCAGTCATGTGGACATGGTTGGCCATCCACATGGCTGAACTCACTCTCACTCAACTCAGGACTACTGTCCTCCAGTCATACTGTTAGATTATCTGGTGTGATCCAAGGCCCCCAGGTTAAAAAAAAAAAGAAAACATCTTTATGAGGCAGGACATTCTAAGAGCTTGAAGATTACCTCCCAGGAGCTGACAGCATAGGCCAGACCTCCCTTTAGGCAAGGTTAAGTTCCTTCCAATACACAAATAAATCATTTTTTTTTCAACTTTAAGTTCTGGGGTACATGTGCAGGATGTGCAGGTTTGTTACTTAGGTAAACATGTACCATGGTGATTTGCTGTACAGATTAACCCATTACCTAAGTATTAAGCCCAGCATCCATGAGCTATTCTTCCTGATGCTTTCCCTCCCCCTGCCCCTCTGACAGGCTCCAGTGGGTGTTATCCATCCCCATGTGTCCATGTGTTTTCATTGTTTGGCTCCCACTTGTAAGTGAAAACATGCAGTGTTTGGTTTTCCATTCCTGTATTAGTTTGCTGATAATAATGGCTTCCAGCTCCATCCATGTCCCTGCAAAGGACATAATCTCGTTTCTTTATATGGCTACATAGTATTCCATGGTGATGATACACAAATCTTAATACAAATTTAAATACCTGTATACTTCTCACATCAGTACTGACACATGATCCTTTGGTCTCAATAGCTGCCATTTAATTATCTTATATATTCTAAGCCATGAGCATTATCTCCAGTCACTGCAGCAATATTTTAAGGTAGCTGTTCTGACATTTTATAATTGAGGAAACTGGGGCTCAAAGGTGAAACAAAAACATGTCTGAAGTCACCAAGATA
Organism: Homo sapiens; assembly: GCF_000001405.40. NCBI lineage: Eukaryota > Metazoa > Chordata > Mammalia > Primates > Hominidae > Homo > Homo sapiens. Next base: position 97,250,896 of record NC_000007.14, read on the forward strand.
GTAAATCACAGAGTCAGATTTCAGAGCCAGCCCTAACTCCAACGCCTGTCCTCTTTTGCAAAATGGCTGGTTTTACTTTGTGACTGACACACTTGCCTTGGACTCTATAAAGTATAGATAAGACTGATGACTATTGCCTAATTCATTAAACTGTGATTAAACATGTTTTTTAGATTAGTCTAAAACTTTATATTAGTCACATCCCTATGAGCATTTTTAAAAGAAAAAAATGCCTGTTTGACATATTAATACAAACAGCATTAGCATATTGCACAGTCTGTCCTTATAATTTTTGCTTTAACTTTTCTTAGGCTTATTTGAATCTCATTTCTTTCTCCCTTCATGGACTTCAGCTAAGTGCTCATTCTTAGTTTTACAGTGTTTTATTGTCATCTTTTGTCAATAAATAAATCTGGTTTTCTACTTCCTTAGTGAAGGCCAACAAAATTCCAATGTGTTGTTTGGGATTTGTATAAATTCAGAGTTCCTTTGTAATTCTCATTTTGTTTTAGATTAAAAACAAACAAACAAAAAAACATGGACTCCCTCAACCTTGAGGCACTCTCTTCCTGTGCCTCAAGGCCAGAAATGTAACACAAGTCCTTTAGTCAAAAGTGTAACAGACAATTGCTGCTGAGAAAACGAAGCTACAGGAGTGGTGTTCTAAGTACTAGGTGGGCTATAGTAATTAGTAAGTGGTAAGCATTGAGCACCACAGGGAGCTGATAATGGGATGAAACTAATACCATGTCAGACAACAAGAACTATATGTCTCAACGTTTAAAATAGATTTAAATACATTTAAGCCAGAGAGGCTGTCAGAGAAAATCTGCATGTGCACATTTCTAAGGAGATAGCAATTAAATTAACTGCCACCCACTTCATCTTAAGATGAGAAAACTGAAGCATGTTACGCAGCAATATTAATAACAGTAGCAACAATGGCTACAGCTTATTAAGAGGTTTCTGGGTGGCAGGTGGTGTATTAAACACAAACACATTGTATCATTTACTCCTCATGTTAACCCTGAGATAGGCATAATTATAGCCATCCTCTTAAATTGAGGACTGAAGTTTATAGAAATGAAGACACTTGGCCAAGGGTACAAAAATTGCTAAATGATGGAACCAGGATTTGAGTCAATGAAGTCTATGTCTAAACTCATATCTTTTACCACTAGGTACTATTTCCAATCATAGACCCATAGTCAATAATGGAATCATGAGAAGAATCTATCTTTCCATGCTTACAACCTGATAGAAACCAAAATGCCTCATTGTTAATTGTCCTGATATTGCACTGGGAACAACCATGTTGTCTGGAAAGAAAAAGATAAAGTTGGGGCAACTAGTAATCTCTACAGAAGCCTTCTTATGACGGACGAATGGAGAGAAAATACATTTTCCTGGCTCTTCAGCCAAACTTCCATCTTCTGCCAATCCTGTGCCCTCAGGAATATTAACAAGTATTTGTACTAACAGATCTTGAACTTTCCTAAGCAAATAAATGTTCTCAGATTAATTTCCCTTCTCCTTCTCTGCATGGGAACCTCAGATTAATTCTGATTTAGACTCAGCAGTTGTAACCGAGGCCAGGAATAAAAAGTGAGGTTGACGAAGAAAAATTTACCGGTAAAGATATCTTCGTATATAATCCTATCCTCAACCTCCCTAAATACAGACCAGAGAGAATATATTCCCAGGCCAAAAATCTGAGAGGTTTACTCTAGAGAAATTAAATGAATAATCCAGGAAATAGAAAGTTTTATAGTTTATGTGTTAATACTGCCATATAGTAGTTTTCTACACCTAATGACACTTTGGGAGCCACAAACTTAACAATGGGCTTCCCACGAGTGGCTATATTAATATCAGAAAAAATAGCATCTCCACTTCTATTCAACATAGTACTGGAAGTCCTGGCCAGAGCAGTTATGAAGGAGAAAGAAGTAAAAGGCATACAAACCAGAAAGGAAGAATCTAAATTGTCCCTGTTTTCAAATGACATGATCTTATATAGTCATGTGCCACATAATGATGTTTCAGTCCGTGATAGATTGCATATACAATGGTGGCCCCATAAGGCCATAATGAAAACCTTATTTTTACTCTACCAACTAGTTTTGTGTAAGTATACTCTATGATGTTTACACAATGACAAAAATCACTTAACAGTGCATTTCTCATAATGCATTCTACCCTTAAGTGACACATAATTGTATATAGAAAACCATAAAGATTCCACCAAAAAATCTTTAGAACTACTAAACAAATTCAGTAAAGTTGCAGGCTACAAAATCAATGTACAGAAATAAGTAGTGTTTCTGTATAGTAACTATGAACAATCTGAAAAAGAAATGAAGAGAACAATCCAGTTTACAATAGCTACAAAAATAAAATAAAATACTTAGGAATAAATTTAACCAAGGAAGTGAAAGATCTATATACTAAAAACTATAAAACACTGATGGCAGAAATTGAAAACACAGATAAATGGAAAAATATCCAGTGTCCATGGATTGGAAGAATATTGTTAAAATGTCCATACTACCCAATCTAATCTACAGATTTAATACAATTGCTATCAAAATTCCATTGACATTTTTTCACAGAAATAAAAAACCCTGAAAGACCCCAAGTAGCCAAAGCAACCCTGAGCAAAAAGAGCAAAACTAGAGGCATCATACTACTAATCTCAAAATCTACTACAAAGACAGCATGATCCTAACATAAAAACAGACAAATAGACCACGTAGAGCACAGAATGTAGAGCACAGAAATAAACCTCATGCATTTATAGTCAATAGACCTTTGACAAAGGTGTCAGGAATGCACAGTAAGAGGACAGCCTCTTCAATAAATGGTGTTGGAAAAACTGGATATCCACATGCAGAAGAATGAAATTAGACACTTATCTCATGTCATATATAAAATTCAACTGAAAATGGATTAAAGACCTAAATGTAAGGCATGAACTGTACACTACTAAAAAACCAAACCAAACAAAAAACAAACAAAACAGAAAAAAAAACCTCTTGGTATATTGGTCTGGGAAATGACTGTTTGGATATGACCCAAATCACAAACAACAAAAAACAAAAAAAGACAAATGGGATTGTATCAAATTAAAAAGCTTCTACACAGCAAAGAAAACAGAGTAATGAGGCAACCTGTGGAATGGGAGCAAATATTGGCAAACTATACATCTGATAAGGGGTTAATATCCAAAATATACAGGGAACTAAAACAACTCAATAGTAAGACAATAACTCAAACAAAGGGCAAAAGACTTGAATAGACATTTAAGCCAAAGAAAACATAGAAACGGTCACATTTTTAATATATAAAAATGCTTAATATCACTAATCAGGGAAATGCAAATTATAACCATAATGAGATACCACCTCACATCTGTTAGAATAGCTATTACCAAAAAGAAAAGATAGAAAATGTTGGCAAGGATGTGGAGAAAAAGGAACCCTTGTACACTGTTGGTAGAAATTAGTACAGCCATTATGGAAAACAGTATGGGGTTTCCTAAAAAAGTTAAAAGTAAAACAATCATATGATCCAGCAAGAGTATATATCCAAAGGAAATAAATTCAGTTTATTGAAGAGATATCTGCATGCCGCATTCATTGTGGCATTATTCACAATAGCTAAGATATGGAATCAACCAAAGTATGTATTGATAGATGAATGAATAAAGAAAATGTGATATAGATATATACAATGGAATACTATTCAGCATTGAAAAAGGAAATTCTGCCATTTGTAACAACATGGATGAACCTAGAAGACATTATGTTAACTGACATTAACCAGATACAGAAGGTTGAATACTGCTGCATGATCTCACTTAGATGTGGAGTCTAAAAAAGCTAAACTCATAGAAGTAGAGAGTAGGATATTGCTTATCAGGGGCTTGGGTGGGAATGGGAGGGCATTAGGGAAATGTTGATCAAAGGATACAAAGCTTCAGTTAGACAAGAGGAATAAGTTCAACAGATCTATCATGGTGAACTATCACGGTGAATATAGTTAACAATAATGTATTATATACTTGAAAACGGCTAAGAGTAGATTTTAAGTGTTCTCACCACAAAATGTAAGTAATGCATAGTTAATTATCTTGACTAACATTGATACATTGATTCTACAATGTATATAGATGAAAACATGTTGTATACCATAAATATATACAATTTTTGCCAATAAAAATGAGTTTAAAAAGTAGATGCATCATAAGTACAGTTTATGAAGATGATTTAACAATGATGAATTATATGCATACAATGACAATGCAGCTAACTGTATAAAGAAACTACTATTAGATATGCAAAAATATGTTGATGAAAGTACAATAAATATTTTAATTTTTTTTTAGAATAAGATATACTATACAATAAAAGGAATATAGAGAGTCTACAGTTTTATTTAATAGCTAGGTATAGAATTTTTAGTGTCATAGATAGAATATATATCTAAATATTTTTCTTTATAAATTTGTGTTTTACCACAAATAAAACCTTACCATTTTTAAAAATAAAGTTGAGAATTCTTTAGGCCATGTACTCTGATCTTTATCTGATGAAATTAGAAATTAGAAGATGAATTATAAAAACTTAACTGATTAAAATTTAAAGAGTCTAAATAATCCCTGAATCAAAGAGGACATTAAAACTGAAATGACAAGATATTTATAAAGCAATAAAACAGAACACCTCGTATTAAACCAATGGGACTCAGTTGAAGCAGTTCAGAGAAAAACTTATAGGTTTAAAAGTACTTAGTATTAAAGATACAATGCTAAAATAAAGGAATTTTGTATCCATCTTTAGAAAATGAAAAAGCAATAAAAAATAGATAATACCTTTAAGAGCCTGATAGGGAAAGAATTAACACGGCAATAGCAAAATCATACAAGACTATCAATGGCAAAATAAGGAAAATAAGCATGAAAGTGAATGAGATTAAAATAATTGTAACAGTACTATCTGCAACTACTCTGGCAACAAATTTGAAAACCTACAGAAAAAGATTATTTGTTAAAAGATATAAATTAACATAATTATTCCAAAAATAAGTTAAAAATTTCAATGGATCAATTCAATTTAAAAAATTGAGAGTCAAAATTTTTCATTACAAAAGATACCAGAAGCAAATAGCTTCACGAATAGCCAATTACAATGTTAAACAATTCCAGACAAAGCATGAACACTGCAACAATTTCATGAAGCCAGCATTCAAGTTAAACAGCAAAAGCTGATGAAGTCAGTGTAAAAAAGGAAACTAGGTTGGTCGCAGTGGCTCATGCCTGTAATCCCAGCACTCTGGGAGGCTGAGGCGGGCAGATCATGAAGTCAGGAGTTCAAGACCAGCCTAGCCAACATGGTGAAACGCTGTCTTTACTAATAATACAAAAATTAGCTGGGCATGGTGGCGTGTGTCTGTAATCCCAGCTACTCAGGGAGGCTGAGGTGGAATTGCTCAAACCAGGACCCCGGATGCGGAGGTTGCAATGACCCAGCCACTGCACTCCAGACTGGGCTACACAGCGAGACTCCGTCTCAAAACAAAAACAAAAACAAAAACAAAACTGTAGACCAATCTGACTCGTGTAAAAATTCTACATCAAAATATTATCAGGCTGGGTGTGGTGGCTCATGCCTGTAATCCCAGCACTTTGGGAGGCCGAGGCAGGTGGATCTCTTGAGGTCAGGAGCTCGAGACTAGCCTGGCCAACATGGTGAAAACCTGTCTCTACTAAAAATACAAAATAGCCAGGTGTGGTGGCATGCACCTGTAATCCCAGCTGCTTGGGAATCTGAGGCAGGACAACTGCTTGAACCCAGGTGGCGGAGGTTGCAGTGAGCCAAGATTGCACCACTGCACTCCAGCCTGGGCAACAAAGCGAGACTTTCTCACCAAAAAAAAAAAATCAAATTAAATCTAGCCAAATAGGAAAATTATAATGCAATAATACCAAGCAGGATTTTATCCTAGCATGCAAATATGATCCAAAATCAGACTATCAATAAAAATTATGTGATTATACAAATAGAAAACAAGAACAGGAACCAATAAAACTCAAGTTTCCCACAAAAATATATTTTAAAACTATCACAGTTATAATTTATCATTTGACTAGAGATTACATAGAATATAAGATGAGAAAATGAAATCATTGGCATAGCTTTTGAAAAAAAGAAGTGACCTCTTTTGCCGATCATTAAATTTTATCCCCACAAAGTTCTAGAAGGCTTACTTCTTAAAAACTATAAAAATCAAAACTTTAAGTATAAAAATCAAAGGTTATTTATTAATGTGAGTGAATATAAAATATATACAATTTCAAACATCTCTAGTAATATAAGATAGAAAATCTATTATTAATAGCAATAAAGCTGTAAAGTATTTAGATATGAATTTAACAAAAAATGTATAGGATCAACATGAAGAAATTACTTATTGAAAGACAAATAAGAGACATTTAACATTATTAAGTGGGAAAACAAATGATAAAAATTCAATTATTTCAAGCTTTATATATAATTCAATTTTAATTAATATTCCAATGCTTTTTGGGGGGAATATTGGATAAAATTATCTTAAATTTTAATACAAGACTATATGAACAGTCACAAATTATCAAAAATAAAAGCTGTGAGGGGGAAATTTATTAAATAGAGCCACACAATTGAAATAGCATATTAGCCAGAGAAATATATTTAGGTGAATGAGACAAAATAGAGGCTATCATAATACATTGCAGAGTAATTAGAAAATTAATATATGACAGGTAATAGTTTAATTTAGTATGAAAAGGATAGTTTAATAAACTTTATTGATAGCAATGGCTATCTACTTGAAAAAATTAAGTTGGGTGACTTATTTCAAACTATATTCCCAAATATTTCACAGATGAGAAGCTAAGGCATGAGCAGTAAATAATTGCTTTCAGCCACATGGCTGGTGCAGGTGAAGCCAGTGCTTGAGGCTCCTGTGCATCCTACTTCCTGCCTCCTCCGAGTGGCCTGAGTGTGCCCAATGCACTTACATAAGGAATTATGCTTTAGGAGAGTCCCATGTAAAAAACAATGGCAGATGGGTTTCCACCTTTACCTGGGTTCTTTTGTTTTGTTTTGTTTTTGTTTTTATTCCCTATTCAATTTATTATTATTATTATTATACTTTAAGTTTTAGGGTATATGTGCACAATGTACAGGTTAGTTACATATGTATACATGTGCCATGCTGGTGTGCTGTACCCATTAACTCGTCATTTAGCATTAGGTATATCTCCTAATGCTATCCCTCCCCCCTCCCCCCACCCCACAACAGTCCCCAGAGTGTGATGTTCCCCTTCCTGTGTCCATGTGTTCTCATTGTTCATTTCCCACCTAAGAGTAAGAACATGGAGTGTTTGGTTTTTTGTCCTTGCGATAGTTTACTGAGAATGATGATTTCCAATTTCTTCCATGTCCCTACAAAGGACATGAACTCATCCTTTTTTATGGCTGCATAGTATTCCATGGTGTATATATGCCACATTTTCTTAATCCAGTCTATCATTGTTGGACATTTGGGTTGGTTCCAAGTCTTTGCTATTGTGAATAGTGCCGCAATAAACATACGTGTGCATGTGTCTTTATAGCAGCATTATTTATAGTCCTTTGGGTATATACCCAGTAATGGGATGGCTGGGTCAAATGGTATTTCTAGTTCTAGATCCCTGAGGAATCACCACACTGACTTCCACAATGGTTGAACTAGTTTACAGTCCCACCAACAGTGTAAAAGTGTTCCTATTTCTCCACATCCTCTCCAGCACCTGTTGTTTCCTGACTTTTTAATGATTGCCATTCTAACTGGTGTGAGATGGTATCTCATTGTGGTTTTGATTTGCATTTCTCTGACGGCCAGTGACGGTGAGCATTTTTTCATGTGTTTTTTGGCTGCATAAATATCTTCTTTTGAGAAGTATCTGTTCATGTCCTTCGCCCACTTTTTGATGGGGTTGTTTTTTTCCTGTAAATTTGTTTGAGTTCTTTGTAGATCCTGGATATTAGCTCTTTGTCAGATGAGTAGGTTGTGAAAATTTTCTCCCATTTTGTAGGTTGCCTGTTCACTCTGATGGTAGTTTCTTTTGCTGTGCAGAAGCTCTTTAGTTTAATTAGATCTCATTTGTCAATTTTAGCTTTTGTTGCCATTGCTTTTGGTGTTTCAGACATGAAGTCCTTGCCCATGCCTATGTCCTGAATGGTAATGCCTAGGTTTTCTTCTAGGGTTTTTATGGTTTTAGGTCTAACGTTTAAGTCTTTAATCCATCCTGAATTAATTTTTGTATAAGGTGTAAGGAAGGGATCCAGTTTCAGCTTTCTACATATGGCTAGCCAGTTTTCCCAGCACCATTTATTAAATAGGGAATCCTTTCCCCATTTCTTGTTTTTCTCAGGTTTGTCAAAGATCAGATAGTTGTAGATATGCAGCATTATTTCTGAGGGCTCTGTTCTGTTCCATTGATCTATATCTCTGTTTTGGTACTAATACCATGCTGTTTTGGTTACTGTAGCCTTGTAGTATAGTTTGAAGTCAGGTAGTGTGATGCCTCCAGCTTTGTTATTTTGGCTTAGGATTGCCTTAGTGATGCAGGCTCTTTTTTGGTTCCATATGAACTTTAAAGTAGTTTTTTCCAATTCTGTGAAGAAAGTCATTGATGGGGATGGCACTGAATCTATAAATTACCTTGGGCAGTAGGGCCATTTTCACGATATTGATTCTTCCTACCCATGAGCATGGAATGTTCTTCCATTTCTTCATATCCTCTTTTATTTCACTGAGCAGTGGTTTGCAGTTCTCCTTGAAGAGGTCCTTCACGTCCCTTGTAAGTTGGATTCCTAGGTATTTTATTCTCTTTGGAGCAATTGTGAATAGGAGTTCACTCATGATTTGGCTCTCTGTTTGTCTGTTATTGGTGTATAAGAATGCTTGTGATTTTTCTATATTGATTTTGTATCCTGAGACTTTGCTGAAGTTCCTTATCAGCTTATGGAGATTTTGGGCTGAGACAATGGGGTTTTCTAGATATACAATGATGTCATCTGCAAACAGGGACAATTTGACTTCCTCTTTTCCTCATTGAATACCCTTTATTTCCTTCTCCTGCTTAATTGCCCTGGCCAGAACTTCCAACACTATGTTGAATAGGAGTTGTGAGAGAGGGCATCCCTGTCTTGTGCCAGTTTTCAAAGGGAATGCTTCCAGTTTTTGCCCATTCAGTATGATATTGACTGTGGGTTTGTCATAGATAGCTCTTATTATTTTGAGATACGTCCCATCAATACCTAATTTATTGAGAGTTTTTAGCATGAAGGGTTGTTGAATTTTGTCAAATGCCTTTTCCACATCTATTGAGATAATCGTGTGGTTTTTGTCTTTGGTTCTGTTTATATGCTGGATTACATTTATTGATTTGCATATATTGAACCAGCCTTGCATCCCAGGGATGAAGCCCACTTGATCATGGTGGATAAGCTTTTTGATGTGCTGCTGGACTCAGTTTGCCAGTATTTTATTGAGGATTTTTGCATCAATGTTCATCAAGGATATTGATCTAAAATTCTCTTTTTTGGTTGTGTCTTTGCCAGGCTTTGGTATCAGGATGATGCTGGCCTCATAAAATGAGTTAGGGAGGATTCCCTCTTTTTCTATTGATTGGAATAGTTTCAGAAGGAATGGTACCAGTTCCTCCTTCTACCTCTGGTAGAATTTGGCTGTGAATCCATCTGGTCCTGGACCCTTTTTGGTTAGTAAGCTATTGATTATTGCCACAATTTCAGGGCCTGTTATTGGTGTATTCAGAGATTCAACTTCTTCCTGGTTTACTCTTGGGAGGGTGTATGTGTCCAGGAATTTATCCATTTCTTCTAGATTTTCTAGTTTATTTGCATAGAGGTGTTTGTAGTATTCTCTGATGGTAGTTTGTAATTCTGTGGGATTGGCGGTGATATCCCCTTTATCATTTTTTATTGCATCGATTTGATTCTTCTCTCTTTTCTTCTTTATTAGTCTTGCTAGCGGTCTATCAATTTTGTTGATCCTTTTAAAAAACAAGCTCCTGGATTCATTAATTTTTTGAAGGGTTTTTTGTGTCTGTATTTCCTTCGGTTCTGCTCTGATTTTAGTTATTTCTTGCCTTCTGCTAGCTTTTGAATGTGTTTGCTCTTGCTTCTCTAGTTCTTTTAATTGTGATGTTAGGGTGTCAATTTTGGATCTTTCCTGCTTTCTCTTGTGGGCATTTAGTGCTATAAATTTCCCTCTACACACTGCTTTGAATGTGTCCCAGAGATTCTGGTATGTTGTGTCTTTGTTCTCATTGGTTTCAAAGAACATCTTTATTTCTGCCTTCATTTCATTATGTACCCAGTAGTCATTCAGGAGCAGGTTGTTCAGTTTCCATGTAGTTGACCGGTTTTGAGTGAGTTTCTTAATCCTGAGTTATAGTTTGATTTCACTGTGGTCTGAGAGACAGTTGGTTATAATCTCTGTTCTTTTACATTTGCTGAGGAGAGCTTTACTTCCAACTATGTGGTCAATTTTGGAATAGGTGTGGTGTGGTGCTGAAAAAAATGTATATTCTGTTGATTTGGGGTGGAGAGTTTTGTAGATGTCTATTAGGTCCACTTGGTGCAGAGCATGAGTTCAATTCCTGGGTATCCTTGTTAACTTTCTGTCTCGTTGCTCTGTCTAATGTTGACAGTGGGGTGTTAAAGTCTCCCATTATTATTGTGTGGGAGTTAAGTCTCTTTGTAGGTCACTCAGGACTTGCTTTATGAATCTGGGTGCTCCTGTATTGGGTGCATATATATTTAGGATAGTTAGCTCTTCCTGTTGAATTGATCCCTTTACCATTATGTAATGGCCTTCTTTGTCTCTTTTGATCTTTGTTGGTTTAAAGTCTGTTTTATCAGAGACTAGGACTGCAACCCCTGCCTTTTTTTGTTTTCCATTTGCTTGGTAGTTCTTCCTCCATCCTTTTATCTTGAGCCTGTGTGTGTCTCTGCACGTGAGATGGGTTTCCTGAATACAGCACACTGATGGGTCTTGACTCTTTATCCAATTTGCCAGTCTGTGTCTTTTAATTGGAGCATTTAGTCCATTTACATTTAAAGTTAATATTGTTAGGTGTGAATTTGATCCTGTCATTATGATGTTAGCTGGTTATTTTGCTCGTTAGTTGATGCAGTTTCTTCCTAGCCTCGATGGTCTTTACAATTTGGCATGATTTTGCAGTGGCTGGTACCAATTGTTCCTTTCCATGTTTAGTGCTTCCTTCAGGAGCTATTGTAGGGCAGGCCTGGTGGTGACAAAATCTCTCAGCATTTGCTTGTCTGCAAAGTATTTTATTTCTCCTTCACTTAGGAAGCTTAGTTTGGCTGGATATGAAATTCTGGGTTGAAAATTCTTTTAAGAATGTTGAATATTGGCCCCTACTCTCTTCTGGCTTGTAGAGTTTCTGCCGGGAGATCCGCTGTTAGTCTGATGGGCTTCCCTTTGTGGGTAACCCAACCTTTCTCTCTGGCTGCCCTTAACATTTTTTCCTTCATTTCAACTTTGATGAATCTGACAATTATGTGTCTTGGAGTTGCTCTTCTCGAGGACTACCTTTGTGGTGTTCTCTGTATTTCCTGAATCTGAATGTTGGCCTGCCTTGCTAGATTGGGGAAGTTCTCCTGGATAATATCCTGCAGAGTGTTTTCCAACTTGGTTCCACTCTCCCCATCACTTTCATGTACACCAATCAGACTTGGATTTGGTCTGTTCACATAGTCCCATATTTCTTGGAGGCTTTATTCGTTTCTTTTTATTCTTTTTTCTCTAAACTTCCCTTCTTGCTTCATTTCATTCATTTCATCTTCCATCACTGATACCCTTTCTTCCAGTTGATCGCATCAGCTCCTGAGGCTTCTGCATTCTTCACATAGTTCTCGAGCCTTGGTTTTCAGCTCCATCAGCTCCTTTAAGCACTTCTCTGTCTTGGTTATTCTAGTTATACATTTGTCTAAATTTTTTTCAAAGTTTTTAACTTCTTTGCCTTTGGTTTGAATTTCCTCCTGTAGCTCGGAGTAGTTTAATCGTCTGAAGCCTTCTTCTCTCAACTCGTCAAAGTCATTCTCCGTCTAGCTTTGTTCTGTTGCTGGTGAGGAACTGCGTTCCTTTGGAGGAGGAGAGGCGCTCTGCTTTTTAGGGTTTCCAGTTTTTCTGCTCTGTCATTTCCCCATCTTTGTGGTTTTATCTACTTTTGGTCTTTGATGATGGTGATGTACAGATGGGTTTTTGGTGTGGATGTCCTTTCTGTTTGTTAGTTTTCCTTCTAACAGACAGGACCCTCAGCTGCAGGTCTGTTGGAGTTTGCTAGAGGTCCACTCCAGACCCTGTTTGCCTGGGTATCAGCAGCAGTGTCTGCAGAACAGTGGATTTTCGTGAACCGCGAATGCTGCTGTCTGATCGTTCCTCTGGAAGTTTTGTCTCAGAGGAGTACCCGGCCATGTGAGTTGTCAGTCTGCCCCTACTGGGGGGTGCCTCCCAGTTAGGCTGCTTGGGGGTCAGGGGTCAGGGACCCACTTGAGGAGGCAGTCTGCCCGTTCTCAGATCTCCAGCTGCGTGCTGGGAGAACCACTGCTCTCTTCAAAGCTGTCAGACAGGGACGTTTAAGTCTGCAGAGGTTACTGCTGTCTTTTTGTTTGTCTGTGCCCTGCCCCCAGAGGTGGAGCCTACAGAGGCAGGTAGGCCTCCTTGAGCTGTGGTGGGCTCCACCCAGTTCGAGTTTCCCGGCTGCTTTGTTTATCTAAGCAAGCCTGGGCAATGGCGGGTGCCCCGCCCCCTCCCCCAGCCTCGCTGCCACCTTACAGTTTGATCTCAGACTGCTGTGCTAGCAATCAGCGAGAGTCTGTGGGCTTAGGACCCTCTGAGCCAGGTGTGGGATATAATCTCCTGGTGAGCCGGTTTTTAAGCCCATTGGAAACGCGTAGTATTAGGGTGGGAGTGACCTGATTTTCCAGGTGCCGTCTGTGACCCCTTTCTTCCACTAGGAAAGGGAACTCTGACCCCTTGCGCTTCCCGAGTGAGGCAATGCCTCTCCCTGCTTTGGCTCGCGCACGGTGCACTGCACCCACTGTCCTGTGCTCACTGTCTGGCACTCCCTAGTGAGATGAACCCGGTATCTCAGATGGAAATGCAGAAATCATCCGTCTTCTGTGTCGCTCACGCTGGGAGCTGTAGACCGGAGCTATTCTTGTTCAGCCATCTTGGCTCCTCCCTGCAATTTTTATCACCCTGATGCGTTCTAATAAGAGTTCACTATGGCCCGTGAGCCAAATCTGGCCCACTGCCTGTTTTTACAAACAAAGTTTTATTGGAACACACACAGTTTAAATAAGGACATGTAAAAATAAACTTACTAAAACAGAATATAAATCTGGAAAAAATTTCAGAGACTGTAAGCATAAAATAGGAACTAGGTAGTTTTTAAAATTTTACATGTTTGGGCCAGGCACAGTGGCTCATGCCTGTAATCCCAGCACTTTGGGAGGCCGAAGCAGGTGAATCACGAGTTCAGGATATCGAGACCATCCTGGCTAACATGGTGAAAACCCGTCTCTACTAAAAAATAGAAAAAAAATTAGCCAGGCGTGGTGGCGGGTGCCTGTAGTCCCAGCTACTCGGGAGGCTGAGGCAGGAGAATGGCATGAACCCAGGAGACAGAGCTTACAGTGAGCCGAGATTGTGCCACTGCACTCCAGCCTGGGTGACAGAGAGAGACTCTGTCTCAAAAAAAAAAAAAAATTTGTATGTTTGCATTTTGATCATTTTTTAGGAGATGGGGGTCTCACTGTGTTGCCCAGGCTGGAATGCAGTGGCTATGCATAAGTACCATCATTGTGTACTACAATCTCAAACTCCTGGCTCAAACAATCCTTCTGCCTTAGCCTCCTGAGTAGCTGGGAGGTACTACAAGTGCATGCCACTGGGCCTGGCTACCAATACACCCAAAAGGAAGAAATGGAAATACTTGACTATAGAAAAATTTAATACTTTTTGTGTGGTAAGAAACACCACACCCACAGTCAAATGCCAATTGTGAAAAAATATTTGTAATATATATGATGGAAAAAGAGGTTAGTAGACATAATTTACAAAAAGCTGCTGTAAATCAATATGAGAAAGATAACCCAATGGAGAAGTGAACAAGTGCTATGAAAAAGCAATTAATCATAAGAGAAAACCCAGAGGTTAATAAACATGAGATGTTTCACCTCCCTAAAAAGCAGGAAAATGCAAATTAAAGTAATATACATGTATCACTTCTTGTTCATCACAATGGCAAAAATTAACAAGAATGAGAACCTAGTTCTGGCATTTCTTTATTCATGCATTCTTCTATTTAACACATATTTATTAAGTGCCTTACATGAGCCAGGCATGATTCCAGGTGTTGAGGATACAGCAGTGAACAAGAGACAAAAACCTCAGTCCTTGATCGAGACCATCCCGGCTAAAACGGTGAAACCCCGTCTCTACTAAAAATACAAAAAATTAGCCGGGCGTAGTGGCGGGCGCCTGTAGTCCCAGCTACTTGGGAGGCTGAGGCAGGAGAATGGCGTGAACCCGGGAGGCGGAGCTTGCAGTGAGCCGAGATCCCGCCACTGCACTCCAGCCTGGGCGACAGAGCGAGACTCCGTCTCAAAAAAAAAAAAAAAAAAAAAAAACCTCAGTCCTTATGGAGCTTGCAGTTAACTGGGGAAAGTGGCGAAGAAGGTACTCATATTGCTAATGAAAATAGGAAGTGTTATAGCCTTTTGGAAAGGAACTTAATATTTATTAAAATAAACACATAATCAGCTTGAATTCTAACAGTAGACTTGAAGAGATTTCCATCATGTATAGCTGAGTGACAAAAAGCAAGACTCTGGAATGTATATGATTGATTATCACATGGAAAAAAAAAAAAGCAATGACAGTCTCCTCCCCACCACCAAAGCATAGGTCTACATTTATATACATCATTGATGTTAAAACCACCATCTAAGGTGTGAAAACACATGCATGAAACTGTTTACATTGATCAATTGAGGAGAAGTGGAATGGGGAAGCAAAAATCTCAAAAAGACTCAGCATCTACTCTAGAATTTCACATGTGATATCCAATTTATCTAAACACTTCTATATCTGATTTTTTTTTTACTTTCAAGTTTTAAATTCTACTTTCTTTTAGAGTTTTAGTCATTGCTGGTAGATGAAAACTTTTCTTAAAAAAAGTTTTTTACTCATCTATAATAGTTGTACACTAAAATTTTAGGGGTAAAGGTGGTATTTTGATACTTGCATGCAATATGTAATGATCAAATCAGGGTAATTGAGGTATCCATCACCTCAGCTCAAACATCTTTTTATGTTGGGAGCATTACAATTATTCTCTTCTAGCTATTTGGAAGTATACAGTACATTTTTCTTAACCATAATTTAAATATCTGAGGTTCTATATCAATGAGAATTGATGTTCATAGTTAAGCATCTCGGAGTAGAAACTCTACTGGCTATTATCTTTTTTCTTTCTACTTGAATGTTTTTTGAAACATTTTAATAAAAGTCATAAGCATTGATTATGTATGTTCCATATCATAAAAGTATACAGTAAGATGAAGATAATATAAATGTCAAAAATGTAGAGTAGAGTTGGGCAGTTTGGGGGGTAACATAAGGACTTAAATTCCCATCTTTCATAGTTAGGAGTCAGTAGACAATGCCCAAAGGTGTTAATTCAAAATACAGAGTTAAATCATAACTTATTGCTATGTAACCGTCAGAAAATATAAAACCAGAAATAGTTAAAAGAAGTTATCCCTGACATATAACAGAACTGACGTTTGGGTGGGCAGAATTGGTATTTATCTTCTATTGTAAATTGTTTTGTACTATTATATTTTTTTATCAGAAAAAAAAAATTGAAAATGTAATCAGTTACCAGCCAGATAACCTCGAGCAAGTTACCTCTCAATGTCCCAGCCCCCTGCCTGTAAATGGGAAAATAGCAGCCATTTCATAGAGTTGTTGTGAGAATGTATGTGAATTGTTGACCACAATGCTTATGTCATAGTAAATACTCAATACATTGGGGCCACTAGTTTGATTATAATTTAAGAGTTGTAAGTTGGTTCCCCTTTTTAGAGCCCCAGTATTTTCTCCTTATCCTCAACTCTACTCTCAAGCAATTAAGAGCTCTAGTTGAGGGGGGTTTTATTTCATTATCACCAAAAACAGACGACTAGGTATATGTGAAAATGTTAATCATGAATGTGTGGATTTCTTTTTATTTCTTTTTATTTTTTATTGAGACGGAGTCTCTCTCTGTCGCCCAGGCTGGAGAGCGGTGGCGCAATCGCGGCTCAGTGCAAGCTCCGCCTGCCGGGTTCACGCCATTCTCCTGCCTCAGCCTCTCCGAGTAGCTGGGACTACAGGCACCCGCCACCACACCAGGCTAATTTTTTTTGTATTTTTAGTAGAGATGGGGTTTCACCGTGGTCTCGATCTCCTGACTTCGTGATCTGCCCGCCTCGGCCTCCCAGAGTGCTGGGATTACAAGTGTGAGCCACCGCGCCTGGCCGAATGTGTGGATTTCTGACAGGCACATGGTAGTCCTCACATGCTATCTGGAGACCTGCTCTATCTGCTTCTGGCAATGTGAGGGTTCCTCTCCACTATAAGAAACTCAGATGATATGTGGCATATGTGATTTATGATATGTGGTCAAAAAAGGATTGATTTGGAAAAATGTCTACTATATGTTATATGAAAAAATTTAGGACAATATGTATAGTCTGGATTTTTAAATTAAAATAGAAATATAAGGACCCTTATATGTGTATATACATATTTCCTGTAAGCATAGAAAGATTAATTAAAATCAAGAGTTAATTTTATATCACATACTTTCATATAGCTAAATTATTACAAGAAGTGTGTAATAGTTTTATTATTAGAAAGCGCAGTGGCCCACAGCACTCTTTTGAAAGGAAACGTATAGATAAGTGGTCAGGTTTGGGTATGTGTACTCAAGGAGGAAATGTGGGTCAGTGGCTCACAGATAAGGAGCTCAAAAATTTACTCAGAGTTCTTTATTTCCCATGAAATACAGTATTGGTACCAGTTCAGTGCCAATAAAAGTTAATTTGTGAAAAAGAACTATTACTCATTTTGCAACTAAAATTATTTTCCAGATTAAGTCTGTTGCTTCTGTTCTTACCATTGGTAAATCACCTGTTAAGTGTACCAAGCCATGCAAAGACATTTCCTACTGGAACTATTAGCATGCATGTTGCCTAGGAAAGGTCAGTGGAAACATTCTTCATCATTTGAAACGTTACTGTAGGAACCAGTAAGAATACTCTGCCTGAATTATGGAAAACTCTTTCTAGACTTCAAAGGGCTTTTATAGCTCTACTTCTACAGAATCCCCAGTGTTTCTAAGTTGATGAAGTGATCCAAAGTCTGGAGGCTGAGACCATAGAGGTACCTTTGCAAATAAAAGGGTCTTGGCAGGGAGTCATGGGGGAGGCATGTTAAAATCTAAGAGGGCCATGAGAGAGAAATAATCTGCCACTGTCTCCAGGCTACACTCATTTTCTCCACGCATAACCTAGGGTTTCCTCTTTCGGACAACAAGAATGCCAAATGGGAATGCCACATTGAATTTGGTGGTCTTTGGAAGGTGGATGGAAGTGGAAAATGAAGATAATGAGAGGGGAGAAGACCCCTGGAAAAGAGTAATTGGGAAATCACCTACCTTTCTAAGAGTGGAGAGTAGATGCACCATTTAAAAACTCCAGGATATAACCTAGGATTTACAATTGCTATGTCATGATGGTGTCCCTTGGGGGATCCCTTTACCGTAATAACTAGCAAGATTAAAAAAGTATTAGTAAGGTGTTTAGACATTCCGCAATGTATACATATATCAAAATATCATATTTTATGCTATAAACATATAGAATTATGTTAATTATAAAACGAAATAAATTGAGGAATAGACATGCAATGAAATACTGTCAAGCAATAAAAATGAACAACAATTATTCTAAGTGAAGTAACTCAGGAATGGGAAACCAAATGTCTTATGTTGTCACATATAAGTGGGAGGTAAGTTATGAGAATGCAAAGGCATAAGAATGCAATGGACTTTGGGGACTTGCGGGGGAAGGTTGGGAGAGGGTGAGGGATAAAAGACTAAATATCACGTAAAATGTTCACCGCTTGGGTGACGGGTGCACTATGAGCTCAGAAATTACAAATAGAGAACTTATCCATGTAAGCAACATTGTAATAAAATTGTAATAATTTTGTTTTTCTCTATACTTTTCCCATCTAAGTATGAACTGCTAAACACTGTAGCTTAGCTTTCCAGGTGTTTAATCTTTACATAAATGAAATTATTCTTTACATAATTGAGATTAAGAATAATCTCACTGAAAATCTGGAAAGCCTAGCTATAGTGTATAGCAGCTCATATTTAGGTGGGAAAAGTGTAGAGAAAAGCAAGAAAATTATTACCACAAAAGTCAAGTATCAGTTATCCATGGTGGGGAGGGGAAGGTTGTTTTGAGTGTCAAGGAGTAGATGTGGGGGTAGGTAGGGAAGTTATTAGTAAAATAAACGGATTACAGGCGTGAGCCACCACACCTGGCCAATACTTTTTTCTTCCACAACCAAACATAATTTAGAAAACTTAGGAGGAGAAGGAAAGCCTAGTGTTTACCCATATTTTTCCTTACTCTCTTCCTTCTTCATTCCCAATAATCTAGTCCCCCCAAAACCTGAGAACTCAGGATAACCACTAATGTAGTCCAGGCCAAAAGCCAGCTTGAGACTCAGGAAGAATCAATGTTTCAGCTGAGTTCAAAGCCAGGAAAACAGCACAACAAAACACAATGTTCCATTTCAAAGGCCATCAATCAGGAAAACATCCTCTCTTACTCAGAGGTCAGCCCTTTTGTTCTAGTCAGACTATCAAGTAATTGGATGAGGCCCACCCACATTAGGGAAAACAATCTGCTTTACTCAGGCTCCCAACTCAAATGGTAATCTCATTCCAGTCTGAAATATTTGAGGCCAAAGAAAAATACCCAGATAACTCATCACCATGTTGTTCTTTATTCCCATATTCCCTAATGGCCAGCTTATTTTCTCTACCTTTCAGCATTTTCTTGTTTGTCTTACACTGTTTCCAGAGATTTCAGTTGCACTTATCAGGAGGAATAGGGAAAAATATACTTACTCCATCTTTCCAAAAGCAAATATAATTTGAGTTTTGAAGTTAATCTTTTTATCTCAGACACTGAGGGAAAATAATTCAATCACTGGTTGGTCAGAGAGATCATCAACACTAAAAATTCCTCCATTGATTTCACCAAAAAGGTTCTTAGTCTAAAACCCCCAAAACCAATCTCAGGTCACTTTTTCTGTTTTCAAATCTGAGTCATGCTTTTCAGAAAACTTCAGTTTTGTTATTTAAAATGAAACCTCCTTGAGGTCAAGGGCTACTTTTGTATTTCCATGGTTATTCAAAACATACTCGGGACATACTCTCTTTCCAGAGCTAGACTGAGAAAGATCCAAGAACAAGAAGAGCAGGTAGGAGTTTAATAATAATAGCATGGCTAAGGCTAAATACCAAAAATTAGGCCAGATGATTTTTGCAGAGCATCAAATAGTATCTCTAATTTTCACAATATCTTATAAACTGGCAACAATCTCCTTTTACAACTGTGGAATATTCCAAGAAATTAAGTGATTTCTCCAAAGAAACATAGCTTAGGAATAGCAAGGCCGCCAGTTGATTCTAGGATCCAAGGTTGCTCTTCCCTTTACATTATAAAAATATGGAAAGGAAAAGGAGTGGCTGGGCACAAAAATTATGGCAGAAGAACTGGCAGGACTTATTTACTGCTTAGCTTGGGGTGTAATGAAAGAGAATGAACCAAATACAACTTTGGAGTTAAGGTTCTTTGCAGAAAAATGATGGCTTCTTTCAATTACTAATCAGGAAGAGATTTAATAGCAGGAATCAGTGCTTAGGAAAGTATAGGGCAGGCAAAAGAGTAGAAGCTAGCCTAGGTCTCCAGAAATACTTTCCAGATCCCAGTTCTGACCTGCTGGGGACTTACTACTACAGAGACTATCACTGGAATTACTGAGTTCAAAAGTTTCACATGGATTTTTGACTGTGTGTTGGATTATTTCCCTTAACACCTGTATTGTTCAAGGATCAAAACCGTACTGGCATTTTAGTCTTTATATGAAGTTAGTTCCTGGGAAGGGATTAGGTAATTAGTGCCTTATTTTCTGTCCAAAAGCGAAAGACAATTCCTTTTGGAAGGTAAAATGGCTTTTCCCAGAAAACTGAGGCAGCACGAATACAACTAATGGAAAAATACAGTGAGAGTTTCGGAGTGAAGATTTTGTAAACAGACGATATTAAAATTTTGTTATACCTAGTGATTTCTATCAACCTAAATTTCTAAAAATCAAAATATGTAATGGTATCAAATTAAATAATACAAAGAGCTAAAATTGAGAAGCTGTAGTCTCCCCATCCCTCTCTATCCTACACCCACTCCGTATCATGTATGAATTGAAAGTGGAATAACCAAACAATTAATTGTTAATATAATACCAACTAGTAGTTTGGAGATAAGTGCAGGGTTTATTCAGGGGTCCAGGGTTACTATCCCCAACTGATCCATACACCAGGGAGAATGTTGCAACTTCATGATCATGTGGATTCACTTTTCACGCATTTTTTCAATTGTTTGTAGTAGCCCTGTCCCTGAAAACTCCCTTCTGAAGCAGCCTCTGGCTCCTGTCTGTACCTGCTGCTTTCTAGGCTCACTGCATAACCATCGTCCTAGGAATCCCCGCTCCTGGCCGTTTTGGGTTGGAGCTATACAGTTTTCTTAAACTGTGCTTTCTTCCTTCCCTCCTGCATTTTGAATACATCTTTAAATGACTTTTGAGGAAAGGCTAAATTTTCTGTCATTGCTTGTCTGAAAATGGCTTTATTCATGCTCTTCCTTGATTGATAAAGTCATTTTGTCCCCTTAGAATGCACTGCTCTGTAACGTCAGAGAATCAGCATAGGCAGTTAGCCAAAAACTACTCTCGATTAATTTCTGAGACGCTTCCATCCAGAGGGCTGATTGATACGCTTTGAGTGTGTCTATGGTTAGATGTGTCTATGGGTTATAGCTTTTTCCTATTATAGTACATCTTATTAATAGCAAATTTGCCTTCTTAATAGCAAAAGTCACTGTTATGATTTCTATTGTTACGGTTTACTTTTAATTTGATTTTGAGGTCTTTCTCTCAAGAGTGACCATAAACCAAGATAACCACTTTCTAGGAGAGCCCTGACTAGGAGAAAGTTAGATTCGGGTGTATCAGGCAGGTGAGACAAAATGAGGAAGTAAAACCAAATGCATGAAACACAAGAAGGTTATTACTTACAGATCACATAGAGGTTAGGGGTGTCAACAGGAGGCTGACGGGAAGGCTAGAGGTGGCAGGGAGCTCAACCAACGGGTGGGGAGCAAGAGACAGAGAGAAGAGCTGTGGGGCCAGGTCTTTATTAAGGTGCACGGGTGTTAGCCCTTACACTTTCCTCAGGGGTTGTGAATTTTTTACTTTAAAGAAAACACTTGTGAATTGGGGAACTTGTTTACAAGACTCTGGTGTTAACCATTAAGTTTTATCACGGCAGCACCTGTGGAATATGTTGGGTTTGGTTCAATGAGATGAGGAAAAAACGGGCTGTATTGCAAACAACCACACAGGGAGGGAAAGTTTTAACTGGGCCAAAGGTGACAGTATATGACTGGGCTTCAAATAACTTATGGCAGTCCTAAAAATGGGTGCTGAGGCAGCACTTTATTAAACAAATTGATGACAATCCACCTCTGGGTGCCCTGGCATGATATTTTAAATGTAAGACAGTTGTAGCTTGAGTGGTGAAGATATTGACTGCAAGGAGAATAATATCATTCCCAAGAAAGTAAGCATTCAGTATGGCAGTTATGTTGTTGGTTATGAACTAATAATTGAGCAAAGTATATGTAAATATTAGTGGTATTGTGTCTAGCCAAGGGGAAGGAGTGGTTGTGGTTGGAGATGCAAGTCAAGAGGCTGTGGTAGAAAGCTGGATGGGGTTACAGTAGGAGAAGGCACCACAGAGTAGTCAGTCTTCTCCCCAGGGGGCCAAGGGGTTGTTTAATATGAGATAGGTGCCTCCTGGGGAAAGCAATAATCATCATTAATTTAGTAACCTCTATCAGGTTTTCCTTTAGGCATGGAAGTGTAGCGGTGTATTTTAGAAGAGAACAAGGACTATACCAGGATCACGGGCTAAGCAGACAGTGAGTTCAGAAAGAACATTTTAAACGTGTCAATTTTGTGCCTTAGGACAGGCAGCCCATGGGTGTTGCTGAGTGGAGACTTTAGTGTAAGAGGTGAAGTCTCCAGCACAGGGGGCAAAGTCATCTCCAACAATAAGGTCTTGGGATGGTCTTGCAATGTCATCTTAGGCAATGACAGCTGAAGCATTATTTTGGGCCCTTGCAAGCTTGTGTGGGATTGTAGGACTGGGGTATCCTTTTAAGTGAGTACCTACTTAAGTTGATGTAGGCCTCTGGATTGCAAATCAGTATAAATGCCCAAACCAATAGTGATAAGGCCATCAACAGAATGGTGTGCAGCTGCATCTGACAGGGTGTTTTTTGTTTGTTTGTTTGTTTGTTTGTTTTGAGCATGTGGAAGTTTAGATGTAAATGGGTTATCTATCAGATGAGCAAATGCCTGGCCTATAGGAAAATCTATTATTAATGAGTCCCAGGAAAGTATGTGCCTTCCATCTGGCCTCCAGCCCTTGTGGAATGGGGGCAAGATTGAAAATTTATAAAGATAGGCCAAGACCTGGATAAAATAAACTTTTGGGTGTTGTGAGGCGAGAGATTCCCAGATTTTTTTTTTTTTTAAATTTTGAAAGGTACAAGTTTTAGGTAATGACCCAAGGGTTTATAACGAAAGTGAAGATGAGACCAGGACATCCAGTACTAAGAGAGCTCTCTTAGGTTTGGCTAAATGTGTTTTTTTGGGTCCCATTCTTTATTAGGGACATGACGGCTAAGGGATAGAAAGTGGCAGTATTCCACTAAGCTCATCACATATGATAGTTAAGAGTGCCACATGCATGCATAGTCTACAAACTCTTGTTACTGTTCACTCAGTTTATCCTAAGGGGCTTTCCAGATAGTCAAGAGGTCAGGGGGAGGAATGACTTTCCCCAGTACTCTGGCATCTGGCAAGAAACTGGGGACAAGGGAAGCCAACTCCTTCAGGTGGAATATACCAGAGGCCCCAGGTTTGGTTCCATCCTGTATTGAGGCCTCAGTAGCCATGCTGAGCTTGTGGGGCGCTGTTTCTATAACCTAATGCATAATGAGCACCTGGGTATAGAGTGTCACAGGCTCGAGGTCAACAAGAATCTGTATTTTTAGTAGAGGGCAGTGGGTAGACAGTCATTTATTGTTTTAATGGTGTATACCCTGAGGCCAAAAGAGGCAGATTTTTGCATCAGAGGCTCTAGAGCAACTTATAGCCATCAGAAGTGGTTTGGAGATCTTGGGAAGCATGAGAAGAGGTTGCCAAAGCCTCAGAATTAATCTGAGGTTCTCAAGTGCAGAGAAGGAGAAGGGAAATTAATGAGGGCATTAATAGGAGTGCCTGCTGATTTTAATTTGTAAATGGTAAATACGTTGCCTTCAGAACCCAAAAAGTAAGAAAAGATATTGACTTGTATGTCCTTAAAGAGTGTATCATATGAACCTCATTGGAGGAGGACAGCATTGACATAATGCTGTAACTGTGCTCCTGGAGATGATGGATGTAATTAAGAACTTGTCTGCAGAGACTGTGCATGATGACCAAACTGTTGAGGCCTACCCCATGAGTAGCCTGGAAAAGGTATATTGTGTCCCTTTGGCGGTAGAGGCAAACTGCAGCTGAGAGATTGTTGAAGTAGGCACTAAAACATGTTAGCCAGTCTATGAGAGTAAAATATTTAGAAGTTCCTGATTGAATTGGATGAGCAATTTGAACAATATTGGGTATTGGCTAAAGGGACCTTGATGGATGGGACTATAACATTAAGGTTGTGGTAATCCACCATTATTACGTTGGTTTTAAAAATAACAACCATGTGATTCTCAATTGTTTCTTATTGATTTTCTTCTCTCCGGAAACTTTTACTGTCTTCTTTTTATCTTTGGCAGCCTAATATTTCATCAGGATGTTTCTAGGATTTAAAAAGTATATTATTTACTGTATTCAGCACTCTGTGTGCCTTCTCTGTGGCCAGAAATTTTTTTTCTCTAATTTTCCTATTAACTTCTTTCACTCCATTTCCTCCATTCACTTTTCTTGGGGTCACTGTTAGTCAAATGGTAGACCTTCTGATTTCATTTTTGTTTTTTTTTCTTTATTTCATATTTTCTATATCTTTGTCTTCTTGCTTTGTGTTTGGGAACCATTCTCAGCTTTGTTTTTCAATCCGTCTTACTGAATTGTTTTACTAGAGCAATTACTTTAACTTTTTAAAGTTCTTCCTTGTTCTGTAATTGGTTCCTTAGTATCTTGTTCTTGTTTTATGGTTGAAATAGCTTCTCAAGTTTCTTGACTTCTTAAGGGCTTCCTCCCCCCATCTTAAGCTCTGTTTTGTTTCTATAACAATTACGTACAAGGTTAAATAGTCTGGTTTCTTTTCCTTTCATGTAGCTGTGTTTTTCTATATGTCTGGTGATTTTGGTTGTTTATTAATTATTAAGAATGAAGAATTAGGTACTCAGGTCTGACCTGAGCTGTGTGTGTGTGTGTGTGTGTGTGTGTGTGTGTGTGTGGTGTGTGTATGTGTGTGTGTGTGTGTGTTTGTGTTTGGAGGGGTGTCAGTCAGAAGGCTTTAAAGTGAAATTCCCAGGAAGGAGCCAGAAAAGCTCTCAAATTTGGGGTTGGGGACAAATCACACTGCCTTCTCTTTACTTACAGGATAGGGCTAGTTTGAGTCCTGGCTCTGGTTCCTAGCAGCTTTATAACTTTGGGCAAAGTACTGACCTTTCTTACAGTGCAAAACTGTTTTACAGAGCAAGGGCTGCCTCTTCAACATTCTTATATCTCTCTACTATACCTGACAGGGCTAGATATATAGTACCATCCACCATTCCTCCCTTTGGGTCCCTAGTGTACTCGCTTGCAAAACTTATGCCCACATTTCTATTTTCATCTACTCACTTCAGAAAGACCTGTGGGCAGAAATTCTGTATCTCATCAAGTAGTATAATGCTTGACACATATTAGGAGCTTGACAAATGCTAGTTGAATTGATAAATCTAAATTTCAATAAATACTCATTTCAAAGACGTGAAATTATGGAACTTGAGGGAGCTCAAACTTAAACTTTAAAGCTCCTTTAAACTCTTTCTTAAAACTTCAACTACAGTCTACATGTCATGTTGCATTACTTCTGTGGAAGAAGGAAAGATCCATAATGATTAATGTTGACAAAGGAGTAATGAGCTTAAAAAATTGTTAGCTAATATTTATTCATCATGAGATATTCTCCAAAACCATCTCTAGGTTGGTCAAAATGAAGACTCCAATGCAATAAAGAAATATAATTTAATTTAGTTACATTCTTTTTCTAGGGTAGACTATGTTTATCTTATGAATAAATGTATTTTGTTAATATCTTTGCTTCTGCAATTTTGATTTAGTCTTCCAACTGCTGGCCATCCATCATCAGCAATTAAATCAGGCAAAATTCATCACTGAGAAATTATTTACTGAGACTAGACCTAATACCGGGCACTTAATTGTAAAAGTACTTCCTCAGGCTTCAGCTATAGGCTGAATTGTTACACTTTCTATAAAGCTGTGTGCTTGTTCTGCTCTTTTTTTCAGAGTGATTTATGACCCTAACACAATTCAGTTTCAATAACTCAAGTTTCCTAGAACTCCAGTGGGAATAGTGCGAGCCCACCAGCTGCAGATGTCCTGGTTAAGGCTTTCTTCTCACATTTTAATTCAATTATAACCAGATATTTTCCCCCTTGTTCATTCATGTTTAATCCAATATTCACATATATGAAAAGAAAATTTGATAAAGTTGTGAATGTGTTATGTTTATATGTAGAACATAGAAATTGAGGTTAAGTTTATTTTAGCTCTAAGAAACTAACAATTTCAATTTTTACATTTCCATTCCCAACCCTCTGGATCAAGTTCTTATTACATTGTTTGGATTATTACAATATCATCTTAATCAGCTGGTGTGCCTTAGTTTTGTATGACCTGATTGTTTCTTTACACTACTGTTGTAATTGTAATGGGAACCTATTGGATTGTTTTACTAGAAATATTTTCTTTTTTCTCCTATTTTTATTATTGCAACAGGAGCAGAGCAAGGGAAGTGTATGCTAAGATTTTTGTTTTTTTTGGTGGGGGGAAGCCCAAGAAAATCTATTGTAACACTCAATATAGGTTTTAAGTTTCTAACAGAAGAAAAATTTACCTATTCAATGGAAGGTAGAAAAAAAGAAAAAATTAAAGGAAGTGTGGAAATAGAAAACAGAAAGTAAAAAAGCAGAAATCAGGTCAGGCTCGATGGCTCACGCCTGTAATCCCAGCATTCTGGGAGGCCAAGGTGGATGGATCACCTGAGGTCAGGAGTTTGAGACCAGTCTGGTCAACATGGTGAAACCCTGTCTCTACTAAAAAATACAAAAATTAGCTGGGTGTGGTGGCACGTGCCTGTAATCCCAGCTACTTGGGAGGCTGAGGCTGGAGAATTGCTTGAACCTGGGAGGCGGAGGTTGCAGTGAGCCGAGATCATGCCACTGCACTCCAGCCTGGATGACAGAGCAAGACTCCCCCTCAAAAAAAAAAAAAAAAGCAGAAATCAGAATCTGAATGTAATACTAATATAATAATTTGCATGTAAATGTGTTTAAAATGCCAATAAAAAGACAGATGCTCTCAAATTGGATTAAATTATTACTGTGTTGTCTTTAAAAACATATTTAAACCCAAAGGATGCAGAGTAATTGAAAATAAAAAATGTGTATCACAGAAAAATGAACCAAATAATGATGTGGTAACTATTCAACATCATGCAAAACTAATTGAAAACTAAAACAAATGAGATAAAGGAGGACACGTATATATACTGATTTTAAAAGTAGACCCAGGGGGCAGGTGCGGTGGCTCATGCTTGTAATCCCAGCACTTTGGGAGGCCGAAGCAGGCAGATCACAAGGTCAAGAGATTGAGACCATCCTGGCTAACACAGTGAAACCCCGTCTCTACTAAAAATACAAAAAAAAAAATTAGCCGGCGTGGTGGCAGGCACCTGTAGTTCTAGCTATCTGGGAGGCTGAGGCAGGAGAATGGCGTGAACCTGGGAGGTGGAGCTTGCAGTGAGCCAAGATCGCGCCACTGCACTCCAGCCTGGGTGACAGAGTGAGACTCTGTCTCAAAAAAAGAAAAAAAAAAAAAAAGACCGAAGTTTTGATTAATAACACATATGCATATAATAATATAGCTCCAAGTATATAAAGCAGCAATAAATGGATCTATGGGGAAAAACAAATAAATCAATATTTGTGGTTATACACTGCTGTTGGGGTGAAGAAGTTTGGCTGGGGCAACACTAACAGGAAAAAAAGCAGATAGGAAAGAACAAGTCCCTTGTCTTCCTCCTCCCAGGCCCCCTTTAATATCCCCCAGTGACAGAGTCTAAAAGGAAGCCACTAGGAAAAGGAGAAATGTAATTTTACAAAGAGAGTACAGAGGTTAACTGGAAGCTGAAAGACCGTACCTTAACAATCAGCATAACATGGCAGAATACAGGTCTTTTAATAGCTGGGATAATTTTGAAAATGAAGTGTGAAAGTGAGGGGCATGCTCTCTCATATTTGAAAATATAATATTTAAAAAGTTATTTAAAAAGTTTGGAACTTACATGAGAGTAGAAAAATAGACCAAAGGGGCAGAGCCCAGAGATAATCCTTACATAATAAATAGTCAATCTTGACATTATAATACACTTGGCCTCACACATCAATCAGGAAATAACTTTAAAAAATCTCACTGCAATGGAAAACCAGATTATTTTATGGAAAAGAATATACAGTTGACCTTTGAACAATGAAGGGTTTAAGGGTGTCAACCACCCACTGAGTTGAAAATTCACATTTAATTTTTGACTCCCCATAAACTTACCTACTAATAGCCTACTATTGACTGGAAGCCTTCTTGATAACACAGAGTCAATTAACACAGATTTTGTATGTTATATGGGTTATACATTATAACAGTATTTGCAAAAATACAGTATGCTAGAGAAAAGAAAATGTTATTGGCCGGGCGAGGTGGCTCATGCCTGTAATCCCAGCACTTTGGGAGGCCGAGGTGGGCGGATCATGAGGCCAGGAGATCAAGACCATCCTGGCTAACACGGTGAAACCCCGTCTCTACTAAAAATACAAAAAAATTAGCCAGGCTTGGTGGCGGGCGCCTGTAGTCCCAGCTACTCAGGAGGCTGAGGCAGGAGAATGGCATGAATGCAGGAGGAGGAGCTTGCAGGGAGCCAAGATCACGCCACTGCACTCCAGCCTGAGTGACAGAGTCAGACTCCGTCTCAAAAAAAAAAAAAAAAAAAAAAAAAAAAAAAGGATAACAGGAATGTATTTCATAAACTAATTCAGGCTTAAAACATCAAGATTACATTGCAGGTATTTAAATGCAATGGGAGATTTTTTGACCTGATTTATTACCTTTTTACATCAAGTAAAGAAAAACAGTTAAATTTACTATCAGCACCTTGCTTCTTGCTTCTGTTGGCTTAGCCAGTCAACATTTGTTGCTACAATAAGCTTTGTTAAGAAATTCCTATCAAAATAAGGCCTTTCAGAGCACAGCATCTATTCAAAACTTCTGTAGGTTCAAAGTAGTCTGTTTTTGTTGATTATGCTTAACAATATTTTAATTCCACATTTTATCCTAAGAAAAAAAATCTGTACATAAGTATGTATGTATGTTTGTGTGTGACACAATATCTGTAAGACTGACGAAAGCTACAGATTGGAGAATATAGAGTGTTAGTGAGGATGTGAGGAAACAGGACTCTGCAGGCATTGCTATTGGACATTTAAATGGGCACAGCCTTTCTGAGGCTTGGTGAAATTGTATATACAATGACCCTTTGACTCCACAAATCCAAGTCCTCGGTAAATAGGATACGAATTGTGATATTTATTGCAGCATTGCTTATGACAGCAGGGAGTCGGAGGCAATGTAGTTATTGATGACGAGGGAAATCATTTGTAAGCTCTGGAAGAAACAACTAGGGAGTTCTCTGCATCAGTGAAAAGTAATAAACTAGATGCACAATGAGCAGCAACGTGGAGAGGTATTACAAACACTATTGAGGAAAAAAGTAAGGAAGAGAACAGCCTCTATGATATAAAGCATTTATGTAGATCAAGAAAGAACAATCTCTACAGTGCAAAAGAAAAGTCTCTACAGTATATTTACAAAATATTAAATTACACACATTAAACAGAGATACCCATATCTAAAATTACATACAGTATGCATATTTTTTCAGAGATACATACATTTCCAAAAACATTAACATTGGAGGAACAACCAATGTGGGAGAAGGAAATGGGAACGGGAATGGAGAATGACGTGAGAGAAAATAATACGATAAGATACACGTAAGGAACAAAATTGAAAAGTATGCCCTCCAAAAGGACAAATGTGGTAACACAAGCCTCTCTAGGAGAGAGAGTGAGAAAGAGAGAGAGAGAAAAGAAAAGAAATGAAAAGATATGCCGCTCTCCTGCTCAAAATCTTTGACTCTACTGCACAAACTGCATACAGTGTACACTTTTTAATCAGCTACTAAAGGCTTTCCGCCATCTGTTCCAAACTTAGTTTTCTATCTTCTCTCTCTATAGTTCCCAGTAAAGCGACTGCTTACTGTTCTGTGTGTATTGCTTGGCCTTTCTGAGAGAATGTTGCTCACACTAGCTGTCATGTATTGAATATCTATTCTGTGCCTGGAATGGGCCTAGGAGCTTTAACATTCAGATGTCATTGACTGTCCAAACAATGCAATGTGGGTGGCGTTCCTGCCCCAGTACTAAAGATCCTAAAGTAAATGGAAGCTTTGAGAGCCTGGCTGGAGAGTCAGAAGGCTTGTATTATTCCTGCCACTAGCATACCTTATTATCCCCCACCCTCCACCCACTCGCCCCTGTGCCATTTCCGTATGTCCAACTCATATCTACGCTGCAAAGCCTTCTCAAATGCAAACTCTGCAGTGAAGCCTTTCCTGCTGACTCCAAGCAAGTGTGATTTCACCTTTTGTGAACCCCATATTATTTGTTACGTATGTAACTCTTTTCTGTACTTGTTTTATTTTGACTTTTAGATTGTAAACTCTTGAGCACACAAACTGTATGTGGTTCATTTTCTTCTTGAGGCCTTACACATTTTTGCAAGGGAATGTCAAATTTAAGTGAAAAGGGCTTTGGAATTTGGGCATATGTCAATAGAAGCTTTCAGTCTTAGCATTTGAAAGCAGGGGGCACCCAGGCAGAAAACTGGCGAGTTGGGTAGGTCATTTAGGAACTGTCTGTGGCTACAATTTCAAGTGCACCAGGAAAAATATGTGTGGCCCCATCAGCTGTCTGATGCAGGATATTTTACTCATAGCCTTAGGTTTCAAAGTTAGAACACAGATTCAAAAACTCATCACCCTTGGCAAAGATAACACATAGCTTTACTACGGAGGTGGCAATGAAATGACTGAAAGTCAAGTTTTGAAAATGAACATATGTATGTATGTGTGTGTTTTAGTGCCTTTTGTACATCAAACTGTGGAGAGGAGAGAGAATGGAAAGGAGGAAGCAGGGTTCCTGTAGGGCAAAATGTATACTTCACCATGGTGGTTAGGGTAGGGCTTGTAAAGGGAGGGTTGAGGTTAGGGCAAGTTTAGAGTTTCTACAGGCTGAAATGAGAAATTCATAGGCCTCTCTTTAAGAAGCTGGGTAGATTAATATTGGAGTTTCAGCTGGGTCAATGAAATATCATTCCTGTCTTTTCCCACATGAATTCAGAACCAACTGAGAAGTGGACATACAGAAATAAGGTAGAGGTTGAAATCATCTATTACTGATAAAAGCTGAATTGAAGAATGTGGCTTAGATGTGTGCACACCTAACACTCTCTGCCCCTGAATTAGACACATGTCCTTCTGAATGTACCTTCATGGTGATGAAACAAGTACACATCCTGAAGGCAGGCTGGCTTGGCAAGAGCAGGAGGAAGCCACTGAGCCAAATGTTCCTGTTTATCCTCCCAAACTGGTCAATCAGATACACCACTCCCAGATGAAGCAGTGGAGAGAGGAAGTTCCTCCCCATGAAACATGAGTGAGGTGAAAAGGAGATATTTACTTACCCTCCATACCCACAACTAATATCAGTTAAACAGGAGTTGTCATTTTAACAGAGATAAAATTGAAGAATACAGATGTGATGGTTAATACTGAGTGTCAACTTGATTGGACTGAAGGATGCAAAGTATTGATCCTGGGTGTGTCTGTGAGGGTGTTGCCAAAGGAGATTAACATTTGAGTCAGTGGGCTGGGAAAGGCAGACCCACCCTTAATCTGGGTGGGCACAATCTTATCAACTGCCAACGTGGCCAGAATAAAAAGTAGGCAAAAGAACGTGAAAAGACTAGACTGGCTTAGCCTACATTTTTTCCTCTGCTGGATGCTTCCTGCCCTCGAATATCAGACTCCAGGTTCTTCAGCTTTGGGACTCAGATTGGCTTCCTTGCTCCTCAGCTTGCAGACAGCCTATTGTGGGACCTTGTGATCATGTGAGTTAATACTCCTTAATAAACTCCCCTTTATGTATACATCTATCCTATGACTTCTGTCCCTCTAGAGAACCCTGACTAATACAACAGATAACCAGAACTGTTTTTCAGAACCCAACTGAACAGTTGTGCTGCTGATCAATTGACTGCACCTCAGCCCAATTTTGCCCTTCATTTTATGCACTGGAGCAGTGCAGCGGGACCCTGAAAATATTTCTCCTTTGCCAGCTGGCCAGCTGTCAAGCTTTGTCAGAAGAGTGCCCAAGGGATGCTGGAGGAGAAATGACTTTTCTCTTCCTGGCAGCAGTGTCTTCTTCTGGGCAGGCTGCTGTTGTGGGCTCTTTTTCTGCCATGCCAGGCTACAGCAGCAGCCAGGGGCCAACGTCACCTGGACTTTCTTTGTGGGTGACTGCCCCTGGCATCTGCACAGGAGGCCTTGCGGCAGAGTGCTGCCAGCCTTGCAACCCCTGTGAACAGCGTTCCCCAATACACCAGCAGCAAACAAAGCCTCAGCAGACTTCTCTGCCATCCACCGAACCATGGCTGTGCTCTTTCTAATGGGGGACGGATCTCTGGAAGGAGTCTTTCCCAGATCTGTCTCTTCTTTAAATGCTATGTCTCAGCCCTAAGGGCAGTAGCTGCTCCTACAACTGCTATTCTTATATTCTTGAGCATTCTCTTTACTTCTCACTAGCTAATTCTTCCATCCCCTGTTACAGTGAATAATTCTGTGTATTAAATTTTATGTTAAACTTTGCCTGTTCAAATTACTCTGTAGTTTCTGTGTTCTAATTGGACCCTGCCTAATACAGCCATTAATTAGTAATTTTAGCACTACCCCAGTGCATAATAATTATGAAGGAAAACATTACCATTTAATATTTGACTAGCAGGTCATTTTTTCATAATAGTTTCTAAACTCTGTGAAAGACAATTCAAAGCAATATTTTCCATGTACATTATACATTAAGTCATTTAATCCCATAAAATAAAGCATTTCTATAAATTCTCGAAAGGTTGTGAGTATAAAATAGAAATGTGATTTGATAGTGTCTCCAATTTTCAAACACTTCAGTAAAAGACTTTCTGAAAGGTACTAAATCTATGCCATTAAAACCAGTGACAGACTCAATTTTAATCTGCTTGAAAGATTGCCTGGACAGCCATAAATGGTGTATTTCAAACTGTTGCTATCACCTTGGGGATCTTTGCCTACCTGTGGCTAAAATCCTCAGCAGAAGCAGGGATAGGCACTGGTGCTAACCAAGACCCTCCTGAACATCCAAATGTTATCGGGATAATCTCAGTAGTGCCTGAGCAACTTACTTGGTGACTGGTAGTCTCTAAAATTCAGTTGCATTCTCAGTAATCTTGTTCTAAAAAAGCATAGAATGATCATCTATGGCTTCCTAGATTTCATGGATAGGCACTCAAAGACTTTAAAATACTTTAAAAGGCTTTAAAAAAGAACATATATTTGAACATTAGTTTTATTGATAGACAATAAGAACCCAAAATCATAACTTAAAGAATGTAATTCTTGTGAATGGTAGCAAGCCAATAGGTCTGGATTCCAGCCTTAATTCACGGACTACAGACCTTTCGCTGGTTATTTGATCCTCCCCAGGCCTCACTTACTTACACGTATAAAATGAAGAGGCTGATTTATCAGATTTCTGCTAGTGCTAAAGTTTATGATTCTATGAAGAGAAGAGCTTTCTCAAGGCTCTTCACATGCCTCCAATTTAGACTCATGTTTTCTCATAATTCTTTCAGTCTCTGTTAGCTAACTTCTAAACACATTGCTGACACCACATACTCAAAGCTTACTAATGGATTTTGGCTTAGAGTAGTGACTTGACTATCTTTTTCTTGGTTATATGAATCTCTCTCTCTGACCGTAGTTACTTCACGTCATATCTTATCACCCATAAAGCTTACTATTTCTAGGTATGTAACTTCTGCTTTACATTAATCACTTTTCATGTGTGTAGTCTGGTTTCCCAAAATCAAAGCTCAACATCTTTTTTTTTCTTCATGTTCTAGAGCAGAATGCTATATTCACATAACACATGCTTTATAAATATGTGTTGATTCCTACATCCTCTTCTACTAAAGATGAATGAAAATAATTAAATGGTGGAAACCAAATCTTTATCTTTCTGAGATGCTTTGCCTAAGGAAAAACAGGAACAGAAAAAAAGATTGATAATAGTTTTTTTCTAGTAATTTATGTTTTAATTCTAAAAAACTGAAAAATTTAGAACTGAATGAAGTAGAAAAATGTTTTACATTCATCCCCATTCTGTTTCCTAGGATTTAACAATTCAGAGCATAATCTCAGAATCTTCTGATAAATATCCCTAGTGCTTCCTGTAACAACATCTGGAAAAGTGTGAGGTATACTCCATTACCAGAAAGAGGAAGAAAGATAACTCTCTTACTATTCGTCCACTGATAATACAAATAGAATATGGAACAAACAACTACAAAGTAATTCTTCATTTTTCTCAAGTTGTTGCCCTTAGTCCATTCAGAGTCTGCCTGCAATGGACTTTGGAAGGCCTTTCTCATTCCAGTTTCTTTCCTTCTCCACTCCCCACTCCAGATACTTCCCTGTCTGTCCCAGACTATGGAGGACTCCCTCCCTTCTGGAAGGCTCTCAAGGTAATGACACTGGTGCCTGGCTCTCTCCTGGAAGGTCCTGGGAGGTCCTCCTTGGGGGACCTTTTCGGTTTTTCACAATGGAAGCTTTTACACACCTTTCTCTTGCTCATATTAACCAGCTCTCTAGCATAGCTTTGAAGTGTCACCATTCTAAATAAGAAAGGATACCTTACCAAAGAAGTGAGAAATGGAAATAGGAGACGAAGAGGAAGAAAATCAGATCTATTGATCTATCTATCCATCCATCTATTCTATTATCAATTGTAATAATAAATATATAATTCTATAACAAATTCAATATTGTGTAACATAGATACATACATAAAATTATACATAATATACACACATATATAAACATGTTATAGATAGGATTATTCTAAACAAATGTACTAGACATGTTAGTCTACGGCTTGCTTTTTTCACTTAAAACATTACTTTTCACTTACTTTTTTTCACTTAAATTATCACGGATATTTTTCTATGGTAATATATATAAAATTACTCAATTTTTAAAAAGCTATATGTACAATAGCTTATCTAAGCAATCTCCTAAGTATGTATGTTTAGATTAGTTTACACATTTGCTTTGCATATAATGCTGCAATCAAATTGCTGGACTAGATACATGGTCATTACACATTACATATTTATACTGTAAACATTTTAGGATAAATACCTAGAAGTAGAATTGTTGGGTTAAACGATATGCACACTTAAACTTTTAGTTGATACTGCCTACTTACCCTACAAATCTGGTTGTACCTATTCATATTCTTATCAATAGCATGTGGGAACCCTGTCTCATCATGCCCTTATGAATTCAGGATATTTTTAATGTTTTGTAAGATACTTACTAATATGATAAGTGAAAAACAGCATCCTCAAGTCTGAAGTTGCATTTCTATCATTTCATGTGATTTTTAACCATTTGCATTTCTAATTATTTGAAACTGCCTGTTAGTATCTTTTTTTTTTTTTTTTTTTACTGTCCAGTCCATCTATTATTGAAACCATTTTTATTGGAGCTAATCCTCTATCATATTAATGCAAATATACAGATTTATTTTTTTACTTTTAGCTTTGCCTATTATTATTATTTTAATTATTTATTTATTAATTTTAAATCACTTCTGGGAGTTAAATTCAACAATATTTTTCTTTTGGATTTGACATGGTATCTCATGGTAAGGAAGACCTTCCTCCAATATATACTAATGTTTATCCATAAGCTGTTTTTTCTTGTGATTTTTTTATCTACCTGGAAATTATTTTGGAGAAAGATGTGAGAAAATAGAATGTTCTATTTCTTTCTTTTTTCAAACTGGAAAGCCAGTTTTACCACATCATGTATTTTTATTTTCATTTTTTAACTATCGAGTCTCAGATATGTCCTATCATTTAAAAAATATCTTCCCCTTACCACATTGAACTAGGTGTTGTTGTTTATTATTTCTTTCTAGAAATACCAAGCCTGTTATTTATTTTTACAAATTCACTTACCTGTTCTGGCATCCCGTAAGCTTGAGGTCAGACAATACTCAGTCTTCTTCTGTAAACCCCGTTCTTTGGATTTTTTTGGAATCTTGATCTCTAGGAAAGCAATAGAGATACTAAGTATCAGAGGCTTTGGCTGGTTATACAACTTGAGGCCAGTAATATTATCAGAACAATTTATCTTTGTACATTATTCAGGTTAGAAATATATATGATACTTACTTTAATGCTATGAAAAAATATACTTTTGTAATCATTTTAGTGAAAGTTGTATATATTCTTATTTGGCCAGGAAGCTATTTTCAATTTGACATATTTGGAGTGCCAAGTGGGATAATCATTTATTAGATTAATAAGTAACAGTATTATGACAATTGCCATTTTAATTACTTAGTCTTGGAAACCCAAATAGCTCTTAAAAATTGTTTGTTTATACAATATAAATGGGGCATAATATATATAGATCACTCAGTCTAAGTAATCACTGTATAATTTATTTTCCCCTAATTCCCTGGAGTATTATTTTATGAATAACATTTGGTCTAGAATATTGAGATTTTTAAGGAAAACATCTAGGCTGGGTGAGGTGGCTCATGCCTGCAGTCCCAGCACTTTGGGAGGCTGAGGTGGGTGGATCACCTGAGGTCAGGAGTTCGAGACTACCCTGGCCAACATGGAGAAACCCCATCTCTACTAAAAACACAAAAAATTAGCCGGGCATGGTGGTGGGCACCTGTAATTCCAGCTACTTGGGAGGCTGAGGCAGGAGAATTGCTTGAACGTGGGAGGTGGAGGTTGAAGGGAGCGGAGATCGTACCACTGCACTCCAGCATAGGCAATAGAGCAAGACTCTGTCAAAAAAAAGAAAAAAGAAAAAAAGAAAAAAAATTTTTCTTTTTCATTCTACATTACTTAATTTATTTTATCTGCTAAGGTCTGAATTATTGTTTCTCCTGCCAGATTAATATGTTGAAATCCTATCCTTAAGGGGATGGTATTAGGAGGTGGGGGGTGATGTCTTTGGGTGTGATTAGGTTATAGGAGGCAGAGGCCTCATGAATGTGATTACTGCTCTTATAAAAGAGGCCTGAAAGAAATCCCTCACACCTTTGCCAGGTGAGGCTACAGTGAAAAGATGGCCATCTAGGAAGTGAGTCCTCACCAGATACCCAATGCTGGTGTCTTGATCTTGGACTTCCCAGTCCCTAGACCTGTGAAAAATAAGTATCTGTTGTTTATAAGCCACCCAATTTATGATCTTTTGTCATAGCAGCTTGAAAAGATTGAGACATATACTTCTGTCTTTCTTAAGCATTATAAAAGCTTTAGTGATATAATTTTGAAATTCTGATAATCACCTGAGCAAATCTAAGGATCAGAGCAGCAAAAAAAGAGAATAAAGAAATCAGAAGAGTTTTGGAAACAATAATAGGTTATAACAGTTAAAACACAATGTTAGGGAGTAGGAAGTTATTCCTTCTGGCTGCAAATATCCCCTATTCTGTAACATATATATATAAAAGTGTTATTTCAGCTGAAATTAACAATATGAAAAACAGAATGCATTTCACATGCTTTTACAGGAGTAAATTGTGTGTTACGGCAATATCAATAAATAACAGACACATTGATGTTTTCTCTCGTAAACTTTAGAGCTGGACATCTCTGGGTTTAAGTCTCATATCTGACATTGACTGGATGTGTGAACTTGGGCAAGTTAATTTTGCTAAGCCTCATAAAATAAACTCTCACATAATTTTTGAGATGGCACATAGTCTTGGCGTTAAAAATATTAGCTGTTAATAGTGTACTGCTACTAAAGCTTTTGAGATTTCACAGTTACCCAGGAACTGAGGAACCATAACAGCCAGTTCTCATTCACTCAGCAAACTGAAAAAAAAAAAAAAAAAAAAAGTTGTAGAAACCCTTACCTTAGCATATCTTCAGGAACAATCAGCAGTTAATTAAATTTGAAGCTGTTAGACTAAAGTGATAGAGAATACAAGTAAGAGCTAGTGAAAAAATCAGAAGACACAGCAAAAATGGAGATTCACAAAACAGGCTGGGAAGAGATGAGAATTGAAAATATAATGATATTTACTAAGAGCATTTTTGATAGAACAATACTGCTGACTCCTCTAAAACATACTCTAAATAATATTTTTACTTTAAAAATATATTACTTTATTGTTTATTCTTTTTTATTCCACTTTTAGTGTCATTGCTTTAGTATTTTTGCAGCTTTGTTGAGATATAAGAAAAAGTTGCATATATTTAAGTGTACATGATGTTTTGATATATGCATATAGTGAAATAATTGCTGCAATCAAGCTAATCAATATATCCATTTTTTCATTTTTGTTTTTAACTCAATTGCTTTCTTCTGTAACTTTCAAATTATTTTGATCCTCCATTTTCCTTTTGTGTACTCCCCCAACAGAAATACTCATTAGAAGAGACAAACTATGTTGTTTTCTTTTTTCAGCCTTCAAATACCGCTTTCTCTCTTGTTGCCTGTTTTGCTCTTCATGTAAATGGACGATTATTAGATGATTGTGGCAGAGAATATGTGGCAGTGCTGGTTATCACGTGCCTGCTTAACATGCTTTTAATTACAATGAAGATCCCAGTTCTGAGAAAGAAATTTTTTCTTTATTTTATTATTATTATTATTATTATTTATTTATTTATTTATTTTTTTGAGACGGAGTCTCGCTCTGTCACCCAGGCTGGACTGCAGTGGCGCAATCTCGGCTCACTGCAAGCTCCGCCTCCCGGGTTCACGCCATTCTCCTGCCTCAGCCTCCCGAGTAGCTGGGACTACAGGCACCTGCCACCTTGCGCCCGGCTAATTTTTTGTATTCTTAGTAGAGATGGGGTTTCACCGTGTTAGCCAAGATGGTCTCGATCTCCTGACCTCGTGATCCGCCCGCCTCGGCTTCCCAAAGTGCTGGGATTACAGGCGTGAGCCACCGCGCCCGGCTGAAATTTTGTTTTTCTAAAAAATCAAAAGTAAAATGTTTATACATAAAATAAGAGCTACCAAAATTTTAAAAGCTTAAAATTGGTCTCTTTTTAGAACCATAAAATGACTACAGTTTCTTAGTCCAGAAGAGTTAAAAGAATATTAAGTTAAGTAATAGATAGGACTACATACTCTTACAGAGTCTTAGCTACTTAAAAAGCAAATTTTTTTGTGTCTTACACAGAATCACATTATAAAAGTCCCACCTGTCAATTTAGGCGTGATTTTGTAGAGTTTCATCCAAAACATTATTTAGTAATTCCAATCAGAACTAAAATACAGTTTCTATGGAACTTGACAAGCTAATTTGAAAATGTGCAAGAAAAGAGCAATGGTCGAAAATGTACATCACAGGAGCATAATCATCTGAGACAGAAAAAGAAGAAAAAAGAAAGAAGAAAAGGAGGAGGAGGAAGAAGAAGAAGAAAAGGAGGAAGAAGAAGGGGGAGGATGGGAATGGGTATGATTTGTTCTACTAAACAACAAGATTTATAATAAAGTTATAGTGACTTTAAAAGTGTTATAATAACATGGGGACTGATAGAAACCATGGAAACGAATGGATAGTCTAGACACGGACATATATAAAAACTTGATATCTGACAGAGGTGGCTTTATAGATTAGTAGCCAGTATTTGGTGCCAAGACATTTAGTTACCAAAATAGAAAAAAATAAAGTCAAATCCTTACTTCACAGCACACACAAAAGATGGATTAAAGATCTAAAAAAAAAAAAAGAAAAAATATATGACATTTTAGAAAAAATATAGGAGAATACCCTTAAAAGCACAAGATAAAAAAGGTATAGGAAACACAAACTATCATAAAAAAATTGAGAAAGTTGACTACGTGAAAACTGAAACTTTTAACAAAAGATAACATAATTATGGTAAAAAGACAAGCCACAGACTAGAAGAAGCCATTTGCAACATGTACAAGTTTTGCAACATATATCCAAGATATATGAAGAACTTGTATAAATTTTAAAAAAGAGTATACGACTTAATAGAAAAAGGGCAGAAAACACCATCATCAATTCACAGAAGAGCAATCAGAAGAGGAAACACACACACACACACACACACACACAAACCTTACTAGTAGTCATTTTAATGAAAATTAAAATATCTATCAGATTGACAAAATTTTAAAAGTATAAAGGATGATGTGAAGCAAGTGTAATTTTATACACTCCTTGTGAGAGTATACAAATCAATTCAACCACTGTAGAAAGCAATTTGGTAATAGATGGTGAACTGATAATGCCTATTATCCATAAAAGCCTGAAAATCTCCTCGCATGTACAAAACTTAAAGAAAAGCTCACTCATAAACTCAAAGATACATGAACAAAAATCTTCAGGGTCGTATTGGTCATAGTATTAGGTTGGTGCAAAAGTAACTGCGGCTTTTGCCATTGAAAGTAATGGTAAAAGCCGGAATTACTTTTGTACCAACCTAACAGGAAAAAAAGGAGACAAACTGTAAGTCCATCAATGAACCAGAACTATGTATATTAACATAATGTTGCACAAAAAACACATTACACGCTGAGCGCAGTGGCTCACGCCTGTAATCAGCATTTTGGGAGGCTTAGGCAGGCAGATCTCTTCAGGTTAGGAATTCGAGACCAGCCTGGCCAACATGGAGAAACCACGTCTCCACTAAAAATACAAAAATTAGCTGGTCATGGCTGTGCACGCCTGTAATCCCAGCTACTAAGGTGGCTGAGACATGAGAATCGCTTGAACATGGGAGGTGGAGGTTGCAGTGAGCTGAGATCCTGCCACTGCACTCCAGCCTGGTCTGTCTCAAAAAAAAAAAAAAAAAAAAATTACAAAAGAATATTGTAGTATGTTGCTGCTTAAAGTTTTACAATTTTATGAAAAAATATATTGTTTAGGGTTCTATGCAGATGTAGGAAAAGTATAAAGAAATGCACAGGAATGAGAAGCATCTAATTTGGGATGATCGCTGCCTGCTCAGGAAGGAAAAAGGGGAATGTGACAAGCTTAAGCTATCATAATATTTTAGTTCTTAAACTGAATGGTGGCCATCTAGGTGTTCATGATTATAAATCTTTATATCTTTTTATGTGTCTTAAATATTTGATAATAAATTTGTTTTAAAAAAGAAGCAACAATAGGGTAGGGTATATTTTTACCAAAGGCCGAAGTAAAAACTCTTGAGTTGGAATTTATACTTAGAAAAGGGGCTTCCATTTTTCTTAGTCACACTAGAGTGATTGGGGTGGGGAAAACACAGATTTTTTCTCAATCTTGTTTTCTCCCCAACTACTATTATAATATATTATATTACATAGTCTTTGAAAAGGGTAAAATGAATCAGAAACCTATAATATAGATAGTAAATGTGTCCCATAATCCAGTTCCTTCAGAATTTTGCAGACTTTGCTCAACTGTCTTTTTGTTTTGATTTTTTTTTTTTTTTTTTGCTTGTTAAGGGACCTAAGGCCATTCTGATTTCTGATCCTTTGTGAATATGAGGATGTTGATGATGTTTAAAAGCAACTGATGCAGATTCTGAAGGTGTTTTATAAATAAGAGTTTCAAGTGTATATTGAATAATGATATTGTTTAGTGTATTTCAAAGTGACTCCTTTGAAAGATGCTACACTCATTGGATGGAGCAACCATGATACCTCCTGGGCTTGCAATGCCCTTAGGCCTATTGATGATTTTCTGGATTGCAGTTACAGGACAATGCAGAGAGGGAGGTTTGGAACCACACTCTGACATTCATCACAAGCTGGAAAAGAAGTGAATTAATGAAATAAGACTTACAAGTATAACTTTGATTTTTACAAATGTGTGTTTTTTTTAGAGTCTTTTGTCTATATCCTTATATCTTTCAAGCCTAGGTCAAATGCCTCCTCTTTCTTTATTCTTCAGGAAACACAAAGTACCAGAGCACGTTCCTGGTGCAGAAGATGCAACAGAAAGTGGGATGTAAGTGATCTCTATCCTCACAGAGCTTATTATCCTTTATACGTATTGCTCTAATGATACTCACTACATTTTTGTCATTTGTGAACATTTCATTCTACTAGACAGTGAGTTTGATGCCAGCCTTGTTTTCCAATCATCAGTGTTTCCCTATGGAATTTAACACAGCGCTTTACAGCTACAGACAGTGAATCAATGTGTGTCACATCAGTAAATGAATGACTTTTCCCATCATGCTTTGCTGGAGTAATACAACATAGCTTCTCTCCTACTAAATTGGTAGAAACTAACTTAATTATGATATTATGTCTTGGAGTCATATTAAGAAGTTTGCATCAAAGAAACTATTCAAATGAAATGATGGTACAAAAATCAGCCTTAATATTTTTTCCTTGGAATTACAGAATACAATTTATAGCATAATATTAGTGAATCATGTTTGTGTAAAATGGTTATAAATGTAGAATAATATGCTTATTCAATAGGCTTAATATCTATTTAGAAGGGACTATTATTATTTACTAGGAAAGAATATTATTTTATAATATTGCTGAGGAAAAAGTTTTTAAAATTCTCTAAATATATCTTTATGATAGGTAATGCCTAAATGAGAAGAAGTTTTGAAATAATCTCTTACT
The DNA here is from genome assembly GCF_000001405.40 of Homo sapiens. Taxonomy (NCBI): domain Eukaryota; kingdom Metazoa; phylum Chordata; class Mammalia; order Primates; family Hominidae; genus Homo; species Homo sapiens. Next base: position 97,293,740 of record NC_000007.14, read on the forward strand.
TTGATTTGGTTTTAAAAATATTTTTCTTTGTGCAAAGACAAATTCCAAGGGTAAATATTTTGAAGAATTAAAAGCTGTAACCTCAAATTTAAAGCACTAAGAAAAAGTATAGAAAATTTGTTAAAATTTTCTTCTACCCGGGTATACTCTTTTGTGATAACTCATCATTTCAGAGGTTTTCACTGCTCTCTCTTTAGCTTTAATTTTTTTCCTTTATATCTTACTCCAATACCTGTATTTTCGTCTTCTCTTTTATCCCAAACTATATTATTTTGGTGTAAATTAATCTGGGTAATGTATAATGAGTGAGGTCTCAAAAATAAATTTTAAATCACTCAACAGGCCCATTTAAATGATTTTCTAGAGGGAGTATTTCATTGAACTCTTAATTTTGCCAAATGTTACTCAGTTTCTAGGAGCTGGGTCAGAAGAAGAGGTATTACTACAATTTTATGATTTTCAAGAATTTAAGGACAGTATTAGTTCGTTACCTATAACACAAACCTCCTCACATACTCATGAACCTCACTCTTTATTTCTGGAATTGGAGTGTTGTGTTTCTGTTTTTTTTTTCTGAGACAGAGTCTTGCTCTGTCACCCAGGCTGGAGTGAAGTGGCGCGATCTCGGCTCACAGCAACCTCCGCCTCCTGGGTTCAAGCGATTCTCCTGCCTCAGCCTCCCGAGTAGCATGCACCACCACGCCTGGCTAATTTTTGTATTTTTTGTAGAGATGGGGTTTCACCATGTTAGCCAGGCTCGTCTCAAACACCTGACCTCCGGTCATCCACCTACCTTGGTCTCCCAAATTGCTGGGATTACAGGCATGAACCACCGCACCTGGCCTGGAATTGGAGTGTTTATTTAAGAACCAGACAATTGTTGGGTCATAGACACCATGTAGCTATCAACTTTCCAGATTGCTGTCTGAGGGGAAAGCTGACAGCAATGGATCTGCACTAGGATTTACCGTGAATTCAGTAACTTTAAAATGATTTTCCAGGCCAGGCACGGTGGCTCACCCCTGTAATCCCAGCACTTTGGGAGGCCAAGCCAGGAGGATTACTTGAGGTCAGGGGTTTGAGACCAGCCTGGCCAACACGGTGAAACCTCGTCTCTACTAATAATACAAAAATTAGCCCGGTGTGGTGGCAGGTATCTGTAATCGCAGCTACTCAGGAGGCTGAGGCAGGAGAATCTCTTGAACCTTGGTGGTGGAGGTTGCAGTGAGCTGAGATCGTGCCATTGCACTCCAGCCTAGGCGACAGAGCAAGACTGTATCTCAAAAAAAAAAAAAATCCTATGGCAAAATGTACCAAATACAGAATGATATATAAAATTCCCCCACTCTGCAGCTGGATGCCCCAGGAGCAGTAAGCCCTATATTCCCTAGAACTCATTTATGACTTTGCCCACTAATTAATGAATGGCTTCTGCAAACTCTCAGAAAAGCTGAAGCCAGGCCATTAATAAACCATAGCTCTCGTTTCCTGAGAGCTCTTATCTAATAGTCAATAGCTCCCTTTCCTTTCCCAGCTGGATTTGAACTTGCTACTGAGTTTTGTAAACTAAAACAACCCAAAAGCTACTCTGTAATTCCTGCTTCTAAACTCAGCACTGGCCACTTTTGGCTTTCAGGGGAAGATCAGAACAGAAGAAATGAATTCCCTGTCAAGAACTGTGAAGGCTCTGAGATTCCACTCTACTTGCAGGCTAATAAGTCAGCCATATACAATTTTATGTATGCTGACAGAACACATGAGACTCCTGGGTCAGAGACTGAGGAGATACATCTTCAGAGATAGTTTATTACTCAAATCATAGCAGTAAACAGAGTATCAGCATTATTTGTGCTGGTTTCCAAGATCCAATTTCCGCAAAGTGATGCAAAGAGGACCAGATGACATCTGCACATGTTGTGTTGCAGGAGAGAAACCTTGAGGTAGGGAACCCAAATCTTTAATAATGTGCAGTAAGTATGCCTGCCCTTTGCTCCAGAGGAAAACACTATCTCTATATTCCAAGACTGTTTGCTATAGAAACATCCTTAAATAGTCTGGAACAAAGAATAGTAAGTACCTTGCTGGCAATATGTGCATAAATGTGAGCAGCTCATGGTGAACTGTCTTTCAACATTCCCTCAGCTGATTCAGGCTGGACTGATAGTTCCATTAAAAAAAATGAAATAAAACCTTTTCAAATATTTCAAAATCTTGTCCTATCCATTTGAATATAAGAGGTTCCATGTCCCTGACTAGTTTTTGTTTCCTCCACATTGGTTTATTTTAATGTTATTATTATGATTTAGAGACAGGGTCTCACTCTGTCACCAAGGCTAGAGTGCAGTGGCATGATCATAGCTCACTGTAACCTTAAACTCCTGGGCTCAAAGGATCCTCCTGCCTCAGCCTTCTGAGTAGCTAAGACTGCAGATGCATGTCACTGTTCCTGGCTAATTTTTAACTTTTTGTAGAGATGGGGTCTCACTATGTTTCCTAGGGTTTCCTCAAATTACTGGCCTCAAGCAACCTCCCGTCTTGGCCTCCCAAAGTGCTGGGATTATGTTTATTATTATGTGTTATTTGTGGTCTCTATCTTCTGTGTTGGGAATTTTCTTTAGATGCTTTATAATTTTAGCTGTTTGCTCATTACTAAGAACAGGAGACTAAATAGCTTATTGGTAGCTCTGAATGCATAGGTAGGGCTCTGTTGACTGTGGTCTTACCTATTGGGTGATTTCATTGAGCCATCTGGAAAGAACAGTTGATGTCAATATGTTTATGTCTTTACTCTCAGCTAATCAGTTTCCCTACATAAATGTCATCCAATCTTCTGCATGGGTGCTAGGGAACTGGCTTCCAGGGTTCTGAGAACCCAGTGGTGAAAACATCACACATACATTTATGCACACATTAACAAAGTCTTTTTGTTTAAATAAAGTACTCTTAATCACACTTCTCAAATTACAAATAAGGTTAGGAATATTTTCCTGCATTTACTGTCAGTGTGTTTTCTCTTCTGTGAACTGACCATGTCATGTTCATGTTTATACTGAGTTGTGTTTTTCTAGGAATTATTTGTGTACTCCTGTTCTGAACCCTGTGTTAATTATCTGTGTGGTATCTTCCTCCAGATTTTAGATTTTCCTTTCCTGCTATCTGCCGCTGCTGAGCATTTTCCTCAATATAGCCTTTCTTCATTCCTAGACTTTTGTGATGTGGCTTTTGGTCCAACACTTCACCAATGTACCAATGTGGGCTCAAGGTCTAGTCCCTAACACCACCCCTATCCCCATGCTCCTCATAGGCCCTGTGCTGTTAGAGGTCAGGTGATGTATGATGCTTTAAGAGCTCATTGCCCTTCCTGCATGGTTCCTACTTTCAGGGGATCTGTTTTTACTGTCTCCCAACTCCTACATTGACTTAAAAGAATATTTTATCCATTTACCCGTTATTTTTCTTGCATTTTTGGGTGTTTTATAGCCAGAGTGCATAGAGATCTCTAGTACATTTTGTTGCTAGAAACAGAAGTCTATAATTTATTTTTCTTCTTTCTAAACGCTGTACCCATTCTTTCTAAACACTGTACCCATTCTTTCTAAACACTGTATCCAATCTGGCTGGAATTTTATAGGAGCATATATTTTCTGGCTAGGAGTTTGAAATGTAAAATTGAGTTTATGCACTAGGTTTTAAAGTTTTTGTTTTTGTTTTTTTCATTTGTAGAAAGGAATGCCTTAGTTATGTTCCTAATTTTAAGGGAATCTATGCCTCATTTTAGTATTGTTGTGTTAGCTAGAGATAGATCTCCAATGTCTTAGTTATAGGTAATCTTGATAAAGTTAGTGGGTAAATTTAATTTTAAGTAAACACATTTTTTACAATAATGTCTTAACCAATGTTTCTTATGATAAGTGTTCTTAGTCTCAAGGTTGTAAGTTGATAATCTTTGGAAATACTAAAACAAAACTTTCAATATTGCAGATATGCACTTTGGCTTTCTGAGCAGTCTAAGACAGAAACTTGAAATTTACTTAATGTTTATGGCAATTGGTATGTACGTATTTCTAACCTTCTCCTTATCTTACAAGACACAATAACTGCCTGATGCTTCTTCTAAAAGCCCCATGTTTCAAGTTTCTCATTCTTTCAAAAGTATCTTCATTAAAGTTCCTTGTACAGTAGTTATATTTTCTAGCAAAGGCTGAGTTAAATAATATTAGGCTTATAGTTATCTGTTCCCATAGGATAAATAGATATACCAAAAGTTGTTTAATGAAACTCCTTCCTGGAGAAAAAAAAGTAATCCAATAGGTTAAGGCAGCTACAAGTCAAAACTCTAAAGTAGCAATAGGCCTAAATGGCACAAGCTCTGAGAAATTACAAGACCAAGCTACTCGTTTAAACAAATCTTACATCCATTTCATTCATAAATTTATCTCAGTGAATTATTACAAGCAAAGGAGAATGTCAAAATTTTAAAATGTTACTTATTTTAATTACATTTGGTTGACATTTTTATCCCGTAAATCATTTCTAACACTGCAGAAATTTTGCCCTCACATTGGTCCCCAAGTAAGGTCCCAGAGGTTCCTTCAATTGCTTATGGGCAACCTAATGCATAAGACTGCACATAAAAGGTCCCTCTATTACTATACAATTAGCACAGTGATAGGTGCTGGTGCTGATGGTGGTGGAGATAGACTGTTGTTACAAAAGACCACCTCTTTTTATGATGTGAAAATGTGCATTCTTGTATGTTGCAGCAACATACAAATGAAGCAAAATAGACTGGTGGATAGTTCTTAAACATTAATGTGCATATAACATATAAATTATCTAACCTCTATATACAATGCAGATTCCTAGCTCTCTATCACCAGAGATTCAGAATCAGTAGATCTGATTTTTGAAAATTTTGAGAAACACTATAATTGGAGCTTACAGTCATGTGCAAAATAATGGCTATTTTAGGCCAAAGATCTGTCAGGGAAAACTTCAAGGAAGTGATGAATAGGATAGGATTGTAAAGCATGACTTGCATTTTTATGTCTGGAAAGGGGAGAGAGAGAGAGTCTTTGACATAAAAAATAATACCATGAGCTAGATACTAGATTTGGAAATGAGTCCTATGAAAAGAAGCAATGAGTATATTCTCCTGACTAAAGCATAGAGGTTATAGTAGCCTGCCGTGAGAAGATCGAAAAGACCAATGGCCAATAAATACTTGTTGGACAGAACTGCTGGCTTCTGGGAAAAGTTTCCAGCCAGTGCAGAGAGAGATTTAAGTGGGAAGGAAATTTTTCCTGAATAACCTTAGCCCTGGGAGCTCATCATCAGCAGACCTGGAGGATTAAGTAAAACATTTTTTTTTCTTTTTCATCCCATTCTCTATTAAAAGCCCTAATCTGTCTCCCTGTCTCTCTTTTATGGATGTCATAAAAGAGATGCACTTCCTATCTTATAGTAATTCAAAGATTCATATTGTCTTCCTTATTAGACTCTAGATTTTATGAGTGCAGGTTCTTAACTTATTCATCATTTTGTTTCTTCACAGTCCATCGTACAATGCTATGCAAAAGGGCAGTATTCATAATATCTGTTTAAACAATCAATTGATAACATAATCACTTCACTATGCTAGGTACTTTGTACATAATATCATATTTAGATTTTTGAAATCTACTACAGGTTAGGTATTGCTATCCACATACTGCAAGGAAGGAAACTGAGGCTTGGAAATGTCAAGCACTTGTCTATTGTCACACACTATTAAAGGGCACAGTCAGAAATGAATGCAGGACTGGAAACTCTAACTGACTTAAAAGATGTACTCTTTCCACTAATGGATGGAACAAAGAAATGAATGAAAGAGGGAATGAGGAGTATAAAGCTAAGCAATTCATCTGAAGGAAATGATACTGAGATTTTAATCAGAATTTCAATCTGCTTATTCTAGAGGTGGAAGGAAGGTAAGCTGGGGATTCTTCAGTTCTGAGCTCTTTGGAAAAAGGTGTGGTCTGCTGGAAGGGAGTGCTAGAGCACAGAATGTATAGTTAGAAGGTGCCTAGAATGTAGGACAGAGCCTACTGGATATTCCATACCTAAGTTGATGGGGAGAGAGACTCAGCTGTTTACAAATGGCATTATGACAATGTGGAAGAGGAAGAAAGCAAGACCTATGATGAGAGTTAGTCTTGAGTGAACGATCACCCAAGTGATTGGTAAAATATACAAATTATCAGGTTCCATAGCCAGAGATTCTGATTAAATGGTCCTGGGGTATTGTGCAGGACCATATAATGTGCAGTCCAGGTTGAGAACTCACTGTCCTAGGATTTAACTTCCTTTCTTGAACATTGGGATTTGGCCTCATTGTTACTACAGCGCTGACCGCCACAGGTGTTCTCCATGGAAATAGGTTACCACTTCAAGGTTACTGGTCTCTGGATGTTGAATAAAACAGTGTGATTATTACTACGAGACTGTTTTGTTCTCATGTGATAGTAGCCATCTTTTTCTGAGCATGTCCTGCATTCCAAGTGATTTTGCTTCTGGGATCAAATTACACAGCCATTGGCATGAGATTGGCTTAGCAAAATTAATGAAAACATAATTAAGCAAGTTTTCCTCAGCTGTGCCATTTGAAGGGTCCTTATAAATTTTTAAATATTAAAGTAGTAACGTAAATTAAGAAAATGATTGTTCGAATTGCAAGTTAGACTTTTCAATTAAACTCAAATTACACCTCTAATGAAGTAGATTGTTAGTGATGATTTCAAATTATGAAGCAATACTTAAAGAATACAGCATGGGGTTTGAAGTGGAAGGCCTAGCTCCAAAACCTGACTTTGTAGTAGTAAATGGATAACTTTGGAGAGGATAGTAACTTGTCTGCGTCTGAGTTTCCTCATTTATAAGATGAGGATAATAATACTTCCTTGCAATAGTGTGATGGTAAATGCATAACAACTGGCTCTCAGGACAGAGTGCTGCTGGTTTGTGGCATTTGCCAGTTTTTGAGGTGCAAATATTCCACCATGGCTGATGTAAAGTTAGTAAGAGAACTGGCTCAAAAAATTCCTAAAAATTTAACACTGGGTTTGTTTGAGTACCTCTGCTTACTGAGATATTATAATGATAAAATAATGCGATATTATAATGATAAAATATGTAAATTAGTGTTTGACCCAAATGTACTCAATATGTACAGTGTTTCCTAATTCTATAGTTTTCAAAAATTTCAAATATTACTATATTGAAAATAAAATTGTTACCATTTGAAAAATAAGATGTTTTACCTGGCAAAAAAGAACAATACTGTTCTGTTAATCTTGAAACTTGAAATGGATTTATGCTCTTCAAAGCTGGGTTAGTCCTAAATTCACCATGTCTCCCATCATGAGTCCTTGAAAATCTATATTTACATATTTGAAAATTATGAGCTCTGTGTGAAGATTTGATTAGCAAATATTTATTAAGCATATTTTGAGTTCCGAGCACTATGCTATACACTGTGTACTATGTTAATAACTTCTTTGAAAGGCAAGATTTTCATGTGTGGAAGTCTTAGATCGTCTTTAACGCTTTCTACTTTCTTCCCAATGACCTTGTCTCCACTCTTGGCATCCAGTGCTTCTCCTTGCCTTTTCTCCTTTCTCCATACATCACCTCTTCTAGGGGCATTTTTTTTTCTGCTAAGGGACATCACTAGAAAGGTAATGGTCAAATCTGACAAAAGAGGATGAGAATGAAGGAGCTTACTGAGAAGCCAGATATTTAGTTGGCAGCATCCCAGGTAGGACCCAAACTATATTTCCTGACTTTAGCAAGGAGTTTGGTGGGAATAGACTGCATCAGTGAAAGCCATTCAAAACCCTTACCTATCAAAGCATCCAAGTTACTCCCTATTTCCTGAGTCCTAAATTCAAGGCGAGAATGAGTTAACAGTCTTCACATTTGCTTTCTTTCTCATGTGGGCCTTTCGCCCTGGGCTTAGTCCCACAGTTCTTGCCATATATGTGAAATAAAATCCAGATTCTTACCCAGGCACAGCCCTGCATAATTTAGCCTCTGACCACTGTGCCACTTTTAACATCAACTTGCATTTATTGAGTGCTCACTATGAGCCAGAGGTTGCCCTGTTCTGACCTGAATTAAGTCATATTATTCTCATAACAAAGCTTTGCAGTTTTAATCTTGCTTTATAGATGAGGAAACTGAGGCCTTAGTTTAAATTTCTTGTCTGAGATCATACCAGTCGAAAGTGGCAGGGCTGGGATTGAAGGTCTAGTGAGGATTTCTTTCCTAAAGGACATGTGGTAAGGATGATACGAGTTCTGAGGATGGCCAAACCTGCTGTCAACGGGGCACGGAGTGTAGCCTTCCATGGGGAGGGGTGCCATGGAAGAGCCAGGAGAGGAGGGCACAGAACATTGCCAACAACTGGTCCAGGAAATGGCGAAATAAAATAAAATCTTTGAAAAAGAGAAGGAAGGATGACGGTGGACTTTGTCTAACATCACGGTTATGGAAGGTATGTACCAAGTGTGAACCAAAATGCAGTTTGACAGACACATGCAGTTAGTTGTCTGTCTCACCATTACTATCCATTTTTAAATTAACATTTATGGGAGACCAGAATATTCCACCCAAAAATATGAAGAATTATTGAGCTGAAGGCAATTAAGAGGAAACAGATTCAGGAAAGCTTTCTGACCTTCAATTGCTGAAAAGCAGGCCATAGGTTGGCCTCTTTTCCTAGGGAGAACAGAGGTTAACACTGAACACAACTTTGCGCTCTTATTGGCCTGGAGAAGGCACAAGAGGAATCTACGTTAACAAGGTTTACTAACCATCCTTTATCGGCCAACTCCTTCCTCAGAGTTGTCACACCTAGAGACTCAAAGTCATTTTTGTCTTGTCACTTCTCTAAATATTCACTATTCTTTGTTGAGGATGTTATATAAGCTAGAATTCAAAGCCATCACTTCGATAAGTCATTCCCTGGGTGTCTCCCATATATGTATATGTTAATCAACTTCTGTTTTTCTCTTGTTAATTTGTCTATTATAGAATTCTGTTTCAACTAAGACTCTATGAGGGTTGAAGAAGCCATTTCTTTTCTTCCCCTACACTTTCTATTGAAATATACACATGGAAAACTGCTCAAGATATAATTTCACACTTGATGAATTTTCATGATGGGAATAGACCCATGTAACCAGCATCCAGATAATAAAATGGGTAATTACCAGCATCTGAAAGCCTCCTTATACCCTTCTCATTTATTTACACCGTCATTCCTCAAAGGTAACCAGCACACCCTACCTCTCTCACTATAAATTAGTTTTTCTTGTTTTTTAACTTTATGTAAATAGAATCATACATATTTAATATTTTTTTGTTTGGCTTCTTTTGCTTTGGCATTTGTTTCTTCAATTCATCCATATTATTGCATGTATCAATGATTTATTTGTTCCTGTTGCTTAAATATACCATGGTTTATTTGTTCTGCTTCTGAGGGACATTTGAGTTGTTTCTAGTGTTTGACTACTATGTATTGTGAGCCTTCCTGTACATGTCTTTTGGTGCCTATAAATATGCATTTTGTTGGGTATATACAGAGGAGAATTGCTGGGCCATAGGATATGCATATGTTCAGCTTCAGTAGATAATGCCAAACTTTCTTCAGAAGTGGTTGTACTAAGTTACACTCGTACCAGCAGTGTATGAGGATTCCAGGTGGTACACAGTGATGGTCTCATTCTTTTTCATTCTGGTGGGTGTGCTTGATACTTTATGGTGGTTTTAATTTACAGTTTCCTCATAGGAATGTTGGGTACCACTGTTTATTGGCTATTTGGATATCCATTTTTGTGAAGTGGCCGTTTAAGCCTTTTGCCCATTTTTAAAATTGGGCTGTATGTTTTCTTTCTATTGATTTGTAGAAGTTTTGAAAATGAATCTTATCAGTCTATTTTGCAAGGATTTAACAATCTATATATAGTTAGCTAAATACAGCTTCTTCATATCCAATGCTAAGAATAGTACTTAATATCTTGTTAATTGTTGAAAAAGTAGTTACTTATTTTTTAAATTGTTGTGTTTTCAGCAGTTTGGTTCCAGACCTTTTTTCCCCCACACATATGGCATTCCTGTACTCAATAATGACAAGTCAGTTATTCTAGAAAACAGCTTGCTTACTCTCTTTCCCTCCCTACCTCCCTCTTTTCCTTTCTTCTCTATTTCTATCTCCCATTCTACCTCATTTCATTCCTTCTCTTTCTTTCTTCCTATTTTCCCACAACAGTTTACATTTATATAAAAACTTTCTAGTGAGTTTCTTTTAGAGAGCTTGTTCTCAATTAATAGGCCACAACCTCTTTTCTGAGAACACTGCATAAATAGCTGGGACTCGAGTTTATGTAAATAATCATATCAGAATTACCTTATGATGTTGCTTTCCAAGCACTATCTTTCATGAGTCATTTAAAACTGCTTTAAAAATTCATTAGACAGAGAGAGACCCAAGTACAAGCTCATTATAGAATTTCAAATGAACCATGTAATACAAAAGGAACATTGATAAAATACAAAATAACTGATAATGGTGTTCTTCCTATGCAGGTATGCTTGGTAAAGCACACCTGATACATAAACATTTAGAACTACATAAAAGATAAATGCTCTTCATTACAAAAGCAATCTCTGGATTACAAAGGGAATCCCAATAATTCACAAAATGCTCTCTTTTGTTCCTCTATGTTCTGTTTGCTTATTCTGTTTCATCTGTCTTTTTTACATAGCAAGCAACCTATGCTTAAAACATAATTTTATTTACCGAAAATGATTTATATATAAACTTATAACAAAATATTGCATCAAATAGATTATCTGTAGAAAAAAAAGAATAGGGTGGGCACGGTGGCTCACGCCTGTAATCCCAGCACTTTGGGAGGCCAAGGCGGGTGGATCATGAGGTCAGGAGATTGAGACCATCCTGGCTAACACGATGAAACCCCGTCTCTACTAAAAGTACCAAAAAATTAGCTGGCCGTGGCGGCGTGCACCTGTAGTCCTAGCTGCTTGGGAGGCTGAGGCAGGAGAATGGCGTGAACCCAGGAGGTGGAGTTTGCAGTGAGACGAGATTGCGCCACTGCACTCCAGCCTGAGTGACAGAGCAAGACTCCGTCTCAAAAAAAAAAAGAAATAAAAGAATACTTCATGATGATGTCACTAGGAGGGAACTTTCTTTCTTTCTTTTTTTTTTTTTTGAGACAGAGTCTCACTCTGTTGCCCAGGCTGGAGTGCAGTGGTGAGATCTTGGCTCACTGCAACCTCCGCCTCCTGGGTTCAAGCAATTCTCCTGCCTCAGCCTCCCACGTAGCTGGCATTACAGGCATGCACCACCACACCTGGTTAATTTTTGTATTTTTAGTAGAGATGGGGTTTCACCATGTTGGCCAGGCTGGTCACGAACTCCTGACCTCAGGTGATCTGCCTGCCTCGGCCTCCCAAAGTGCTGGGATTACAGGCTTGAGCCACTGTGCCCGGCCTAGGGGGGAACTTTCTTTAAATGCTTTCTGTGAGTTGTGGCAATGGATTTCTATTGATTGCTCCATCTTTCCTACTCTAGTGTTATGCAATGTTGGTGAAACAGCAGAGCATTAAAAGAATTCTACCATCCCTTCCAAGGCTGAATCCATATCTCTTTATTGCTAAGTTCTTACCTAATTTAAAAAAAAAAAGCCACATTTGAAATGAAAAATATAATCTCATGTTTAATCTGCTAAAAGAAATGGCCTACGGTAAAAGGTGAGGAAGATGTCTGCATAATTTTAAACCTCCAATTCCAATAGAGAATATATAGAAGGAACACAAAGCCACCTGGAATTTCTGAATGCCGGTGAGAATGCATGATTCATTTGAAGAGTTTTGCTCTAAAGGGGAACAGAGAAATGGGGCGGTAGGAGGAGGAGGATGTAGAGTCGAGAAATGATTGCTTTGAGATGGGAGAATTAACAGTGTATTTGTGTGATGATGGGAACAATCTACTAGAACGGGAAATGATGACGCAAAAGAAAGAAGAGAGAATTGCTGGAGTGACGTCCTTGGAGGTGGGAACTAGGCGCAGGAAAGGGGCTGGCCTTACAAAGGGGAACAGAGTACATGCTTAAAATATGTTGAAGGAATTAATGACTTCACACTGTGGGAACTTATTTTCGCTTCTATTTTTATCACTATATGGGCCCTCAATATGGTATAGTAAGTGATTAAAAGCAGAGTCTTGGGAGTTTAAGAGACTTGGCTTTGAGAACCACTCCCTTGATGTCTTAGGGAAATTATTTAGACTCTGTATGTCACAGTTGATGCATCTGTAAAGCAGACATAATAATAGTATCTCTCATAGGGTTGCTGGTGCTATTAAATGTGACAAAGTATATGAATTGCCTAGCAAAGTGTCTGGCACATAGCGAGGGACCTCAAAGTGGTAACTTCTATTGTCAGCACTGCCTCTGCCTTGGAGCAGCTGTCCTGGGTACCTAGCTAGGAGTCCAGGGTGAATGCCACATGAAGCCCACATCCACCCTGAGAGTAGCACAGCTTTCCCTCTTCTTCCACGGGCAGCTCATGCCACAACAGTGCAGAACACAGCATTCTTTGTTCCAGCCCTGCAGTACTCCGACAATTCTGAAGAAGAAGTTCTGGAGGCTAATTTTCTCTCCTTTTAGAATCTTCTCTAGGTTAGGGCAGATTGCAGGACTGAAGTGAACTGCCAGAGAGCAGAGATGATAAAATGAAGCCAAAAAGGGGTGGGGGGAGATAGGGGGGAGTGGGTTGGGGGATGGTTAGTGATTTACTCCTCTACAGATGTAACCAACACTGCCTTGAGTAGGTGGTCAATAAACAGTTTGATAAATTGATGGGAAATATTATACCACTTCCCAAGGAATTTGAAAGCCCAAGAAAAGGTAGTGTAAAACTTAAAATCAATTAATAATATTAACAAAGATGGGCCAGATTTTAGTGTCTTCATGTAATTGAACAAATATTTACAATTTGCCAAAGTGTATCTTGGCAAAAGTGTAGCCTGTCGATCAAGATACTTCCACAATCTGCTTGTTAAAGGCTTTCACAGACTAAGCAGTAACACCCAAAACACTGATTTAGTTGTGACTAACACTTCACGGCTATTAATTGTGTTGGTTTGGGGGCAATATTATGGAAAAATAAATTATGGTGGTTTTGAATCCATGTTGAACAAAGTTATTAAGTAAAAGGTCCACATTCTGGGGAAATATGGATGAGAAAAGGAAAGCCAGTATTAGGATAATAGAGGAAAGAGAAAATCATTGCCTATCTTTCTTGATTTAAACAAATTGGCATAAGCAGGGGTCATTGAGAATAAAATGACTTCATGCAATTCTCATGACAATATCCTAAAGGCTACAGTCCAGTGATATAATCAATTAGGAGTATTTAACACTTATATTATTAGCTATAATTATAACAAGTTCATCATTCTGGTTTTTGTACTGACTATAGTGCCTGCCAGTCAACAATAATGTCCTTCAATTCAGTAACTGTAAATAGTACTTTCATACTAAGCAATATTTCATTTTTTAAATTTTGCATCTTAAATTTACCAGTGAGGGCTCATTTTCAGTCAATATCTTCACACAGTTATCATCATAATCAAGTCCTAAATTACAATTCTCCGTATTTGAGTTATATGTCATAAATTTTCATTTTTCTGGGTTTGGGCTTTAGCTGTGCTATAATTGTCTTGACTTTTCTCTATATCTTCATATTATATCTTAATAACATGGGACACAAACCACTATACTTTCACTTTAGGTCCAGGACTCACAGTACTGTCTCACTTTAGCCAGTCTCACTTTTTGCTCTTGAGAGACAGCACCCACTCAGTGCTTCATATTTCCTGTTCTGCCTTTGGCTGTGGGTTGAGTCATTCATACATTTATTTATTTATTCACTCAACAAATGTATACAGAGGCCCTATTAGGTTCTAAGAACTCTGCTAACTATTGGGAATGCAGCCATGAACAAGAGATACAGTGTTCTTGCTCTTGTGGAGTTTGTGTTCTAGTGGGAAACCAGGCACCAAACGAGAATATATTACGTGAGATGAGTGTTGCCAAGACATTGCGGGAGGAAGTGAGATTCTGTAATGGGGGACCTGGCTCAGGTCATCTTTGAACTGCAATTTGAAGGCTTGTATCATGACTGTTTTGTCATGGTGTCACATTTGTAGAAATATCAATTTGACTTCCAAAAATAATAAAAATTAAAATTTAATGAGGTTTAGTGACAAAATGCCAAAGAGCAATTTTCTACATAACATGATATGAATAACATTTCCTAAGCACATGCTATGTGTGAGGCATAGTTCCCTTATGGAGTAGAAACTATTAATGCCCCCATTTTACAGATAAGGAATCTATCTATAAGGCCACAGGTATATTAAGTAACTGCTCAAGCTAGATGGTCACATAGCTAGTAAGTAATAAAAATGGAATTTAAATCCAAATATTCTGGCTCTTAACCACCATGTTGTATGACCATGTAGAAGCAACATTTCTTAAAAATCTCTTTCCTGTTCTCTTTTCTCCTTCTACCTTCTACATGTAAAATGCCCAAAAGATTATTCTTCAAATTTAACCCCTGGTTTTCCTGACTCCTCTTCCTTACTTTCTCTAGTTGGGCCTTTTAAATAGGGCCATTTATTGTGTCTCATAAAATGAGTTAGGGAGGATTCACATCGATGCAAAAATCCTCAATAAAATAGTGGCAAGCCGAATCCAGCAGCACATCAAAAAGCTTATCCACCATGATAAAGTGGGCTTCATCCCTGGGATGCAAGGCTGGTTCAACATACACAAGTCAATAAACATAACCCAGCATATAGACAAAAACCACATGATTATCTCAACAGATGCAAAAAAGGCCTTCAGCAAAATTCAACAGCCCTTCATGCTAAAAACTCTCAATAAATTAGGTATTGATGGGACATATCTCAAAATAATAAGAGCTGCTTATGACAAACCCACAGCCAATATCATACTGAATGGACAAAAACTGGAAGCATTCCCTTTGAAACCTGGCACAAGACAGGGATGCCCTCTCTCACCACTCCTATTCAACATAGTGTTGGAAGTTCTGGCCAGGGCAATCAGGCAGGAGAAAGAAATAAAGGGCATTCAATTAGGAAAAGAGGAAGTCAAATTGTCCCTCTTTGCAGATGACATGATTGTATATCTAGAAAACCCCATCATCTCAGCCCAAAGTCTCCTTAAGCTGATAGACAATTTCAGCAAAGTCTCAGGATACAAAATCAATGTGCAAAAATCACAAGCATTCTTATACACCAATAACAGACAAAGAGAGAGCCAAATCATGAGTGAACTCCCATTCACAATTGCTTCAAAGAGAATAAAATACCTAGGAATCCAACTTACAAGGGATGTGAAGGACCTCTTCAAGGAGAACTACAAACCACTGCTCAATGCAATAAAAGAGGACACAAACAAATGGAAGAACATTACATGCTCATGGATAGGAAGAACGAATATCATGAAAATGGCCATACTGCCCAAGGTGATTTATAGATTCAATGCCATCCCAATCAAGCTACCAATGACTTTCTTCATAGAATTGGAAAAAACTACATTAAAGTTCATATGAAACCAAAAAAGAGCCTGCATTGCCAAGACAATCCTAAGCCAAAAGAACAAAGCTGGAGACATCATGCTACCTGACTTCAAACTATACCACAAGGCTACAGTAACCAAAACAGCATGGTACTGGTACCAAAACAGAGATATAGAACAATGAAACAGAACAGAGCCCTCAGAAATAATACCACACATCTACAACTATGTGATCTTTGACAAACCTGACAAAAACAAGCAATGGGGAAAGGATTCCCTATTTAATAAATGGTGCTGGGAAAACTGGCTAGCCATATGTAGAAAGCTGAAACTGGATCCCTTCCTTACACCTTATATGAAAATGAATTCAAGATGGATTAAAGACTTAAATGTTAGACCTAAAACCATAAAAACCCTAGAAGAAAACCTAGGCATTACCATTCAGGACATAGGCATGGGCAAGGACTTCATGACTAAAACACCAAAAGCAATGGCAACAAAAGCCAAAATTGACAAATGGGATCTAATTAAACTAAAGAGCTTCTGCACAGCAAAAGAAACTACCATCAGAGTGAACAGGCAACCTACAGAATGGGAGAAAATTTTTGCAATCTACTCATCTGACAAAGGGCTAATATCCAGAATATACAATGAACTCAAACAAATTTGCAAGATAAAAACAAACAACCCCATCAAAAAGTGGGCGAAGGATATGAACAGTCACTTCTCAAAAGAAGACATTTATGCAGCCAACAGACACATCAAAAAATGCTCATCATCACTGGCCATCAGAGAAATGCAATTTAAAACCACAATGAGATTTCATCTCACACCAGTTAGAATGGCAATCATTAAAAAGTCAGGAAACAACAGGTGCTGGAGAGGATGTGGAGAAATAGGAACACTTTTACACTGTTGGTGGGACTGTAAGCTAGTTCAACCATTGTGGAAGACAGTGTGGCGATTCCTCAGGGATCTAGAACTAGAAATACCATTTGACCCAGCCATCCAATTACTGGGTATATACCCAAAGGAATATAAATAATGCTGCTATAAAGACACATGCACACGTATGTTTATTGCGGCACTACTCACATTAGCAAAGACTTGGAACCAAGCCAAATGTCCAACAATGGTAGACTGGATTAAGAAAATGTGGCACATATACACCATGGAACACTATGCAGCCATAAAAAATGATGAGTTCATGTCCTTTGTAGGGACATGGATGAAGCTGGAAACCATCATTCTCAGCAAACTATCACAAGGACAAAAAAACCAAACACCGCATGTTCTCACTCATAGGTGGGAATTGACCAATGAGAACACTTGGACACAGGAAGGGGAACATCACACACCGGGGCCTGTTGTGGGGTGGGGGGAGTGGGGAGGGATAGCATTAGGAGATATACCTAATGTAAATGATGAGTTAATGGGTGCAGCACACCAACATGGCACATGTGTACATATGTAACAAACCTGCACGTTGTGCACATGTAACCTAGAACTTAAAGTGTAATAAAATCTATATATATAAAAAATAAATAAATAAATAAATAGGGCCACTTAGTGTCTGGGGCTTTTTTCCCATTGTCAATTGAGGCGTTAGTCTGGTTACCACAATTAAGGGTGAGCCCAGGATCTGACCAAGTGAGAGAGAGCCTGCCCCTTTAGAGGGTATGTGGTGAATCAGGTGTGGAGGTGGAATTTTTCTTTTTTTTTTTTTGAGATGGACTCTTGCTCTGTCACCCAGGCTGGAGTGCAGTGGGACGATCTCGGCTCACTGCAATCTCCGCCTCCTGGGTTCACACCATTGTCCTGCTTCAGCCTCCCAAGTAATTGGGACTACAGGCACCCGCCACCACACCCAGCTAATTTTTTGTGTTTTTAGTAGAGACGGGCTTTCACCGTGTTAGCCAGGATGGTCTTGATCTCCTGACCTGGTGATCTGCCCACCTCGGCCTCCCAAAATGCTGGGATTACAGGTGTGAGCCACCATGCCCGGCCTGAAGGTGGACATTCTTGCTTGAACAAAGAGAAGATGTTTTGATGTTTTCACTTGCAAATGCTCTATAATTTTGTCTCTTTTGTGTGTCAGAGAGGAGTCGGAGATATTAGCTATGCTAGGAGTAAGAAGAATGGCCCAAGAAGGAAAGCATGTACCAAGGTCCTGGGCAGAGGGAGCATGGGGTTTATGAGGTATTAAAAGCTATCCAGAGTGGCTAGAGAAGGGTAGGCAGCAAGGTAAAAACAGCCAGATGGTAAAGAGCATTATAAGCTTTGGAAATGATTTTAGACTTCATCTTTTTTGCATTTGGTAAAGGGGATTCATCTAAAAGGCTACTGCAGAAATTAAACTCTCAGTGAGAGTGATGTGGACCTAGATAGTGGTAGGGGGTATCAAGGGACTCAACTATAGAAGGTATAATAAGAAAGATTTGTGATTGATCCAATGTAGATTATGTGGGAGAGACAGAAGCTGAGAATAACTCCCCAATATTTATGACTTAAAAATCTAGGTAGAAGATGGGACCATTCAATGAAATATGGAAGAATGACAGGGGGAATTAGTCTTTTTGGGTTGAGTGCTAACAATTTGTACTCTATCAATTTAGCTAAGCTGGAATGACAGTTCTCAATATCCCCTTTCCTGAATAGTTCTAAATTAGTAGAGGCCACAAGAGCCATTTTGCTTGAGATTTTGAAGGCAGAAGTGAAACAGCAGCCATATTCTTTTTATGCTGGAAGATTGGTGCAGGGGCACCAGTGGCTACTTTAGCTCTTGCATGTTGTCATTTACCTAGAGGTTTCCTTGTTGGCAAGGCTTGCAACTTCTTCACCTCCTGCCAGAGTTTTCTTTTTTTGACAGAATCTGGCTCTGTCACCAATGCTGGAGTGCAGTGGCATAATCTCGGCTCACTGTAACCTCTGCATCCCAGGTTCAAGTGATTCTCCTGCCTCAGCCTCCCAAGTAGCTGGGACTACAGGCATGTACCACCATGCCCGGTTGATTTTTGTATTTTTAGTAGAGATGGGGTTTTGCCATGTTGGCCACACTGGTCTTGAACTCCTGACTGCAAGTGATCCGCCTGCCTTAGCCTCCACATGAGCCACCACACCCAGTTGATCTTTCTTTCTCTTTCTCTCTTTTTCTTTCTTTCCTTCCTTCCTTTTCTTTTCCTTCCTTCCTTCTTTCCTTCCTTCCCTCTTTCTTTCTTTTCTTTCTTTCTTTCTCTCTCTCTCTCCCTCCCTCCCTCCCTCTCTCTCTCTCTCAGTCTTTCTTTCTTTCTTTCTTTCTTTCTTTCTTTCTTTCTTTCTTTCTTTCTTTCTTTCTTTCTCTCTCTCTCTCTCTCTCTCTTTCTTTCTTTCTTTCTTTCTTTCTTTCTTTCAGCAGGGTCTCACTCTGTCACCCAGGATGGAGTACAGTGGCATGATCTCAGCTCACTGCAACCTCTGCCTCCCAGGTTCCCGCCATTCTCCTGCCTCAGCTGACTGAGTAGCTGGGACTACAGGCACCCACCACCACAACCAGCTAATATTTGCTTCAACAGAGATGTAGCTTCTCTTGCAGGTGACTTGCATCAGGCAGATTAGAGGCTGGAAGGCAGTGAGAGAGCAATGTGGGTTCCATGTAGTCCTCATGGGTCCCAGCTAATCATCATGTGTTTCAGTTTCTTGGCTCTCCCCTGCTTCTCATCTACCTATTTTTCCCTTGCTGACTGCAGGCTCAAGCACCAGGTACAAAGACAACAGCCTCAAAGAGATGGCTTAACTCAGCGGTCCCCAACCTTTTTGGAACCAGGGACTTGTTTCATGGAAGATAATTTTTCCACACACCAGGGGTGGGGTTGGTTTTGGGATGATTCAAGCTCTCTGTATTTATTGTGCACTTTATTTCTATTATTATTACACTGTAATGCATGATGAAATAATTCTACAACTCACCATAATGTAGAATCAGTGGGAATCCTGAGCTTGTCTACCTGAAACTAGATGGTCCCATCTGGGGGTGATGAAAGACAATGCCAGATCATCAGGCATTAGATTCTCATAAGGAGCACACAACCTAGGTCATGTGCAGTTCACAATAGGGTTTGTGTTCCTATGAGAATCTAATGCCACTTCTGATTTGACAGGAGGCAGAGCTCAGGCAGTAATGTGAGCGATGGGGAGTAGCTGTAAATACAGATAAAGCTTTGCTGGCTTGCCCATCACTCACCTCTTGCTGTGTGGCACAGTTCCTAACAGGCCACAGAGTGCAACTGGTCCATGGGCTGGGGTTTGCGAACGCCTGGTTTAACCAGTTCCCACAATTGCATGAAGTGTAGTACCTATCATAAATCTCTCATTACCTATTACATCTAGTGATTCTGTTTCTCTGATTAAACTACTGATAAATTGTGTTAGAGGAAGATCAGTTTAGTTTTATTCATACTGAATATGAAGAACTTATGAGACCATGAAATAGAGATCAAATAGGGAGATTAATATTCAGATCTGGGTATCAAAGATGATATATTCAAGACTTATTATAATGTAGATAAAAATACAGTCTTCGTATAATAAAAAATATATCCGTTCTTTGTCCTCCTTCCTGGCTCAGAGCTTCAAAAACCCTTGGAATTTCCCTAAGGAGAGAATGTCTTTGTTATGCTAACTGAAATAGCTCAAGGTGGGTTTTTAGCTTCCAGATGGGGGCTGGTCACAAGAAAGACCAACCACAAACCCCCAGAGTGGGAACTTTGGGCCAGCCAGACCTGCAAGGAGGGGAAGAGGGCTGGAGATTAAGCTCAACAATGCGGCTAATGATTTAGTCAATGGTTGTTACTGAACCAAACCTGAGTCCACTCACCCTGGTGTAGTAAGTCCAAACATTCAAACCAAGGCGTTGCAGTGAGAGAAAGGAAGGAGTCTATTTTCAAGGCACCAAGCAAGGAGAATTAAGCAACTCATGCTTAAGACCCGACCTCTCTAATGGTATGCAAGCAAAGGTTTTTAAAGAGAGGGGTAGATTTTAGGAAAACAGAAGTTACAGGCAAAATTGTAAATCA
Source organism: Homo sapiens (assembly GCF_000001405.40). Taxonomy (NCBI): domain Eukaryota; kingdom Metazoa; phylum Chordata; class Mammalia; order Primates; family Hominidae; genus Homo; species Homo sapiens. The sequence goes on from NC_000007.14 coordinate 97,314,462, forward strand.
ATGCATACAGGTTATACATTGATTTGGCCTGAAAAGGTGGAATATCTTGAAATGGGGGCTTTCAAAGGTCATAGGCGGATTCAAAGATTCTCTGATTTATTATTGGTTAAAGAAGCAAAACTCTGTGCAAAAACTTGGAATTTCAGTCCTCAGTTCCTCCTTATCTGAGGTCTGTGTGCCAGCAGATGGCATTTTCCATTTGGTAGGGATCTGGGTTTCTGAAAAACAATCCAGGGACATGTGTAAGTGTTATCTTTAGTTTCTATAGAGAGCCAAGCATCTTGTGGCTCTAACTTCTTGGCTATTGTCTTAAGCTATTATTATCTGGTTGCTCATTTACTTCTCAAGGCTATCTAGGTGCCTGGAATTTCCCTTGAAGGAACTCAAGATTTTCCTTAATTTTCATGTTTGGGATGGGGGAAGGAGCTGGCAAGGCCCTAGAAAGGGTCCCTGCTCCATCTCATTGTGCCTATGTAATAAAACACCAATAAAAATTCTGGACATTGGAGGTTTGGAGGAGCTTCCTGGTTGATGAATACACTGACGTGGAAGGTGATGCTCTGAATGCATGGGAGAGGACATGAAAGCTCTATACCGGGACTCTTCTAGAACTTGCCCTATGTGTATTTCTTCTGACAAAGCTGTAATTGTAAGTCCAGTGCTTTTCTGAGTTCTGAGAGTTGTTCTAGTGAATTATCAAACCCAAGGCAGGTTGGTTATTGGAACTCCTGAATTTGTACCCAAGTCAGTCAGAAATGTGGATGGCCTAGGGAACCCCAGAACTTGTGGCTGGTATCTGAAATCAGGGCAGTCTTGTAGAGGACTTTACTCTTAAACCTATGGAGTCTGATGTAACTCTCAGTAGTTAGTATCATTATTAAGTTATAGTAAACCTCGTTGGAGTGGAAATGGAGCAGAGGCCATGGAAATGGCTATTGTAATAAGAAAACAAACATTCAGGGAGACTGTCTAAATCCACATGAATCAGCAACCTTCTGTATGAAAAGTCATGGTCCTCTTTTGATAACTCTGATGTTCACCAGGAAGGGGCTATGGTGAAAGGCAGAGAAGGTACTGAGAGACAGGACTAGCTGGATTTCCTAGGCCAACTAAGAATCCCTAAGCCTAGCTGGGAAGGTGACCGCTTCCACCTTTAAAAACGGGGCTTGCAACTTAGCTCATACTCGACCAATCAGATAGTAAAGAGAGCTCACTAAAATGCTAATTAGGCAAAAACAAGAGGTAAAGAAATAGCCAATAATCTATTGCCTGAGAGCACAGCGGGAGGGACAATGATCGGGATATAAACTCAGGCATTCCAGCCAGCAATGGCTATCCTCTTTAGGTCCCCTCCCTTTGTATGGGAGTTCTGTCTTCACTCTATTAAATCTTGCAACTGCATTCTCTTTTGGTCTGTGTTTGTTACGGCTCGAGCTGAGCTTTTGCTCGAGCTGTTTGCTCGAGCCTCCGTGGAGCAAACTGTTGTTTGCCTCTATTGCAGACCCGCCACTGACTTCCATCCCTCTGGATCTGGCAGGGTGTCCGCTGTGCTCCTGATCCAGTGAGGTGCCCATTGCCGCTCCTGATCAGGCTAAAGGCTTGCCATTGTTCCCACACAGCTAAGTGCCCAGGTTCATCCTAATCGAGCTGAACACTAGTCACTGGGTTCCACGGTTCTCTTCTGTGACACACGGCTTCTAATAGAGCTATAACATTCAACGCATGGCCCAAGATTCCATTCCTTGGAATCCATGAGGACAAGAACCCCAGGTCAGAGAACACGAGGCTTGCCACCATCTTGGAAGTGGCTGGTGGCCATCCTGGGAGCTCTGGGAGCAAGGACCCCCCGGTAACAGTACCACAGCAAGTAGGGTGGTCCTGCTGTTTTGATGGTCCTCCCACCCCCAGGCTATGGGCCTCCTGTGTTATAACACAAACTCTGGACTTCATTCAGTCTCAGTGATATGGACAGGAGGCAAGGAAATACTGGCTAGAAGAGGGTAGTTCCCTAGCAAACGCCCCCACCCTCAAGCCTGGAAAACCACAGCCCTAAATGAGAAGAGGCATTCTTGTTTTTGTGCCCAAATGTTGCCTTTTCCAAGACCACTCTAGCCCACCATGCCCCCATCCTATACCCATAAAAACTACAAACCCCAAGTTCCATGAGCCCAACAGCAGAGGAGCAGAAGAGCGGCACAGCAGAGGAGAGAAGAGAAGGAGCATCTGAACATGGAGAGGAGTTTGGCTGGGGACGGTTGGAGAGATCGGCCGTGGAATGGCCGAACTCTAGGGGAAGATCATCTTCCCACTCCATCCCCTTTCCAGCTCCCCGTCCATCCTGCTGAGAGCCACCTCCATCTGGCAATAAAATTCCCCCACATTTACCATAATTCAATTTGTCCATGTGACCTGATTCTTCCTGGATGCCAGACAAGGACCCGGATACCAAGAGGGCACTGAGCTGGTTAACTCTTAAGCTGTCTGCAGATGGCAGAGCTAAAAGAGGACCGTAACATGCCCACTGGGGCTTCGGGAGTCACCAGTACCCACCCCTAGACACTATCATGGGGCTGGAGCCCAAAAGTGCTCACTCCAGGACCTGCACCTGCTCATCTGTGTGCTCCCCCTCCCATAAGGGAGGCAGGATCAGGGAACTCCTGTTTCACTAGCATCTCAAGTGCTTCATTTCTATGCCGTGAATCTGCATTAACTGCAGGTTATTCACTTTTAGTTTTGTTCTTCCAGCATCCAGTTTGCTCTGGGCATGAATAGCCTGTCCTGTATGGCTGGGTTGAGAGAGCAGGGAGGTTGTGGGAAGGTGGTGGATGACAGGACAGTTAGTATGGGCCGTAAGTTATATTACTTGCCAAACTTTTTCCTCACAAAGTAGTTTGTCTGAGCAAATGTAAAATGTGTTTTCTCAGATAGTTAATTAAGCCAAATGCACAGTGAACAACTCGTGGGCTTTCCTAGAGTCATTTGGGGTTTGCATTCAGCCTTTGAATCTGGGGAGGCTATCCCTTAATAATTTAGTATCTGGGAATGTTACCTGAGAACTAAGACTCTGAGCTACTAATTAGCCACCCAGAACCAAGAAGCTTTCTGTGTTGTTCTTACTATATTCATAAAAGCATAATCATGTGAGCTGATTTTTCAAGGAACAAACACATTTAGCAATATTTCATGATATTCTGTGTGGGCTTTTGCATGTAGGTGGCTGAGAGGCAAGATGTATTTGGATGTGGAATTGACTAAAAAGTGAAGTTTAGAGAAGGAATGTGTGTGTGTCTGTGGTGGTGGGGCGCTATTGCTCTTTCTGAAAGACTTTGCAGTTACAAGAGACACAAATTCCTTAGGTTAAAGGACAGTCAGATGGATGAATCTTAACTGCTTACTAGTCCACACAAACCACTGGGAGGTCTGAAGAGCATGACTGAGTCCTCCCAACCCTAACCAGGATGGTACCCTCTGTTAAAATAAAAGAAAAGAAAACAAAACAAACAGAACTTTAGACAAATTAAATTTAACAGACTTTAATTGAGCAAAGAGCAATTTTCAAATTAGGCCCCTGAAACAAAATAGGTTCAGAGAGACTCCAGGGCTGCCTTATGGTCAGAGATGTATGGACAGAAAGAGGAAAGTGACATACAGAAAATGGAAGTGAGGTACAGAAACAGCTGGATTGCTTACGGCTGGGCATTTGCCTATCTAAACATGATTTGAACAGTTGGCTGCCTTTGATTTGCCCAAATGTGGTAAACGGTACAAGAGTAGGTTATATTCTTTTTACATATCTAGTTAGGTTACATTTACTATGTATGGAGAAACCTTTAGGCTGAACTTAAAATATGTAAGGAGGCAGCTTTAGGCCAAACTTAATTGAACAATTCCCCTCTTTTAGAGGCTGACCAAAACTTTAGGCATTCATGTCACTCTGCCACCATTGTAAATGTACTTATTTGGTCTCAAATCCCACTGAAACATAACAGAACAGTGGGATTTGTAAGGGCTACAAGGACTTTAGGTTAGTTTTTTTGGTAAGAATTAGAGCAAAAGGTACTTCTTTATTATGCTGGAATCCCCTGTTCTCAGGAAGAAAAAAAATGGTTTGCTTTGGGATCTGTATGCTGCCTCGTAGTTTCAACTTGATTATGTTGCATTTGGCATGAGTGATGACATTTTTGTTTTGTCTGGTCTAGTGCACAAGCTCAGTCCAATACAATGGCATCCGATAATTTTGTTTAAAAGTTCTCCACCTTTTTTTTTTTTTTTTTTTCGAGATGGAGTCTCGCTCTGTTGCCCAGGCTGGAGTGCAGTGGTGCGATCTCGGCTCACTGCAAGCTCCACCTCCCGAGTTCACGCCATTATCCTGCCTCAGCCTCATGAGTAGCTGGGACTACAGCCACCCGCCACCACTCCTGGCTAATTTTTTGTATTTTTAGTAGAGATGGGGTTTCACTGTGTTAGCCAGGATGGTCTCGATCTCCTGACCTTGTGATCCGCCCACCTCGGCCTCCCAAAGTGCTAGGATTACAGGTATGAGCCACCGCATCTGGCCAGTTCTCCACCTTTTTGGTCTGAATCTCACTTAGGTGAGAGTGTGACCAAAACTAGGTTTTGGCACTACTTTCAGTTACCATCATTTTGAGTTTCTGGTCTCAGTATGTCATTCATAGGTGACGATGTCCTCATAGTCATGCATTTCTTTGAGATTTTGTCATTCCAGCTGAAGTGAGACCATTTGATATTCTACAGAAAGCTGCATGAAAACATTTAAAACTTTTGAGAGAATACAGTGCACCAGGGAGACTACTGTTATTACTATGAGGAAAATAATACCAAGAGTTTGAAGTATGCTTTTTAGTCAGGGCCTTCATAAACTAAACCATCTAAAAGCAAATAGAGCAAAGAATGAGCTAGAAAAAGAATCTACTAGTTTCAACCAAGGAGCTTGTTAATTCCCTACAGCTAAATCTCTATAATACCCCATATATTTATACATGTACAACAGGAAGTGTCAGGAACTCTACAGATTATTTTGTGTTATACCAGTAAGTATTCCAGAGCGATTGTATTATTTAGCATAACTTTAGCAAGATACTTTTTAAAAGTCTGTTGTAAATCCACAGCATTTGCAGTAGAATCTGATATAAAGCCTATTAGGAGGGACAAATTTCTATTCATTGCGTCATTTATTCCAAATCACAGATAAAGGAAGCTAACAAATGATTCCCACCTTGAAGGGTGAAGGCCTCCTGGCAATGTTCTATTTAACCTAGAATGTAGGTTAACAGGAATGGACCAATGTTCTGTTTCTGACTGATGATGAATCAACAAATGCACCATTAAATTCCTCACCCACACTGACTTTTCATTTTCTTTCTTTTTTTTTTTTTTTTTGATGGAGTCTCGCACTGTCGCCAAGGCTGCAGTGCAGTGGCATGATCTCAGCTCACTGAAAGCTCCATCTCCCGGGTTCACGCCATTCTCCTGCCTCAGCCTCCTGAGTAGCTGGGACTAGAGGTGCCCGCCATCACACCTGGTTAATTTTTTTGTATTTTTAGTAGAGACGGGGTTTCACCATGTTAGCCAGGATGGTCTCGATGCCCTGACCTCGTGATCTGCCTCCCTCGGCCTCCCAAAGTGCTGGGATTACAGGCGTGAGCCACCGTGCCCCGCCTGGCTTTTCATTTTCTATACATCAAGGTATAAGTTTGCTCATGTGTAAGGTTGGCTGTGAAATCTTCCACAAATAAAAGTACGCCCCCTGGGTGCACACAAGATCTCTTTTCCAATTCTACTGTTCATAGGGGCATGAACAAGGAAAAACTTAAGAGAGGTAAGAGGCTCATGATAGCAGAGAAGTCTTGACTTGTTATCTTAGGAAAGCTGTCCATGTCTAGAATGCTATGTGCTTCCAGGGACAAACTCCCCCTGTAACCTTTACCTCAAAGCCTCCATTGGGTGCCCAGTTCTGAGAGTCTGGAAGGGCCCTTCTGAGTTGTGATATTATAGACCCCAGTTTCAAGGTCCTGAAGTTTTGCTCTAGTTTAAGTGGAAAGGGCAGCCTTTCTCTGATGTTGTTTCCAGAAGACTCAATCTTTGGGTTCTAGATTGTTAGGGGTTTAATTGTCCTCATTTGGTAGATCATGAAAAGCTTTCTTTACCTGGTGAAAATACACTTAGGCATAATGCATTAAAGCCTTGCATCATTTATTCATATCAGAATTTAGAAGTAGAAGATACATGAGGTTCTATTATTAGAAGCATAGGCCTTCCAGTGACTATTTCATAAGGGTTCAACTTATGTTTTCCACTGGAAGTGGATCTCATTGTCATCAGTCTGCGTTACCTTTGACCAGGCTATCTAGTCCATTCAGTTAGCTTTGCCTAATATTATTGTATCTGCAATACCTTATTTAACTATTTTACAACTTGCCAGTGAAACAAGTACATTTATTGCTGGAGATTTCTCCAGTAATGCACCATGAAAGAAGTATATTTCCTAATAACTTTTTAGCAACTGTTATAGCATCACCCTTCTTGCATGGGAAAGCTTTTATACAACCAGAAAACATGCATTGAAAATGACAAGTGGGCCAGGTGCGGTGGCTCACACCTGTAATCCCAGCACTTTGGGAGGCCGAGGCGGGCGGATCACGAGGTCAGGAGATTGAGACCATCCTGGCTAACACAGTGAAATCCCGTCTCTACCAAAAATACAAAAAATTAGCTGGGTGCTGTGGTGGGCACCTGTAGTCTCAACTACTCGGGAGTCTGAGGCAGGAGAATGGCATGAACCCAGGAGGTGGAGCTTGTAGTGAGCCGAGATCGTGCCACTGCACTCCAGCCTGGACGACAGAGCGAGACTTCATCTCAAAAAAAAAAATAAATAAAAGAAAAAATAAAAAGAAAATGATAGGTGAATGAAAACCCACCATTAAATGTTAAAATGCTACCATGAGGTAGCAGAAATGTACCCGACATTTTGATTGTATTCCCAGGATTATGAGTTTGACAAACCAAACATTGGTCATAAAACATTTCAGCAATTTAGAACAGTCATCACACCAATATACACATTTTCTATTTGGATCATTGTATTGCTTCCATGATGAGTCAGGAAAGGCATAGCTTTTAGTAATGGAAGCTTTAACCAGAAAGGACCAGATGGTGATCTAAGCTCTCCATTAACCCATGCTTAACACTGAATTTATATCCTTTTAAATACTAGTTTTATTTCTCCAATTCAGGTGCCTAGGTAATTGTACCTGAATTGGAGAAACAGACTGGTATTTAAGAGGATATAAATTTAATAACCCAATCTAATAATTGGGATATCATAGGTAATTTGACTTGGACCATGGAGTTCATTTGAACTGCAAATCACATTTCAGTATTGGCTGATTTAGCATGAAAATCTGGCAGAGTATTCCTTTGGTATTAATTCTTTTCCTGCTGGGTTTGCAGTTTTATAATCCAGTCAATTTCTTCATTAGAGTTCTGGGAATTTTTACCCAATCCAAATGATATGATCCTAAAGTTATCCAAAACCTGTATTCCAGAATGGTCGTCAGGGGTCTTTCCAGGAACCTCCTTAAAGATACAATATTCTAGGATTTTACTTGCTTGTAAGCTTTCAGAAAATGCATTAGAATTAAGCAACTGGCCAGGCGTGGTGGCTCACGCCTGTAATCCTGGCACTTTGCAAGGCTGAGGTGGGCGCATGACCTAAGATCAGGAGTTCGAGACCAGCCTGGCCAACATGGTGAAACCCCATCTCTACTAAAAATACAAAAATTAGCCGGGCATGGTGCCAGGTGCCTGTAATCATAGCTACTCAGGAGGCTGAGGCAGGAGAATTGCTTGAACCCAGGAGACCGAGGTTGCAGTGAGCTGAGATCATCCAGGGCCCTCCAGCCTAGGTGACAGAGCAAGACTCTGTCTCAAACAAACAAACAAACAAAAGAATTAAGTAATTAACTGTGGAAATAAAATGGTCTTAAAAGATAACTTAAATGGTCTTAAAAATAACTTAAAAGATGAAATTCACAAGAAAATTTTATTTCTATGGCCTATAATAATTTAACATAATAACCATAATTATGACTGAAAACATACCAAGACATATCAGAATTTTAGGAACCTCATACAATTTTGGAACATATATTGATAACATTTTCACAAAATATAACTCAAAGAAGGTTAAACCTTTCTTATTTGACAATCCTTTCCATGTAATTTAACATATCAAATAAATCTGTTTATTCTCTCTTTAGGAGGCTTCAAGGGTCTTCTGTAACATCCCAAAGTTAGTTTTCAGTCAAAAAGATTTAATTTTAAATTTGATTTTAGAAAGCTTGTCAAATACGTCAAAGGTTTAAAACAAAACAGGATCAAAGATCACTGTAAAATAATAGTGATTAATTTAGCCTAAGTGACAATTTAAAGTTTTTAAAAAGCAATACTCTGGTTTCTCTTCAGATCATATAAATGTTTCGCCTTTTAAAGTTTTTAAAAAGTGAAAATCTTCATTCTTTCATAGAGAGGAAACTCAGTTTTCCAATCAAGAGACCTAAAAAAGACAGCATGAAACAGAATCTCTCTTCTTCCTTTCTTCTTTTTTTTTTTTTTTTGCATTTTACTCAAAAGGTGAACAAAGATATTTTACTGTCTCTTATTAATACTACATGAAATCCTTGTTCAAAATATAAAACCAAAACTTACTTTTGTATTAGTGTGTTATCAATACTGAAGCTAACTTTAGCAATCTTAGCAAATCCATTCAATCTCAATCAGCTTTTGACCACACAAGATTTCAGTAAACCTTTTATAATTTTCTACAGAACTTCTTTCTATTCTCTTTCTCTTTTCAACTTTCTATATTCACTTAATTTTATCTGTCATTTTTATTCCTTTATTTTGAAACAAACTTTAAATAACTTCTCTTCTAGACAAAATTATTTGTTTCTCAACAAGCACATATTTTCATGCCTTTACAATGTTCCTCACCAAAAACATATATTGCTTTTCTTTATACACTCTGTATACAGAATTATTTCTCTAGTAAACAATTGTAAATCTAGTAGTTTTAATTACATATATTAGCTACAAATTCAACTTAGTAACCCTAATTTCTAGTGAAATTCTAGGAAGTAAGTAATTTTGAACTGTTTTATATCAGTATTTGTAGATGAAAACCATTTCATAATTGTTAAGAAAGAAGTTTCCTGGCAATTTTTTAATTAGCTAATCTAGATATATTTAGCTTTTCTATACCATATAAATATAAGATGCAAAGTATATAAACAAACATATGTTTAATAATTAATGTTTCAGTATTTTAACTTAGAAATGACTTGACATTTTATGACCACCTATTACTTGATTTAACATAACATGAAAACTGAAAAGAACTGTGAAACTATGGCCAGGCACAGTGGCTCACGCCTGTAATCCGAGCACTTTGGGAGGTCGAGGGGGGTGGATCACCTGAGGTCGGTAGTTTGAGACTAGCCTGACCAACATGGAGAAACCCTGTCTCTACTAAAAATACAAAATTAGCCAGGTGTGGTGGCTCAAGCCTGTAATCCCAGCTACTTGGGAGGCTGGGGCAGGAGAATCGCTTGAACCTTGGAGGCAGAGGTTGCAGTGAGCTGAGATCATGCCATTGCACTCCAGCCTGGGCAACAAGAGCAAAACTCCATCACACACACACAAAAAAGAATTGTGAAACTATGACACTGGTACCCTCCCTGACATCTTCTCTGGTTATACTGGGTCCCAAGTACTCATGTGGTTGACTAGGATGACTAGGAAGGGTGGGAATCACCTAGGTCCTGAATTTACACACTGTCTATAGAGCTCAGGATAGAGGACACAGCTGGGAAGAGGATCCCTGGAGGATTCAACGCCTCCCTGAACGGCCAGAAGGCAAAGCTGCACCAGGGAGGAAGGGGCCATTTTGGGCTTTACTCTGCCATCTAGGCACTGAGAACATATCCCCAGGGCTCAGCATGGCCACTTGTCAAGCCCCGGAATCCAAAGGCTCAAAACCAAACACACAGTAAGATGCGTGTTTCAAGGAAGCCCAGCAACCAGCTCTTACAACTTTAGCTTACAAACAAATCAAGTAAGTATCAAAAATATTACAGAAGCAGCAATTTCATAACATTAAAACAGGTATCAGAGACAGCATAAACCTCTCTGACCAGTATTTGAAGATAAAGAAGCCTGAATTATACTAAACTGACAATTCTGAATTCATTCTTATTTTATTTTACTAACAATTTAAAAACCAGCTTTATTTACAAAATACTATCACATAGCATAACACATATAGACATATAGAAATACAGACAGACAGAAGCAGGTCTTTTTTTTTTTTTTTTTTTTTTTTCTTTGAGACAGAGTCTCACTCTGTCGCCCAGGCTGGAGTGCAGTGGTGCAATCTCAGCTCACTGTAACCTCTGCCTCCCAGGTTCAAGTGATTCTCCTGCCTCAGCCTCCCAAGTAGCTGGGACTACAGGCATGTACCACCACGCCCGGCTAATTTTTTGTATTTAGTAGAGATGGGGTTTCACCATGTTGGTCAGGCTGGTCTTGAACTCCTGACCTCAGGTGATCCACCAGCCTCAGCCTCCCAAAGTGGTGGGATTACAGGCGTGAGCCACTGTGCCCAACAGAAGCAGGTCTTATAACTTTCATAAAGAATTCTCATTTGCTGGCTTTCAAACAGTTTTTTTTTCCATTCAGACTATCAATCTTCCAGTGACTTGTTTTATTGCCCTCAGTAACTGTCAGCTAAGCAACTCTAAATTTGCATTTCTAACAAGATGACTCTTAGGTGAAACAAGGGAGAAAGTTTATATCTCAAAATCACGGAGGTAGGCCTCGGGCCTAAATATTGTACCATCATTTGTCTAAACCAAGGGAAAAGGGTAGAGGTAAGGCCCAGTTAAAATTATAAGAAAAAGTTAAATGGGAGAGTTCCCTGACCCCCCTTTGCAGGATGTGTGACAGGGGTGTGGCTCATCTGTTTGGCCACCCATGCTCAAACCCCTTATTGGAGGGGGAGCAGATGGGCAGGTGCAGGAGCCAGGGTGAGTGTTTTTGGGCTCCAGCCCCACGGTAGCATCTGGGGGTGGGTGCCTGCAACTCCCAGAGCCCAAGTGAGGATGTTACACTGCTCTTTTAGCCCTGCCATCTTCAGACTGCTTAAGTGTTAACGAGCTCAATGCCCTCTTGGTACCTGGGTCCTTGTCCAGCATCCAGGAAGAATCCGGTCACACGGACAAATTGAAGGATGGTAAATGTGGGGGACTTTTTTTCCAGGTGTAGGTGGCTCTCAGCAGGATGGACAGGGAGCTGGAGAGCGGATGGAGTAGGGTGGGAAGATGAACTTCCCCTGGAGTTCAGCCATCCTGCAGCTGATCTCCTCTCCGACTGTCCCCAGCTGAACTCCTCTCGACCTTCAGACACTCCTTCTCTGTTGTGCCACTCTTCTGCTCCTTTGCTCTTCTGCTCATGGGGCTTTGGGTTTGGGGTTTATATGGGTACAGAATAGGGGGGTGTGGTAGGACAAAAGGCAATATTTGGGCAAGAAAACGGAAATGCCTGTTCCCATTTAGGGCTGTGGGTTTCCAGGCTTGAGGGTGGGGCCTTGACTGGGGAACCGCCCTCTTCTACCGAGTATTTCCCTGTCTCCTGTCCATATCAAAGGTACCTTAAACAAAAGACTTGTTATGTAAATTTGAAACAATGGTAAGAGTTTCTAGTGACTCAGGCCTCTGTCTCTTCTTGGTGTACAGAGGAACACACCCTTAAAAATGAAGACGTTTGGCCAAGAGTGGTGGCTCATGCCTGTAATCCCAGCACTTTGGGAGGCCGAGGTGGGTGGATCACGAGGTCAGGAGATGGAGACCATCCGGGCTAACATGGTGAAACCCCGTCTCTACTAAAAATACAAAAAATTAGCCGGGCGTGGTGGTGGGCGCCTGTAGTCCCAGCTACTCGGGAAGCTGAGGCAGGAGAATGGCGTGAACCCGGGAGGCAGAGCTTGCAGTGAGCTGAGATCGCGTCACTGCACTCCAGCCTGGGCGACAGAGCGAGACTCCATCTCAAAAAAAAAAAAGAAGACATTTTTCATAGATGTAAATTTTTTTTACAAAAGGATTTCAAAATAGCTAGCTAAATGCCAGGAAGTTATATTTTGGAGACTGATTTAGTTTAATAGTACATCTTTTTAACTTAGCTACTGTTTCTTAGCTAAAATTACTGAGTTCAGAGTGGAGCTCATTAAGAAGAAAAAGCACAAAGAACCAATTCTCTATGCCTGGACTCAGCACTCAGCATAGATAGCTTTGGAAAAAAAAAAAAAAAAAGAAGCAAACTTACTTTACCAGGGGCCTACCTTTTATAAATACTTCATCCAAGATAGCTTTTTTTCAGCCTTTAGGGTATAATAGTAACTAAGCAAAAGGTTAGTAGATTTAATTTTTCTTACCAATCAGTTGCTTAAGCCTTTTATTTGCCTCATATAGTCTTTTTAAAGAGGCAATAAAATACTGAAATCTTTTTAGAAGCTTCTGCACATCAATAAGCCTCCCTGCATGAGACAAATTTGGGAACCTTCATTTTAAATGCATTTCTTAAAGTGCAGTGTTGTTCATTTGGAATGTTTCATAGTGATTTGGTATTGATATGGACAGGAGGCAGGGAAATACTGGGTAGAAGAGGGTGGTTGTCTGGCAGAGGTCCCACTCTCAAGCCTGGAAACCTGCAGCCCTAAATGGGAACAGGCATTCCTGTTTTCATGCCCAAATGTTGCCTTTTGGCCTGCCACATCCCCCTATCCTGTACTCATAAAAACCCTAAACCTCAGCCTCCAGAAGCTGACAAGCAGAGAAACAGATGAGTGGCCGAGTGGCATGGCAGAGAAGGAGAGAAGGAGCATCTGAACATTGAGAGGAGTCTGGCTGGGGATGTTTGGAGAGGAGATCAGCTGTGGGACAGCCAAACTCCAGGGGAAGATCATCTTTCTACTCCATCCCCTTTCCAGCTCCCCATCTGTCCTGCTGAAAGCCACCTCCACCACTCAATAAAATCCCCGCATTCACCATCCTTCAAGTCTGTGTGACCTGATTCTTCCTGGACGCTGGACAAAGACCCAGGTACCAAGAGGGCAGGGTGTAAAAGGCTGTCACCCTGGCTCTCCACTGAGCTGGTTTAATACTTAGCCATCTGCAGGTGGCAACTGCTAAGAGAGCATTAATTGTAACACACCCCTAGATGCTACCGTGGGGCTGGAGCCCAAAAGTGCTTTCCCTGGCTCTTGCACCTGCCTGTCTGTGTACTCCTCCTCCTGAAAGGGGTTTGAGTGTGCAGCAGCTGAGCAAACGAGTCACACCCCCATCACGAGTCCCGTGAAGGGCTCAGGGAACTCTCCCATTACATTATCTTTAGTAAGATTTCAACATTTTTGTAAGCATTTGCTGCTTCCAGGGTCTAATACTTACACATGCAATTGTAAGTATAATTGGAAGGTGGAGTAATCAGTTTTTTAGAAATTAAGAATCCCATTTTTATGTCAAATCTTGGTTTTGGCTCTTAAATCCCCCTGATCAACTTATCCAATGATTTTTTCCTACCTAAACATGCCAGAGAAAAAAATCAAAAGAGACAGAACACAAAAATCTCTGCAAATTTCCAAAAATTGAAGTTTGCACCCCCTGTAGCATTGCCATTTACTGCCAGTTTCTGTTTCATCCAGTCAGATATCCAAGGCCTCTAACTGGATCCAAGCCAGTTACTTTTCAGCTCGAGTCTAGGATTAGACTAGACTAATTAGTCTAGTGTGAATCCCAGCGTGATTGACACAGAAGATGGGTGATTTCTGCATTTCCAGCTGAGCTACCTGGTTCATCTAATTAGTCTAATCCTAGACTCTGTCCAGTTTCTGTCCTAAGGTCCTAATCCAGTTCAGATAAAAAATTTGCTCAAACTAATTTAGATAGCTCAAAACACAAGTCCACGGAGCTTTGGAATCCAAGAGTGAACTTACCCACAATCACCAGTTTCTGCAAGAGAGCAATGAACACAATGGGCCTGGTAGGTATTTTTCTTGGTCTCTTGGTGCTTCTGGGGGTTGCAAGAGGCTCTACTTTGGGTTCCACTTCTAATGCCATCTGTTAAAACAAAACAAAACAAAAAACTTTAGACAAGTTAAATTTAACAGAGTTTAATTGAGCAAAGAATAATTTCAGATTGGGTAGCCCCCCAAACCAGAATAGATTCAGAGCTACTCCAGCACTGACACATGGTCAGAGAGGATTTATGGACAGAAAAAAGAAAATGACATACAGAAAACAGAAGTGAAGTAGAGAAACTAGATTGGTTACAGCTGGGCATTTGCCTTATTTGAATATGGTTTGAAGAGTTGGCTTCCTTTGATTGGCTGAAATTTGGTGATTGATATAAGAAAATAGGTTACAGTCTGTTGAAACATCCAGTTAGGTTATAGTTCCCTATGTGTGGAGAAACCTGTAGACTGAACTTAAAATATGTAAGGAGGCAGCCTTAGGCTAAACTTTCTTAACACCTGTCTCTATCTTCCTGTTCCTCTGTCTGGTCATTATAAGGCAGTATCTTGAGACTAAATATTCACCGGCAGCAAGTAAAGGTAGTGTCCCAGCACCTCACCAGCTCTGTAACTATAGGAAAGTCACCAGTTTGGACTATTTCTCACTCATGTGCCTTGAACCTCAACCCTGCCTTCCCACACAACCACCATCATTGTTCCTCTAGCTTTTGGATGTGGTTGGGGAATAAGGAAGTGGCCTAAAGACATACCTGTTTTCAAATCCTGGCTGTTCCTCACTAGCTGTGTGACTCTATCAGCCACATAGCTTCTGTAAGTCATGATCTCTCTTCTGTAAAAATGGATAAAAATGTGGCCTCATGCGTCTAAGGATTAACTGTAGTAATGTACATAAAGCTCTTAGCACAGGGCCTGAAACTTGCTAGGTGCTGGTAAGTAGTAGCTAATAACTTTATTATTTATATCGTGTTTATGAATGGGCTATTAGTAAACAAGTTTATTCAAAAGGCCACGTGGTTCACAAAGAAGATTATTTATAGAGTGCAATTCAATTGCTTACAGGGCTTATGAGGACATGAAAGATTGAGTTTTTTTTTTTTTTTCTTCTGTGCCACGGTGGCCATAGACTTCTTTTTCTGGCCATGCATTAGGACAAGCATCACGTAGATAAGAAGTGATGGGAGAGATCCGTTCTAAGACGGCTGAATAGGAACAGCTCTGGTGTGCAGCTCCCAGTGTGACTGACGCAGAAGATGGGTGATTTCTGCATTTCCAGCTGAGCTACCTGGTTCATCTCATTGGGACTGGTTGGATAGTGGGTGCAGCCTACAGAGGGCCAGCCAAAGCAGGGCAGGGCATTGCCTCACCCAGGAAGCGCAAGGGGTCAGGGGATTTCCCTTTCCTAGCCAAGGGAAGCCGTGACAAACTGTACCTGGAAAAACAGGAAACTCCCGCCCATATATTGCGCTTTTCCCAGTTTTTCTTAGCAACTGGCAGACAGATTCTCCCCTGTGCCTGGCTCGGCAGGTCCCACGCCCACGGAGCCTTGCTCACTGCTAGTGCAGCAGTCTGAGATTGAACTGCGAGGTGGCAACCTGGCTGGGGGAGGGGTGTCTGCCATTGCTGAGGCTTGAGTAGGTAAACAAAGCGTCAGGGAAGCTCAAACTGGGCAGAGCCCACCACAGCTCAGCAAGGCCTCTGCTTCTATAGATTCCACCTCTGTGCGCAGGGCATAGCTGAACAAAAGGCAGCAGATAGCTTCTGCAGACTTAAATGTCCCTGTCTGACAGCTCTGAAGAGAGCAGTGGTTCTCCCAGCATGGCATTTGAGCTCTGAGAATGGACAGATTGCTTCCTCAAGTGGGTCCCTGATGCCCGTGTAGCCTAACTGGGAGACATCTCCCAGTAGGGGCCGATAGACACCTCATATAGGCAGGTGCCCCTCTGGGACGAAGCTTCCAGAGGAAGGACCAGGCAGCAATATTTGCTGTTCTGCAATATTTGCTGTTCTGCAGCCTCTACTGATGACACCCAGGCAAACAGGGTCTGGAGTGGAACTCCAGCAAACTCCAACAGACCTGCAGCTGAGGGACCTGTTAGAAGGAAAACTAACCAATGGAAAGGAATAGCACCAACATCACCAAAATGGACATCTACACCAAAGCCCCATCTGTAGGTCACCAGTATCAAAGACAAAAGGTAGATAAAACCACAAAGGTGGGAAGAAACCAGAACAGAAAAGTGGAAAATTCTAAAACCCAGAGTGCCTCTTCTCCAAAGGATTGCAGCTCCTCACTAGCAATGGAACAAAGCTGGACAAAGAATGACTTTGATGAGTTGACAGAAATAGGCTTCAGAAGGTCAGTAATAACAAACTTCTCTGAGCTAAAGGAGCATGTTCAAACCCATTGCAAGGAAGCTAAAAACCTTGAAAAAAGCTTAGACGAATGGCAAACTAGAATAAACAGTGTAGAGAAGACCTTAAATGACCTGATGGAGCTGAAAACCATGGCACAAGAACTTCATGATGCATGCACAAGCTTCAACAGACAATTCGATCAAGTGGAAGAAAGGGTATCAGTGATTGAAGATCAAATTAATGAAATAAAGTAAGAAGACAGGGTTAGAGTAAAAAGAAACAAACAAAGCCTCTAAGAAATATGGGGCTATGTGAAAAGACCAAATCTACGTTTGACAGGTGTACCTGAAAGTGACAGGGAGAATGGAACCAAGATGGAAAACACTCTTCAGAATATTATCCAGGAGAACTTACCCAACCTAGCAAGGCAGGCCAACATTTAAATTCAGGAAATACAGAGAACACCACAAAGATACTCCTCGAGAACAGCAACCCCAAGACACATAGTAGTCAGATTCACCAAGGTCGAAATGAAGGAAAAAATGTTAAGGGCAGCCAGAGAGAAAGATCTGGTTACCCACAAAGGGAAGCCCATCAGACTAACAGCAGCTCTCTCGGCAAAAACCCTACAAGCCAGAAGAGAGTGGGGGCCAATATTCAACATTCTTAAAGAAAAGAATTTTCAACCCAGAATTTCATATCCAGCCAAATTAAGCTTCATAAGTGAAAGAGAAACAAAATCCTTTATAGACAAGCAAATGCTGAGAGATTTTGTCACCACCAGGCCTGCCTTACAAGAGCTCCTGAAGGAAGCACTAAACATGGAAAGAAACAACTGGTACCAGCCACTACAAGAACATGCGAAATTGTAAAGACCATCGATGCTATGAAGAAACTGTATCAATTAACAGGCAAAATAACCAGCTAACATCATAATGACAGGATCAAATTCACACATAACAATATTAACCTTAAATGTAAATGGGCTAACTGCCCCAGTTGAAAGACACAGATTGGCAAATTGGATAAGGAATCAAGACCCATCAGTGTGCTGTATTCAGGAGACCCATCTCATGTGCAGAACATAGGCTCAAAATAAAGGGATGGAGGAAGATCTAACAAGCAAACGGAAAGCAAAAAAAAAGCAGGGGTTGCAATCCTAGTCTCTGATAAAACAGACTTTAAACCAACAAAATCAAAAGAAACAAAGAAGGCCATTACATAATGGTAAAGGGATCAATTCAACAAGAAGAGCTAACTATCCTAAATATATATGCACCCAAGACAGGAGCACCCAGATTCATAAAGCAAGTCCTTAGAGACCTACAAAGAGACTTAGACTCCCACACAGTAATAATGAGAGACTTTAACACCCCACTATCAATATTAGACAGATCAACGAGACAGAAGATCAATAAGGATATCCAGGACTTGAACTCAGCTCTGCACCAAGCAGACCTAATAGACATCTACAGAATGTTCCACCCCAAATCAACAGAATATACATTCTTCTCAGCAACACATAGCACTTATTCTAAAATTGACTACATAATTTGAAGTAAAGCACTCCTCAGCAAATGTAAAAGAACAGAAATCACAACAAACTGTCTCTCAGAACACAGTGCAATCAAATTAGAACTCAGGATTAAGAAACTCACTCAAAACCTCACAACTACATGGAAACTGAACAACCTGTTCCTGAATGACTATTGGGTAAATAATGAAATGAAGGCAGAAATAAAGATGTTCTTTGAAACCAGTGAGAACAAAGACACAACGTACCAGAATCTCTGGGACACATTTAAAGCAGTGTGTAGAGGGAAATTTATAGCACTAAATGCCCACAAGAGAAAGCAAGAAAGATCCAAAATCGACACCTGAACATCACAATTAAAAGAACTAGAGAAGTGGCCAGGCACGGTGGCTCATGCCTGTAATCCCAGCACTTCGGGAGGCCAAGGCGAGCCGATCACCAGGTCAGGATATCAAGACCATCCTGGCTAACATGGTGAAACCCCGTCTCTACTAAAACATACAAAAAATTAACTGGGCGTGGTGGCGGGCACCTGTGGTCCCAGCTACTCGGGAGGCTGAGGCAGGAGAATGGTGTGAACCCAGGAGGCAGAGCTTGCAGTGAGCTGAGATCAAGCCACTGCACTCCAGCCTGGGCAACAAAGTGAGACTCTGTCTCAAAAAAAAAAAAAAAAAAAAAAAAAAGAACTAGAGAAGCAAGAGCAAACAAATTCAAAAGCTAGCAGAAAGGCAAGAAATAACTAAGATCGGAGCAGAACTGAAGGAGATAGAGACACAAAAAAAAACCCTTCAAAAATCAATGATTCCAGGAGCTGGTTTTTTGAAAAGATCCACAAAACTGATAGACCACTAGCAAGACTAATAAAGAAGAAAAGAGAGTAGAATCAAATTGATACAATAAAAAATGATAAAGGGGATATCACCACCGATCCCACAGAAATACAAACTACCATCAGAGAATACTATAAACACCTCTATGCAAATAAACTAGAAAATCTAGAAGAAATGGATAAATTCCTGGACACATATACCCTCCCAAGACTAAACCAGGAAGAAGTTGAATCTCTGAATAGATCAATAACAGGCTCTGAAATTGAGGCAATAATTAATAGCCTAACAACCAAAAAGAAATCCAGGAGCAGACAGATTCACAGCCAAATTCTACCAGAGGTACAAAGAGGAGCTGGTACTACTCCTTCTGAAACTATTCCAATCAATAGAAAAAGAGGGAATCCTCCCTACCTCATTTTATGAGGCCAGCATCATCATGCTACCAAAGCCTGGCAGAGACACAACAAAAAAAGAGAATTTTAGACCAATATCCCTGATGAACATCAATGCGAAAATCCTCAATAAAATACTGGCAACCTGAATCCATCAGCACATCAAAAAGCTTATCCACCACAATCAAGTTGGCTTCATCCCTGGGATGCAAGGCTGGTTCAACATACACAAATCAATAAATATAATCCATCACATAAACAGAACTAATGACAAAAAACACATGATTGTCTCAATAGATGCAGAAAAGGCCTCGACAAAATTCAACAGCCCTTCATGCTAAAAACTCTCAATAAATTAGGTATTGATGGAACATATCTCAAAATAATAAGAGCTATTTATGAGAAACCCATAGCCAATATCATACTGAATGGGCAAAAACTGGAAGCATTCCCTTTGAAAACTGGCACAAGACAGGGATGCCCTCTCTCACCACTCCTATTCAACATAGTGTTGGAAGTTCTGGCCAGGGCAATCAGGCAAGAGAAAGAAATAAAGGGTATTCAATGAGGAAAAGAGGAAGTCAAATTGTCCCTGTTTGCAGATGACATGATTGTATATTTAGAAAACCCCATCATCTCAGCCCAAAATCTCCTCAAGGTGATAAGCAACTTGAGCACAGTCTCAGGATACAAAATCAATGTGCAAAACTCACAAGCATTCTTATACACCAATAACAGACAAACAGCCAAATCATGAGTGAACTCCCACTCACAATTGCTACAAAGAAAATAAAATACCTAGGAATATGACTTATAAGGGATGTGAAGGACCTCTTCAAAGAGAACTACAAACCACTGCTCAACGTAGTAAAAGAGGACACAAACAAATGGAAGAACATTCCATGCTCATGGATAGGAAGAATCAATATCGTGAAAATGGCCATACTTCCTGAGGTAATTTATAGATTCAATGCCATCCCCATCAAGCTACCAATGACTTTCTTCACAGAATTGGAAAAAAGTACTTTAAAGTTCATATGGAACCAAAGAAGAGCCCACATTGCCAAGACAATCCTAAGGAAAAAGAACAAAGCTGGAGGCATCATGCTACCTGACTTCAAACTATACTACAAGGTTACGGTAACCAAAACAGCATGCTACTTGTACCAAAACAGATATATAGACCAATGGAACAGAACAGAGGCCTCAGAAGTAACAGCACACAACTACAACCATCTGATCTTTGACAAACCTGACAAAAACAAGAAATGGGGAAAGGATTCCCTGTTTAATAAATGGTGCTGGGAAAACTGGGTAGCCATGTGTAGAAAGCTGAAACTGGATCTCTTCCTTACACCTTACACAAAATTTAATTCAAGATGGATTAAAGACTTAAATGTTAGACCTAAACCATAGAAATCCTAGAAGAAAACCTAGACAATACCATTCAGGATACAGGCATGGGCAAGGACTTCATGACTAAAACACCAAAAGCAATGGCAACAAAAGCCAAAGTTGACAAATGTGATCTAATTAAACTAAAGAGCTTCTGCACAGCAAAAGAAACTACCATCAGAGTGAACAGGCAACCTACAGAATGGGAGAAAATGTTTGCAATCTACCCATCTGACAAAGGGCTAATATCCAGAATCTACAAAGAACTCAAACAAATTTACAAGAAAAAAGCAAACAACCCCATCCAAAACTGGGCAAACAATATGAACAGACACTTCTCAAAAGAAGACATCTATGCAGCCAACAGACACATTAAAAAATGCTCATCATCACCAGTCATCACAGAAATGCAAATCAAAACCACAATGAGATACCATCTCATGCCAGTCAGAATGGCGATCATTAAAAAGTCAGAAAACAACTGATGCTGGAGAGGATGTGGAGAAATAGGAACACTTTTACACTGTTGGTGGGACTGTAAACTAGTTCAACCATTGTGGAAGACAGCATGGTGATTCCTCAAGTATCTAGAACTAGAAATACCATTTGACCCAGCAATCCCATTACTGGGTATATACCCAAAAGATTATAAATCATGCTGCTATAAAGACACATGCACACTTATGTTTATTGCAGCACTATTCATAATAGCAAAGACTTGGAACCAACCCAAATGTCCATCAATGATAGACTACATTAACAAAATGTGGCACATATACACCATGTAATACTACGCAGCCATAAAAAAGGATAAGTTCATGTCCTTTGCAGGGACATTGATGAAACTGGAAACCATCATTCTCAGCAAACTATCATGAAGACAGAAAACCAAACACCACATGTTCTCACTCATAGGTGGGAATCGAACAATGAGATCACTTGGACAAAGGGCCGGGAACATCACACACTGGAGCCTGTCGGGGGGTGGGGGGCTTGGGGAGGAATAGCATTAGGAGAAATACCTAACGTAAATGACGAGTTGATGGGTACAGCAAACTAACATGGCACATGTATACCCATGTATCAAACCTGCACGTTGTGCATAGGTACCCTAGAACTTAAAGTATAATAAATAGTAACAAGAAGTGATGTCTGAGACCAAGCCCAGAAAAATCATTTTTCCTAGACAAATGCTTTCTAGGAAAACTTATCTCACCAGCCAATGAACTATATATTAGAAATGATTTTTCTAGGAAATGATTTCCTACACCTTTTCTAGAAAAATCATTTCCCAGAATAATCATTTCAAGTTTTGAAGATAAATCACTTTTTTTCCTCTAAGTATCTTCCATCATAAATTGGAAATAAGTCTCAGATAGTATTCTTTTTCTCAGTGCCTGTGGAGGTAGTTTTAGTTGCAAGAAGCCAACTCATTTAGCTTACCTCAAGCTAGGATTCCTAAGGCAGTAAGAGGGAGAGGAATCCTGGTCAGGATTCACAGAGCTCTACACAGTCCTGCCTCTCTACCCTAACATGACTCAGCTGCTCTTTCCTTCTCTCTACCGCAATTGCCAGTTGTTTAAATCTTTCCCATTTCAAATTTCCAAAGAAAAAACCCAACTGGTCTAGTGACCACTTTCTCTGTTTGAGGAGAGCTTCTTATGGCATAGCATAGCACAGCATAGCATAGACATAGAACTCAAAATTACAAGCCCCAGATTCTTTGATTCAGTCTTGCACGGAGGTAGAGTTGATGATAGAGGCGGCAAGTCTCAATCAATGTTGAATGAAGAGGCTTGAAGGAACAAAGAGATTCTTGGCCCTGGTGTTCTGTATTCTCCAAGAGCTACCGTTTGCATTTCCTTTTGAGTCAGGAAAGAAGTTTGAAGTCCATTTATAAATCAGCTGCCTTAAAGACACTCAGATTATAAGGCTGAAATGAGGATGCTTTCTTTTCAGATTTCTATCTTTTCTGTATCTTGTCATCATAAAATGAGTGCTGCATAGTCGATTTGCAAGATATTTCCCAAAAACTCTATTTTACCTACAATGGTTTATTGCATATTGCCCTTAACCTTGATTTTATGATACTTGTTTACCTACTGAATGTGGGAAATTACAGTTACTCTTGTGTGTTTGTTATGGAAAATTCTATTTAAATTTACTCATCAACCTTCTAGTAGTTAACCCTTTGACTATTGTTTTACTGATCAACAAAGAGGCCAGAGTAGCTAGAACCCAGTGAGCAAGAAGAGAGAAGTCAAGGATGAGGTTAGAGAGGTCAATGGGTAGGCACCCTTATATATTAATTCAGTCGGTATAAAAGCCTATTTAGACTCCCCTGGAGTTAGGAGTAGGGATGGGGAACTAACACCTGTTTTCTGTATAGCTATGATACAAATAAAGATAAATGATAGGTTTAGTCGAATAGTTTTAAAACTTCTTACCACTTTCACTGCCACTGTCCTCGTACAAGCAACTATCATCTTTGGTCTATGAATTTTTGCAAAAACCTATCTTGGCCAGGTGCAGTGACTCACGCCTGTAATTCCAGCACACTGGGAGGCCGAGGCAGGTGGATTACTTGAGCCCAGGAGTTTGAGAACAGCCTGGGCAACATGGTGAAACCCCACCTCTACTAAAATTACAAAAAATTAGCTGGGCATAGTGGTGTTTACTTGTAGTCCCAGCTACTCAGGAGGCTGAGTGGGAGAATCAACTGAGCCCGAGAACCTGAGGCTGCAGTGAGCCATGATCATGACACTGCACTCCAGCCTGAGCAACGGAACGAGACCTGTCTCAACAAAAACCAAAACAAATAAAACCTTCTATCTGATCTCTTGCTTCTTCCCTTGCCTTCTTGCAGTCTGGTCAACACAACAATCAGGGTGTGGCTGTTAAATAAGTCTGCTTTCTTTCAGTGGCTTCTCATGTCTCTCAGAGGAAAACCTCAATCCCTACATGGTCAGTGTGATGCCTGCCCCTTGACCTCTCTAACCTCATCCTTGACTTCTCTCTTCTTGCTCACTGGGTTCTAGCCACTCAGGCCTCTTTGTTGTTCTTCAGACACAGTAGGAGTCTCCTGCCTTAGGGCTCTTGTACTTCTGTTCTTGCTGTGTGGAGTGCTCCCTGTTAAGATACCTACATGGCTTCCTTCGTCTCCTTTTCAGGTCTGTACTCAGTGGTTACCTTCTCAGTGTGGCTTTCCCTGGCCACTCTGTCCCTCTCCAAGACATGAATCTCTCCACGCCCCTACGCTGCTTTATTATTTTATTTTTTTGAGGTGGAATCTCACTCTGTCACTCAGGCTGGAGTGCAGCAGCACGATCTTGGCTCACTGCAACTTCTGCCTCCCGGGTTCAAGCAATTCTCCCGTCTTAGCCTCTCAGGTAGCTAGGATTACAGGCGCGCACCACCATGCCTGGCTAATTTTTGTATTTGTAGTAGAGATGGGGTTTCGCCATGTTGGCCAGGCTAGTTTCGAACCCTTGACCTCAAGTGATCCACCCGCCTTGGCCTCCCAAAGTTCTGGGATTACAGGCATGAACCATCATGCCTGGCCTCCCTGCTTTCTTTTTCTTTTCTTTCTTTTTTTTTTTTTTTTTTTTTTTTTTTTGAGATGGAGTCTCGTTCTGTTGCCCAGGCTGGAGTGCAGTGGCGCCATCTCGGCTCACGGCAAGCTCCGCCTCCCATGTTCACGCCATTCGCCTGCCTCAGCCTCCGAGTAGCTGGGACTACAGGTGCCCGCCACCACGCCCGGTTAATTTTTTTTTTTGTATTTTTAGTAGAGATGGGGTTTCACTGTTTTAGCCAGGATGGTCTCTATCTGCTGACCTCGTGATCCGCCCACCTCGGCCTCCCAAAGTGCTGGGATTACAGGCATGAGCCACCGCGCCTGGCCCTATTTTTCTTTAGAGTAATCACCAACTAACATGTACACGTTTTACCTGCTTATGTTATCATCTGTTTTGCCTCAGTAGCAGGAGATTCCATTAGAGCAGGGATATTTTTCTCACCAGCTCCTGCCTTGTACTGCTGAATTTCTAGCACCTAGAAGAATTCCTGACACAGTTGGTATTCAATCAATGTTTGTTAAATAAATAAACGAAAATACAGATAACTTTTTCCTTAGTAGAGGATACTGGGCATCCTATTGAATAGTTGATCTTATGTTGGTGGACCCTCAAGGTCTGCGATAGGGCAGTTTATCTCACAAAGATGGCGGCTGTATCAGGATTGAGCCAAGTGGCCCAACTCCTTTGGCTAAAGATAGGGTGATTAAGTCACCACATTACGATTAAGTCAAAGTCATAGGAAAACTGTACGCAGTGAGATAATGTTGGAGTTTCCTTGGATGCTTGCTTGAAAAATGTGGGAGCATTTCAGGGTCCCTCAAGGGCATGAAATTGAGTGCACTTTTAGTCCTGCAGATAACTTTGACTGGTCACAAGCTGATTCACCAAGACCACAGGTAGATCAATTCCCATTCATTCCAACCCCTGGAGAAACAGCTTAGGACTCTTCTGATTCCAAGTCTGGAGAAAGTCTACAGAAAGGAATGTTTTAAGGGAATACAGGAGGACCTTGCTTAAAATACACTCCTTTCATAACAACTTTCATAGCCTCTAGAATGCTGCCATTAGGAATCTATTCCTATTAGAACTGGAAATGTTTTTGTTTTATATAGTATCTTCTTAAGATGCTCTTATGCCTACAGCACATAACATGTAAACAAAGACTGCACTTTGTGGAAAATGTCTATTCTTAAGAGCTACCTCTTACGAAGTTTGCAGAAATTGATCACTGACTACGTGCCTAGAAAGAGGAAAGCAAGAGAAGGTAGTTGAATACAATCAGGAGGGAAATCATCCTGAAACAATATAAGAAAACTTAACTCTCCCAAATAAATATTTCTGCACCTGATACTAGTCATAGGCATACATACAATCCAAACTGCCCTATGGGGAAAGCAAGCCATTTCTGCTGGAATTACTTTTTGATAGGCAAAAAGCAGAGAAGCCTCTTCGTGAATTTTGCTTTGGGACAATCCAGCCTGAGCGACAGAGCGAGACTCCATCTCAAAATAATAATAATAATAATAAAAATACAAAATAAATAAACCTTAGCCTCTAGATCAGAACCAACCAAGAACAAAGGCACACACATACTCTGTCACTTGTGTGTTCAGTCTTTGGTGGAATAAAAGCAGTTTCCAGCAAAGGGAATTTTTTCACATTACATAATAACTGTTTACGTCTAAGAGGTACATGTAACCCCCAGAGGCTTCTGTGTATCTTTTATGTTTTGTATTTTCACCCTGAAGACACGTCTTTGTCTCTGAACTAAAAGAGGCTGTTCCCTGTGGGATCTGAGATGAAGGAAGCCTAGAAATTGGGCACTTGGGCATAGATAGGGCCAACTATGGTAATAAGTTCTTTGGAGGCAGAGAGGGGTGTCTCTATCTCTCTCATACCAGCAGATAAGGATAGGCAGGGAAAGAGGACACCCTGGGGGATAGATAGAGAATTATCTGCAGGATGATGGATTTTGCCTAAAGAAAGGGAAAATTATTTTGTAACTTGATTCCTTGTACCTGAACCAACAGCCACCTCATTTATTTTGAGTCAAAAGTGAGATTCAAAAGCAGTATATTTGAGTAGGAAGTGGAAAAACAGTTTTCCTGGGTTGTTTAAACAATTTTGACCTTTATAATTACTTTAAAAGTAATATGTGTTTTTGCTTAAAAATTTGGAAAATGCAGGAAAGTATAAAGGAAATAAAAAATCATTCACATTCCCATCACATCTTTTTTTTTTTTTTTTTTTTTTTTTTTTGTGAAATGGAGTCTCGCTCTGTCGCCCAGGCTGGAGTGCAGTGGCGTGATCTCGGCTCACTGCAAGCTCCACCTCCCAGGTTCACACCATTCTCCTGCCTCAGCCTCCCGAGTAGCTGGGACTACAGGTGCCCATCACCATGCCCGGCGATTTTTTTTTTGTATTTTTAGTAGAGATGGGGCTTCACTGTATTAGCCAGGATGGTCTCGATCTCCTGACCCTCGTGATCTGCCCGCATTGGCCTCCCAAAGTGCTGGGATTACAGGCGTGAGCCACCACACTTGACCTGCAATCCCATCACATCTTATTTAGATGTTTATCTTTCCAATCTTTGTTCTGTTAATATACATACTTTAAAAATAATGCAATTATGTTCTATATCTTGTTTTATAATTTACTTCTTTCACTTAATTTATCATGTACTGTATATTGCCAACATCTTTGTTTTTCTAAATAATTTTTAACAGCCACATAGTATTTTAATATATGTGGGTATCAATATTTGACTATTCCCCATTTTTAGACATTTAGGTTTTTTTCTATTGCAATGTGAACATTTCCTTTAAATAAAAATAAAAAACTACACGTGCATTTTTAAATAAAGTTACATTTCTTCTTTTTGAGACCTTAACTCACTAAACATTGAAAATGTTCCTTGGCTATTGCCTGAACGCAGGAATCTTTCTTGGCTGTTTTGAAGAGGGGTTTTTAGACAGTTTTTAGGAGAGAGAGAGTTGGGGTGGGGTTATTTAGTGGGGCAGGGCATGAGGATGGTTCTTATTAGTAGTTAGTCATGGAGTTAAATCTTAATGCTTGAGATATTTAGAAGCCAAAGTTATGAGTACATGAACTCCAAGGTAGAGAGGTATGTCTGTGTGTGTGTGTGTGTGTGTGTGTGTGTGTGTGTGTGTGTGTTCACATGGTTGGCAAGTGGGATTGAGTTGCTTGGTGTAAATATGATTTCATCAGAACAAAATTAACATGCTGAGGTTGAAGGTGGGTTAGAAAAATCCTATTCTTTTTCTTTTTTTTTGAGACAGTCTCAGCTCACTGAAAGCTCTGCCTCCTGGGTTCAAGCAATTCTCCCTGCCTCAGCCTTCCAAGTAGCTGGGATTACGGGCGCCCGCCACCATGCCCGGCTAATTTTTGTATCTTTTTAGTAGAGACAGGGTTTCGCCATGTTGGCCAGGCTCGTCTTGAACTCCTGACCTTAGGTAATCTGCCCACCTCACCCTCCCAAAGTGCTGGGGTTACAAGCTTGAGCCACCGTACCTGGCCTGATAAATCCTATTCTAAATTGAATATGTGCAGGTCACTATTTTGCAAGCCACTATTTTGCTTTCACTTAGCAATTCCCTTCTTTCTTTTTCTCTCCCTCCCCCACACCTCCACTGTCACATTGCAGGTAGTGAACATCAAAACTCACAGCAGGAAAGGGATTGGAGCAACTACTTCTCTATCTAGGCCAAGGTCAGTTTGTTACACTAGACCCAGAGTTTCTTGTCTCTGGATCTAAGTGCCAGAAACTTCCTCTTTTCTGAAATATTAGAGTTCACTACTTTAGATACCTTCTTTGTTAAACTTTCCCAGGTCTCTAGTCTGAATGAATTATTCTTTCATGGGCATGCCCACTTATTTGCAATTATTCAGAATTCATTTTCTTTTGTCTTATTTTATAAAAAGTGATTTGTTTGTGTCCCCCAGTGGCTGAGTTCAAGATCCTTGTCTTCTTCATTGTCATGCTTCTTATGCCTGGCACAGAGCCCAACTTAGGTACTCAGCAAATATTTGCAATGACATCAAACAGACGAAATAAAACCCCAGGAGATAAGATAAAGCGCTTGGACTACATATACTTCCTTCACTTTTAATTTCCTTCTGTTTTCTTTTTTTTTTTTGCTCACCTGTTTGCTGTTTCCATTCTCCTTATCAATTACTCAGGGTTAGGATATTTAATTTTAAGTTTATTTATTCAGAGTCTTCGCACTCTAAGGGGGAAAGAAGCTACAAGAACAGAAACCAATTAAATATGTAAGATTAGGTTGATGAATCATGTTAAACATCAACTATAATAATAAATAGAAGAATATAAATATTCTGTGATTCAAATCTCAGCAGATCAAAGGCTGGTCATTTTCTGTGAGTTAGACTTTTTTTCTGGATATGTTCACACATCCAGGTTTACAGAAGAACTGAAGGGAGAGCTGGTATGTATGAGGTTCATTCCTATGTCAGGTGGAAAGGATTTCCTAATGGATATAGATGTGCTCTTTTGTCTGTAGAGAATTTTGCTGCTAGATTTAATTGAATTTGTTTTTTGTACAGTACTTGAAGCCCAAGGGAAATTTTGCTTGTTTAACAAAGAAACACGATTTTATATAAATCTCAAGTGACCTGATAAACACACAGTATAAAACATGTCTAATTCTTAACGCTTAATTCAATTCAATAAACGTTTATGGGACATTCATTATATGTCAGGTGCTCTACAAGATGGCAGGAGACCAGGAAGGAGAAAAGATGGCTTCTGCCCTCAGGAAGCTAACAGTTCGGTATACTCCTATATGTAAATTGCCACCTAATATACATATTAGATGAAATAAGGGCTAGGTAGTGTTTACCTGCCCCAAATACATACTTTACAATAGGAGAACCTGAAGTGCTGAGTGGAGAAATGAAGTTAGCCCACGCTGGATGAGATGGGCAGGCGCTTCTGGGTTGCATTGACTCTTACTACTATGGCCACTCTAGCCCTTTCTAGCCACAGCAAACACTCCTATCGTGTTTCTCCCAGACTTCATCATGCCTCCCACAGGTGGAGGAAGAAGACCTAGAATATGGCGACTCTCTTAAAGGTGCAACTATGCCCTTGACAACTTACAGAAGGAACAGAGGCCATAGTTTTAAACCTACTTTGGATTGTAGATACCTTTGAGAATCTAATAAAAACTTTCGGAGCCTGTCGTCAGAAAACTGCAGAATGTTCCTACAGACAATGCCATGAGCAATTTCTAGACTCCCTGAGGCACACCTGTGGTTTTAGCTGAATCCATCTCTTCCCTTGCACTGACTAGCTCTCCTCCTTCTGAGCTACTACACAAATGAACTAGACAGCTCCTGAAAGCAAGTAAAAGGACTCAGGAAACAGATCCAACTGCTCATGCTCAATCAGTCAGAAAGGAAGCAAATAAGGAATAAGAAATAGTGACTCTCTACCTCTAGGTTGATGTAGAAATAAGTGATTTTTTAAATAGAGAAACTTGAATTTTTAATTATTATAACATTTAAAAATCTATAATGGTAGCAAAATCTTTGCAAATAATGTAAAATAAAAATACGTATGCAATGTCAACAGGAGGTTTTTGTTTGAAATATAATGACTTTTCGGCCCGGCACGGTGGCTCACGCCTGTAATCCCAACACTTTGGGAGGCCAAGGTGGGCGAATCACGAGGTCAGGAGATGGAGACCATCCTGGCTAACATGGTGAAACCCCATCTCTACTAAAAATGAAAAAAAATTAGCCGGGCGTGGTGGTGGGCGCCTGTAGCCCCAGCTACTCAGGAGGCTGAGGCAGGAGAATGGCATGACCCCAGGGGGCGGAGCTTGCAGTGAGCCAAGATCCCACCACTGCACTCCAGCCTGGGGGACAGAGCAAGACTCCATCTCAAAAAAAAAAAAAAAAAAAAAGACAAAGACAAAGATGGGCATTACATAATGGTAAAGTGATCCGCCTCAAAAAAAAAAAAAAAGAAATATAATGACTTTTCACATGGTGGATTCAGGAATTTGTAGGGATAATGGAAAGTAGTATGAATGATGTGTATTATGAAAACAAATACTTATTTGTGATAAAGGAGAGGAACTTTGGTTATTCTATTATTCTTTTCTCTTATGTTCTTATGTTATTCTGTCTTTCCTTTCCCAATCATCCTTGCTTTTCCTTTCTACATTTGAGCTCAAGTTATTGATACAGGAAAGACTAAAGATTTATTAAACTATCAAAAAGAAATAACTTTATCAAATGTCAAGCAAAGTTGATGGGAAAAAAATCCTTTCAAGCTAAACAGTAGTTTGAAAATGTAATCTTTTAGAAAATGGCAAAGACCTTTAAGAAAATAAGCTGATTATTTTGATTTAAATTTGACTCATTATATATATATAGCTACAAACCAAACTCAACCATCATCTGTGTACACTTTTCTTCCATACTAAGTAGAAATATCCTTCATCAGAAATGCGTTAATGAAGAGTTTTGTTTGGCTTTTTAAATGCTGAATTTTGACCTTATGTTGATTTTCTAATTTTCATCTTCTTAGCTGCCCAAAACCAAGGTTATGAGTACAGAGAATTATCAAAGGACAAGTGTGAAAATCCTCCACATTTAAGACCTTATACAGAGATTAGCACTGGAGATAATTTCTATGGACATATTCTATTGCACTGAGTTGGTATACCTGGCAGAATTGTAGCAGTATTTTCATTTGAGTTCTAATCTGTAGATAACAATTGAAAGAGAAAGATGCAATCACCTAGAGAATTTATACTGAGGCCAGAGCCATACTCTGAGTACACGTGGAACATTTATGTGGTCAAAGCTGCCACAGTAATTACAAAAGAAGCGCTGTGGGGCCGGGCGCAGTGGCTCACACCTGTAATCCCAGAACTTTGGGAGGCCGAGGCGGGCAGATCACAAGGTCAGGACATCAAGACCATACTGGCTAACACAGTGAAACCCCGTCTCTACTAAAAATAAAAAAATTAGCCGGGCGTGGTGGCAGGCACCTGTAATCCCAGCTACTCGGGAGGCTGAGGCAGGAGAATCGCGTGAACCCAGGAGGCGGAGCTTGCAGTGAGCAGAGATCGCGCCACTGCACTTCAGCCTGGGCGACAGAATGAGACTCCGTCTCAAGGAAAAAAAAAAAGCGCTGCACTCTAAGGGGGCTGCTGGGAAACAATAAGGCTGGGAGGGGTAAGCTATTGGACTAACTCCTCAGAAGAACATGGATATGACAGAGACTGCTAATACCCCCTCCAGTGCCCAATCTTTTCTCTTTTCCTTTTAAAAATAGAATCTTGCATGTTTTAATTGGATACATAGCCACCTATGTAGAGACTGTTATTTCCCACATTTCCTTGCTCTGGGCATGGCCATAGGATGGGAATGGAAGTACCCTTTATAAGGTAATCAAATATGTTACATTTATAAATGCAGGTTAAAATATCTAAAGGATCTAATTAAATTAGTTTATAATTGGGACCAATCATTAATCAAAAACCTCTTAAAATCCTGTTAAACTTCGCCATATTTGTAAAGTAATACAGCTTGTAAGAAAAAACTTAAAACACCTAGGGTTTTGAGTTTTAAATATATTTATTATCAAATAATAAATTTAGTATTAAATTACTGATGAAAATGTAACTTGTATTCAGGGCTGCAAGCCTGTTTTGGGGTATCCTACACTGTTAACACTTCAGATTTTCAACTAGGCATGAAAAATGAGATGTGACCTTCCAATAGGTCTGAATCACTGGCTAATTTACTGATGCCCACACTTTTATATACTCTATTCATCAAATCCCCAGGCAGATGACAGCTACCCGAGACAAGAGATAATAAATTGTTCTTTACAAAGACAATGGAAGCTGTATACAGTGTCAACTGACTCATCTTTTTGTTGTTGTTATTGTTCCTGGAGAACAAGCGAGGGCTTTTCAGTTCAGAGATCACAGCTGCATATCTCTGAGGTCTTTAATAATTTCAGACTGATCATGGATACCACATTCTTTGATTAACTGACCTTTAGTAAAAAGAGAGACAAATGAATGAAAATGAATATTCTTGGCAGTTCACAAATCTGTTTTAGGCATTGCTTTTCTCATATATGTGAGACAAAATATTGATCAAAATGCATAACTAAATCATGAAGGAATAAAAGAATTTCTTAGTGACATGCCATCGTTTTTTGTTTTGTGTTTTTTTTGAGATGGAGTCTCGCTCTGTCACCCAGGCTGGAGTGCAGTGGCACGATCTTGGCTCACTGCAAGCTCCACCTCCTGGGTTCACGCCATTCTCCTGCCTCAGCCTCCCGAGTAGCTGGGACTACAGGCGCCTGCCACCACGCCTGGCTAATTTTTTGTATTTTTAGTAGAGACGGGTTTTCACCATGTTAGCCAGGATGGTTTCGATCTCCTGACCTCGTGATTCACCCGCCTTGGCCTCCCAAAGTTCTGGGTTTACAGGCGTGAGCCACCGTGCCCGGCCACCATGCCATCTTTTTTGGGAACATGAGCTGGTCGCTTATCTCACCCTAATTCCTAATGTTCAACTAGATTTTAGGGGGTTTCCATTTTCCCTAACACTTCATGACTTAGGTAGAGTTTCCACCAGCCTTTCAGAATATTGAAGCCATCAGAGTGCACCAAGTTTGATTCTGGGAGGCCAAGTTAGTGTGATAGGCTGGGCCTGGGCTTCACCCAGCCACCAGTTGGTAAAAGTGCTGGCTTAGGAGTCAGGAGAAGTGAGCTTGACTCCCAGATCTTCCACTTGCTAGCTGTGTCAGTTTAGTCAAGTCATGTCAGCAATTTGAGCCTGAGTTTCTGCATTTAGAAGAGTTTTTGTAAGAATCAGATGATTTGATGTGTAGGAAAGGGTTTTGCAAACTAAAGTGTGCCATCTAAATATAAGGAACTCTACAGGTTGCAGTGTACTGAATAAAGTCCAGAAAAGCATGATCCATAAGTGGAAATTTTTAAAATGGAGTACAGTACATATATTTAGGTGTGACCTTTACATTTCTAAAAAAGACTTGTAATAGGGCAAAGATAAATTTTGGCTGAATTAGAAAGAAGTGTTTTTAAAAGTCCAGACTGAAGCCTGGGGTGATCAGGTCCCAAGGACTGGAAAAATCTTTTTTTTTTTTTTTTGAGATGAAGTCTCACTCTTGTCCCCTAGGCTGGAGTACAATGGTGCGTTCTCTGCTCACTGTAACCTCTGCCTCCCAGGTTCAAGTGATTCTCCTGCCTCAGCCTCCTGAGTAGCTGGGATTGCAGGCACCTGACACCATGCCTGGCTAACTTTTGTATTTTTAGTAGAGACGGGGTTTCACCATGTTGGCCAGGCTGGTCCCGAACTCCTGACCTCAGGTGATCCGCCCGCCTTGGCCTCCCAAAGTGCTGGGATTACAGGTGTGAGCCACTGTGCCTGGCTGGACTGGAAAAATTCTGAAATATCCAGCTGCCTTCTTATGTAGATAGATGGTATTCTAGAATATCGTAGTTGATGTCATCAAGATGGATGACTATATGCTAATGACTATTTCCAGGCTAAACTTTTACGTTAAGTTCAGATTTTTTTTTTCAGCTATCTGTTGAGCATCTTCCCTGGAGGCTACACAGGCACCACTGTCTTCATCTTCTAGGCCTTCTTCTAATTTCTCCCCCACCCCTGACCACATCTGCCTATGCCTCTGAACAAAACCACTAGAGTTGTTCTTCTAGTCTGTATGTATGTTGGCTGTTGGTGGCTCCACTACAACTAAAACCTAGGATAAACCCCCAGACAATGTACAAGGACAACAGCAAATCAGTTGTGCTGTCAGAGACCAGAAACCCGGGAACCACCCTGCACTGCATTCTTTCCACCACCCCAAATCTATCCCATCAATCACCAAATCTCGTTGACTTTATTTAGATGAAAGACTATCTACATATATTCTAGCTGAATTTTCATTACAAAGCTGTAAATTATGTATTAGCATCTCCATTGTATAAGGGATAACTCTCAGGCTCAAAGATATTAAACAACCTTCACACAAGTAGTAGGTGTCAGAACTGGGATTTTTCCAACTCTTTGCTTTTTCTACTACACCATCGTTTCCTTATATTGTGGATATTATTTACAGCTCTATCTCTTCCCTTGAAAAGAAGCTTCTCCTGCCAGGGCCTCAGTAGGGTTAATCTTCGTATTCTCAGATATAATGTCTAGTACACAGTGCCCAATAAATGTTTGTTGAATTTGAGGAAATAGTCATTTTGTGGTTAAGTTCTATATGCGTGAGTTTCTGTGCTGTTCTGGCACCAGTTTCTTGGTTTGATGTTGAGCTCCTGTAACGCAGGGACCTGACCTTATTTATCTTCATTTCCCTAAGTTCTAGAAATTGGCTAACTCATACATAGCAGGCACTCAATAAACATTTGATAGATCTACTTAAAATACCAGCACATTACCTTCATAGTTTGTGTCTTTAGAACACAGGCTGTTTTCTTCTGGCTTTAACAATCCCCTAGACCAAAGTGGAACTGGTTTAGAGTTTTCTTTAAAAACTAAGTTTTGCCTCAGAGAGCATCTAAAAAGGATAGAACAACACTGACAAAAAGAAGCTGCTGAGAAGATTGATAACACACATGGGCAGCTCTTTTTTGTTTAAAAAGATACTCTTATGATATGGAAGAAAATCTTTAGGATCTAGGGCTAGGGGAAAAGTTGTTTTTTTGGTTTTGTTTGTTTGTTTGTTTTTTGAGACAGAGTCTTGCTCTGTCGCCCAGGCTGGAGTGCAGTTGTGCGATCTCAGCTCACTGCAACCTCCGCCTCCCTGGTTCAAGCGATTTTCCTGCCTCAGCCACCCGAGTAGCTGGGATTATAGGTGCACGCCATGCTGGACTAATTTTTTGTATTTTTAGTAGAGACGGGGTTTCACCATGTTGGCCAGGCAGGTTTCAAACTGCTGACCTCAAGTGATCTGCCTGCCTCGGCCTCCCAAAGTGCTAGAATTACAGGTGCGAACCACCGCGCCTGGCCTAGGGGAAAAGTTTTTAGCCTTCACATCCAAAGCAAAATCCAAAAAAGGAAAATTGCTAGATTAGGCCTCTTCAAAATTCAAAACTTTTGCTCTGCTAAAGATCTTGTGAAGATAATGAAAAGACAAGTTATAGACTGGCAAAAATATTTTCAAACCACATATTCAGCAAAGGACTAATATCAAGAATATATAAAGGACTCTCAATACTTTACAGTAAGACATCCAAACAATCCAATTAGAAATGGGCAGAAAACACGAAGAGACGTTTCACAACAGGATATACAAATGAGCACATGAAAAGCTGTTCAATATCATTTTCATTAGGAAAATGCAAATTAAAACCACAAAGAAATATTATACAATTTTCAGAACACTAAAACAAAAACATAGTCATAATACCAATTCTGGGGAATATGGAGAAACTTGAGCCTCATACATTGTTAGGGGGAATGGAAAATGAACAGCCATTCTGGAAAACAGTATGGCAGTTTCTTTCAAAACTAAACATGTTTAACGTATGATTCAGCAATTGCTATTTATTTATCTCAGAAAAATAAAAACTAATATTCACACAAAAACCTGTCCGTGAATGTTGACAGCAGCTTTATTCATAATAGCCAAACACTGGAAACAGCTCCTTCAATGAGCAAATGATTAAATAATCTGTAGTACATGGGTCCCCAACCCCTGGGCTGTGGACTGGTACTGGTCAGTGTTCTGTTAGGAACTGGGTAGCACAGCAGGAAGTGAGGCATGGGTAAGAAAGCATTAGCACCTGAGCTCCGCTTCCTATCAGATCAGCAGCAGCATTAGATTCTCAGAGGAGTGCAAATCCTATTGTAAACTGTACACACAAGGGATGGAGGTTGCAGGCAAGCAAGCATTACCACCTGAGCTCCGCTTCCTATCAGATCAGCAGCGGCATCAAATTCTCAGAGGAGTGCAAACCCTATTGTGAACTGTACATGCAAGGGATGACGGTTGTGTGCTCCTTATGAGACTCTAATGGCTGAAGATCTGAGGTGGAACATTTTCATCCCCAAACCATACCCCTCACCTTGTCTGTAGAAATACTGTCTTCCATGAAACTGGTACCTGGTGCCAAAAAGGTTGGGGACTGCTGCTGTAGTACATCTATGGCATAGATGTACATATGGTATATGTATGCAATTTTACATGGGCATGCATTACCATAGATGTACTACAGCAGCAGTCCCCAACCTTTGTTGTAATAAAAAGCAACTATTGATACATGAAACAAGTTGGATAGATCTCAAGGGAATTATGCTGAGTGAAAATAGTCAATACCAAAAAATTATATACTGTAAAGTTTCATTTATACAGCATTCTTGTAGTGGCAAACTTTTAGAGATGGAAAATAGGTTTGTGGTTGGCAGGGAGAGGATGGGAGGTAGGTAGGGGTGCCTATAAAAGTAGAATGAAGGATCGTTATAATGGACTTGTTATGTATTTTGACTGTGGTGGTAGTCACATAGATCTACATATGGGATAAAATTGTATAAAATTAAATACACATACAGGCTGGGCATGGTGGCTCACACCTGTAATCCTAGCACTTTGGGAGGCACAGGTGGAGAATCACCTGAGGTTGGGAGTTCTAGATCAGCCTGAGCAACATGGAGAAACCCCGTCTCTACTAAAAATACAAACAGTAGATGGGCGTGGTGGCACATGCCTGTAATCCCAGCTATTCGGGAGGCTGAGGCAGGAGAATCACTTGAACTCGGGAGGCGGAGGTTGCAGTAAGCCAAGATCATGCCATTGCACTCCAGCCTGGGCAATAAGAGTGAAACTTTGACTCAAATAAAAAAAAAAGAAAAAACATTAAATGGACATACAGACACACAGATGAATAAAAATGGCTGAAATCTGAATAAGGTTGGTAAATTACATCAATGCCAATTTCCTGGTTGCGACATTATTCTATAATTTTTCAAGATATTGCCATTGGGGGAAAACAGAATAGAGGCTACATAGAATTCCTCTGTATTGTATGTTACATCTTCATGCAAATCTTCAATGATCTCAAAATAAAAAGTTAAAAAAATTGTCTGAAATGAGATAGAATGATGTTATTCATTATTTTACAGGAAAAGAGAGGGAGGCTCAGATAAAGTAGATATCTTGCCTAAGATCATTCAAATACAGAGTGTAGACAATGAATCTGAACTCAGGTTTCTCTGACTCTAAATTTGTGTCTCTCTTTTTTCATTATTTTATACTTACAGAAATGATACCAGAAATCTTAACTTTCCGTGTATGTTCACAATCGAAATGAACACATTAGCATAGATTGTTCATTTCTTTATAGAGAGATTTAGTTAGTTCTCTAAGGAAAAGGGATGGAATGCAAAGCAGATAAGAGGTAGGACAGGCCTGGGAAGTTGTTGGTGAATAAAATAAGGAAAAACATCAAAGATTATCATTGCTTACTTCACTCTTGCGCCCATGACAAGCTCTGTTAAGCACTGATTTTGGAACCCAGAATCTTTGGAAGGGTGGAAGGTGGTGTACCACGTGGCCTTTGGCCTCCCAGGCTGGAGTTAAAACTGAGAAGTTTAAAGAAGACCTTTTCTTGGCCGGGCGCGGTGGCTCACACCTGTAATCCCAGCACTTTGGGAGGCTGACGCGGGTGGATCACGAGGTCAGGAGATCAAGACCATCTTGGCTAACACGGTGAAACCCCGTCTCTACTAAAAAAATACAAAAAATTAGCCAGGCGCGGTGGCAGCTGCCTGTAGGCCCAGCTACTTGGGAGGCTGAGGCAGGAGAATGGCGTCAACCTGGGAGGCGGAGCTTGCAGTGAGCCGAGATCGTGCCACTGCAGTCCGGCCTGGGCGAAAGAGTGAGACTCCGTCTCAAAAAAAAAAAAAAAGAAAAAAAGAAGACCTTTTCTGCAATTTGCTAAGCACTTTGGAACAGGTAGATGGCTAGAGAATTCTGGGGTTCTTTAGAGTAAAATCCAGGACCATTTGTGTGTCTTCTGGAGACGTAAGTGCTTTCCTGGGTGTTCTGGCAATGTGTGTACTGTTTTTATGAGTTAATCCTCCCTCCCATCAAAGTTTTGATAACCAAGAAGAGCTTTCCATGATGTGTCAGATTTTCAGATAACAGAGGTGGGTGCAATGCCAGTTCCTGTAATCGCTTAATACATACTTGCTGCCTGATTTACAAGGTCATTTTAATCTATCCTGAATATTAAGTAGAAGTCAAGCTGGAATCATTGTTCACCATATCAATATTTCTACAAACTTCCTCTCAAGGTCTAGGGCTGACTCTCCTCCTGGAGCTGGGTTTCATAATATGGAAGGCTGCTGTTTAGATCAAAATACATCTTATCTCTGGGACTCTCAGGTACAATACAGTATAATGAATCTTCAATCTTGTAATTCTTTGACAGTTGATGCAAATTGGGTGTAGTGAGTAGTGAGGAACAGAGAAGAATGTGATTTTATTTTCTTTGAGCATGAAACATAGCTAGTATCCAACTTAAGGTAAATATCAAATATGAATCCCCAGTTCCAACACACACATACACATACATGTGCGCGTGCATGCACTCCGTCTATACTATGAATGACTTAGGTGAAACATGCTTGCCCTTAGGCAGGAATATTATCAAAATTCTACTGTGTCCATAAGAGAGAGATAGTGGAATTTTCTTCAGTTGGTCAATAAAAAGGCTTGCTAAGTAACGTTAGTGAGTAAACAGTCACGTGAGATTGGGTATATCAAGAACTTTAAACAAACACTGACTGAAGCATTTGTAATGCTAGCCAACCTGGGA
Organism: Homo sapiens; assembly: GCF_000001405.40. Taxonomy (NCBI): domain Eukaryota; kingdom Metazoa; phylum Chordata; class Mammalia; order Primates; family Hominidae; genus Homo; species Homo sapiens. The sequence continues at coordinate 97,353,511 of NC_000007.14, forward strand.
ATTGTGGATGGACGTTGACAGACTGAATAAAAAGATGTCCTGACTTGCAGTTATTTAATGGAGGATTTTGAAGAGTTCTAGGAAGGAAACCTGGAATTTCCTTGTACTTTTGTAACATTTATAAAGTTAACAGTTCCATTTGTTTGGAAGAAAAGTTTATCGTGCCTGAAGTTATGACAGATGAGCTACGGTACATAAAGAGATAAAAGTGATTTTTCTTCTCAAATAACAGAAATATTCTCAAATTGGAGGTAATGGGGGAGAACCACACACACTTACGGGAAAAGGACTGAAAGTTAGTGGAGGTGGTGAAAGCAGCACAGCCTTGTGCTGAGCATTGGAGAGCTGCAGCCCTTTGCTTTCTCAGAGGAATGGCAAATGATACTTTATTAAACTTACCTAGTAGGAACTTGGATGAGATGAGAACTTGAGGCTTTGTGGAGTCCCAAAGTGGGACTACCTCTAACACTACTTAACAAGGTCTACAGCAAAGCAAAGGCTCTCATTCAAGCCATATGGGACCTGAGGGGTTTGTGAGCAAAATGCCGGCACAGATAATAGCTGGATTTGGAAACCTGACAAATTTGGTAGTCTGCCATAAGGCTTTTCTCTCACTGAATAAAACTGTTATCTGACCTCATGTTACCTTTCAAAAAATGTTTGCTCTTAATTTGCAGAATAAACATCTCAAAATGTTTACATTTTAGACTTTGTTTTCCTCATCACGGTGTACTATTTATCTCCTTTGGTTTAGCCAGACAGTATTTGTCACAATCTGTACCGGATGGAAGCTACTTTCCTTTTAATTGCATTACTCTTAATGTCAGCATTTAAGACAAATATCCATCTCCCTTAGACAAATAATTCAATTGTTTTTGTTCTGAATAAATGATGAGGTTTTGGTTTCCGGTGCTTTCTGTCTCTAAAAGGTCACAATCCATAAATTCTTATATATTTAAAGACGAAGTAGCTTACATGTCAATGTGCTGAAGAGTAAAAGAAAGCCATCCTAAGATTTAAAATCTGCTGTAAACAAATCTCAAAGGATATCACCTTCTTCAAGTCAAATTCTGACATGTGATAGCAGTATTTGATAGCTAGGGTACCTAGCGAGCATCTTTGCTATTCCTATGTGAATAATTCCTAGTCCATAAAGGTCTACAAAGTATGTCAAATCTCTTTTAGTTGCAAGGGTCAGGAAACCATCTTGAACTTGTTTAGGCATTAACTGAGACCTTTGACTAAACTATAGGGAAGGCAGAAGTGGGACTGGCTTCAGGAATAAAGAGACTGAAGACTTCATTGCAAATAGTACTTATCTAATACATTTCAGGAATGGCCACTGACAACTTTCAGACTTACCTCTTCAAGCTTCTCCAACAAAAAAGATAGGGCTGTCCTTTCTCTCTCCTCTTATTCTTTTCTTCCCATTTATTCCTCTTTTTCCTTCCTTCCTCTCACTTCTTTCCTTTTTTCTCTCTCCTCTACTCTTATCCTTTTTGATAACTGCAATTACATCAAGTAATTTGGAGTCTGACTGTACAATTCAAGGTTGGTAATTATTTTCTCTCATCTTTCTTAAGATCTTGTTCTATAGTCTTTGGGCATCTGTTGTGGCTGTTGAGAAGTGAATTGTATGCCTAATTGTCATTTTTCTTGTAGGTATTTTTTTTCTCACCTAACTTTTAAGATCTTCTTTTATCTTTGGCATTTCATGCATCTAGTGTGAATTTGTTTCATTTATTATACTCAG